>NC_000006.12:43393333-43696363 GCF_000001405.40 Homo sapiens
GAAGAGCATTGTAAAAATCCCTGTCCTGTTCTGTTTCGTTCTGATTACCAGCGCATGCAGCCCCCAGTCACGTACCCCCTGCTTACTCAATTGATCACAACCCTCTCACACGGACCCCCTTAGAGTTGTGAGTCCTTAAAAGGGACAGGAATTGCTCACTCGGGGAGCTCGGCTCTGGAGACAGGAGTCTTGACGATGCTCCCGGCCGAATAAACTCCTTCCTTTTTAACTCGGTGTCTGAGGAGTTTTGTCTGCGGCTCGTCCTGCTACAGAGAAAGAGAACAAGTAAGAAAGAAAATCAGAAAGAGAAAGGGGAGGAAACGGCAAATATGGAGGGCCAGAGAGAGAGAGAGAGAGAGAGAAAGTTAAGCTGCTGACCCTGAAGGCAAGGGAGAGCTGGCCATGCATCTGTGTGTGTGGGAGCCATTGGACTAAGCAGCTGAGACAGGGTAGACAGTGTAAGACACTGTGCAGGTGCACTGGTGCCCAGAGAAAAAGAAGAGAGCCAGAGCTGTTCATCTTTGCAGACAGAAAGTGGGGAGCCAGGGTACAGCACGGCTCAGCTCGTGCCCAGAGAGAGAAAGAGGAAGAAACTGAGTATGAGGGAGAAAGGAAACGGGATGACAGAGAGAGAGACAGAAGAAGAAAAATGAGTAAGGGGCTGGGCGCGGTGGCTCACGCCTGTAATCCCAGCATTTTGGGAGGCCGAGACGGGCGGATCACGAGGTCAGGAGATCGAGACCATCCTGGCTAACACGGTGAAACCCCGTCTCTACTAAAAATACAAAAAAATTAGCCAGGTACGGTGGCGGGCACCTGTTGTCCCAGCTACTTGGGAAGCTGAGGCAGGAGAACGGCATGAACCTGGGAGGCGGAGTTTGCAGTGAGCTGAGATCACGCCACTGCACTCCAGCTTGGGCGACAGAGCGAGACTCCATCTCAAAAAAAAAAAAAAAAAGAAAAAGAAAAATGAGTAAGAGAGAGAGAGAAAGACTGGAAAAGCCAGAGATCAAAGAGAGACACAGAAGGTGAGACTTGGGAGAAAAATAATGTAAAAGGAAGAAAGAGTACAAGAAGAAGTGAGAGGATGCCGAGAAGTTGGCTGGGCTGGGGGAAGGTTCTAGAGGCTCAAGCAGCAAGGAGGTGCAGGGAAAGGTTACAGTGCGGCCACTAAGGAAGGACAGAGCTCAGGAACTGGGCGATGCAAGTGAGAAACGGATGTGAAGGAGAGCTTAGGATCAGGTTGCTTGAGGAGTAATGGGTTGCCTACAACAAAGACCAGATGGCAGGCCAGGCACGGTGGCTCATGCCTGCAATCCCAGCACTTTGGGAGGCCGAGGCTGGCAGATCACGAGATCAAGAGACTGAGACCATCTTGGCCAACGTGGTGAAACCTCGTCTTTACTAAAAATACAAAAATTAGCTGGGCGTGGTGGCACATGCCTGTAGTCTCAGCTACTTGGGAGGCTGAGGCAGGAGAATTGCTTGAACCCGGGAGGCGGAGGTTGCAGTGAGCCAAGAAGTCGCCACTGCACTCCACTCCAGCCTGGTGACAGAACAAGACTCCATCTAAAAAAAAAAAAAAAAAACCAGATGGCTGTTTGTCAGGAGGTGGTAGAGAGGATTCAGGTTATGGAAGGGTAAATGGATGAGATGACCATTAAGGTTTTGTTGTTGTTTTACTGAGAGGCTGTAAGTCCACCAGGGGCAGCTGCCAGTAAGTCTGCAGAAGGGCTGGCAGGCTACATAAGGAAGATCAGAACTAGGGTTGTAAACTCAAAGGACTACAGGGCCAGCAAAAGATGAGAAGGAGGGCTGCAGGGCTGGGTGGGGACTGTGGCTAACTGAAGAGGGCACACCGTGTTAAAGGGGCCGCAGTGCTCGGCTGTTCTTACAGTGCTGGCCCTGTGTTGCCAAATTGTCTGCTTTCTCAGAGGCCAGAATTCTGACTTTTTACATGAAATATGATTTTTAAATGCTGGGGATCAGTTCAAAAAACTTAAAAACCCAATACAGGCGAGAGAGGATGCCAGTTTGCAGTCCCTGAAGTAGAGAGAGCTCGTGCTGGGGAGAAGTCGGACAAGATGCTTTGAGGTGGGATGTATGAAAGTTCTGTTTCCGGCTGGGTGTGGTGGCTCATGCCTGTAATCCCAGCACTTTGGGAGGCCGAGGTGGGCGGATCACTTGAGGTCAGGAGACCAGCCTGGCCAACATGGTGAAACCACGTCTTTACTAAAAATACAAAAATTAGCTGGATGGGGCGGCACGTGCCTGTAATCCCAGCTACTCGGGAGGCTGAGGCAGGAGAATCACTTGAACCCGGGAGGCGGAGGTTGCAGTGAGTCAAGATCGCGCCACTGCACTCCAGCCTGGCAACAAAGCTAGACTCCGTCTCAAAAAAAAAAAAAAAGAAAAGAAAGAAAGAAAGTTCTGTTTCCCAGAGCCAGGCTGGGCCAGGGGAGGATTCTTGCAGCTGAGGAGGAGAAAAAGCCCCCTCCCAGAGCGGGACAAACCAGAGACCCTTTGCAGTTGCTGGGTCATCAGCAGGGGTGGCATCAAATAAAAACAGTGCAGCTCTCGGCCTGCCAGGAAGATGGATGGTGCCTTCGAAGCAAAGAAAGAGGAAGGGAGGCCAGAGCCAGGGATGCCTTTGCTAATGAGTGTGCCCATCAGGGAAGGCACCACAGGCTGGCAGCTCTTGGCCCAGAGCCAGACCCAGCAGGGCCTGGCCAAAGGCACCCTGGGAGGCCAGCTGGTCAGGCCTTTGCCTCCCCAAGTTCCTCTGGGGTCAACGGGCCTTGGGGAGGTGCCTAACCTAACTCCAGCCAGTTTTTCATGGAAAGGAGAGGATAATAAGAAGCCATCAGACTGTAACTGTTTAGCTATCATAGAATATCAAACTAAAGTTAGATCAGACCTTAAAGAAACTCCACTACATGATGGAATAAGGCTGTTTGTGGATGGGTCATCCCGAGTGATAGATGGTAAAAGACACGACGGCTATGCTGTCATTAATGGAAACAAACAATCCTATGTGAAAAAGGTAGATTACCCAATAACTGGTCAACCCAAACCTGTGAATTATATGCTCTTAACCAGGCCCTAAAGCTCCTAGAAGGCCAAGAAGGCACTATATACTAATTCCAAATATGCCTGTGGAGTAATACACACTTCTGAAAAAAATCTGGACAAAGCACGGCCTAATAAATAGCACGGGGGGAACGAACTGGTACATGGGGAACTGGTCAAACAAGTTTTAAAAAGCCTCCTGCTTCCCGCAGAGGTAGCCGTAGTTGATGTAAGTGGCCATCAGAAAGGAAACACTATAGAAGCTGTAGGGAACAGGCTTGCCGGTGAAGCTGCTAATCAAGTCTCCTGGAGGAAGAAGTTAGACTGTTTAGCCCAATCCCAGATATCCCTAAGGTGGTATTAAGACCCCAATTTTCTAAAGAGGAGGAGGAAGAACTGGGCAAGATAGGAGCCACTCATACTGAGGATGGAAGGTGGGTGCTCTGTAATGGGAGAGAAATGATAAACAAACCCCTTATGAGACAACTAATGTCCATACTGCATAAGGGAAGTCACTGGGGTCCCCAGGCCATGTGTGATGCAATACTCAAAAATTATGGGTGTATAGGGATTTATACCCTTGCTAAACAAGTGTGTGGGGGTTGTGTAACCTGCCAAAAAATAAACAAAAAGGTAGTTAGAAAACAGAGTACTGGAGGAAGACCTCCTGGGTTAAGGCCATTACAAAGCATTCCTGTATTTAGGCAGAACTACTGACCTTCCTACTATGGAAACCAAAGACCAATTTTTAAGAAATTATAGCCTGTAATCCCAGCACTTTGGGAGGTTGAGGCGGGCAGATCATGAGGTCAGGAGATCAAGACCATCCTGGCTAACACGGTGAAACCCCATCTCTACTAAAAATACAAAAAAAAAAAAAAAATTAGCCAGGCATGGTGGCAGGTGCCTGTAGGCCCAGCTACTCGGGAGGCTGAGGCAGGAGAATGGCATGAACCCAGGAGGCAGAGCTTGCAGTGAGCCGAGATCGCTCCACTGCACTCCAGCCTGGGCAACAGAGCGAGACTCTGTCTTAAAAAAAAAAAAAAAGAAATTACATACCGGCCATATCCTCCACCCTGTCATCCCTTAGGTTAAAAAGACTTCTAACTCAAACCCTGCCTCTTGAATTCACAGGTCACCACTTCCAGCCTGGCGACTTGGTGCTAATTAAGACTTGGAAGGAAGACAATCTCCACCCAAGCTGGGAAGGTTCCTATCAAGTGCTCGTGATCACTGAGACAGCCGTAGGAACAGCTGAACGGGGTGGACACTCACACTCGGGTCAAGAGACTGGTAAAAGAAACCCCAGAAGGAAGGGAAAAAGGTGAATGGGAAGTGTATAGATCACCTAAGGAACCCTTAAAGCTAACTCTAAGGAAAACCTAAAAGGAAGCTATAAGCAGGCTCCGTCCTTGGGGGTGGATATGGTTAGGATTAATCCTAATACAAGGGGTGAAAGAAGACCTAAGTATTGAATAGGGCCCAGTACTAGGGGTGGAAAGTAGGGAATATCCAAACTAATAGTCAACATAACCAAGACCTCCACCCTGCCCCAAACTATAAAATTTAATACCTGCCAAGTCTTACCTTGTGGGAATTTAGGGAACCACAGACAGTTGTCACAAGCAGACAAAGATCTATGTCCTAAAACAGACTGTTATTGGGCCCTCTCAGAAAAGCCCTGTGCTAGCTGGAATCAGGTCTGGTGGACCACTCAATATCAAAGTTGGGTGAGTCATTCTTCCAAAAACAAACCCTTATAGAATAAAATACATTTGTTTAAGGGCCCTACGCCACCTAACTGTAGAAATTTAGAATGCAATCCTATATTAATTACGATAAACAACCCAGCTACTCTTGACCGGGAACCTTGGAGGTAGGTATTAGGAACAGATATCTCAGGAAGCAATCTGGTGGAACGGTTTGCTCTTAGGCTAGTCACCAACTCCACCCCGAGCCCACCCAGGATTACTATAACTCCTGGTCCCGCTACCTCCTTTTTTTTTTTTTTTTTTGAGACGGAATCTCACTGTGTCCCCCAGGCTGTAGTGCAGTGGCGCGATCTCGGCTCACTGCAAGCTCTGCCTCCCGGGTTCAAGCCATTCTCCTGCCTCAGCCTCCCAAGTAGCTGGGACTACAGGTGCCCGCCACCACAGCTGGCTAATTTTTTTTTTTGTATTTTTAGTAGAGACGGGGTTTCACAGTGTTAGCCAGGATGGTTTATCTCCTGACCTCGTGATCCGCCCGCCTCGGCCTCCAAAGGGCTGCGATTACAGGCGCAAGCCACCACACCCGGCCTCCCACTACCTCCTTTAATCCACCAGACAATAACTCTAAGAGAATAAAAATAATTAAGGTAACTGACTTGAGGCAGACTTTAGAAATTGAGACTGAATATGGGGATGTAAATGCCTGTTGAATGGGTCAAATTTTTGGTACTAGCTCCTTTTTTTTTTTTTTTTTTTGAGATGGAGTCTCGCTCTGTTGCCAGGCTGGAGTGCAGTGGCACGATCTCAGCTCACTGCAACCTCCACCTCCTGGGTTCAAGCAATTCTCCTGCCTCAGCCTCCTGAGTAGCTGGGACTACTCAGCTACTCGCACAATGCCACGCCCGGTTAATTTTTTTTTTTTCTGTATTTTAGTAGAGATGGGGTTTCACCATGTTGCCCATGCTGGTCTCAAACTGCTGAATCAGGCAATCCACCTGCCTCAGCCTCCCAAAGTGCTAAGATTACAGGCGTGAACCACCGCACCTGGCCAGTACTAGCTCTTAATAAGACCAACTGTTACGCATGCTGTGCTGGGCAGCCTCAGGCACAGGTGGTTCCATTTCCCTAGGATGGGATACCAATCCCGACGGAATGTGTTGCATGTTGGCTCTATACCAGGACACGAATGCATGGGGAAATAAGACTTACAAAAGTCTATCATTGCTCTTTCCCGCCTTACAGAGATCAGACCCTAGAGCAATCCCCTTGTTCTCCAAAGGGAATATGAACCACTCCTCTTGCCTCTCTAGGCAGGGGGCAGAGTTCAGTAAGCCTGTGGGAAAACTCTCAGCTTGTACCCACATCCTAAACATTACTGGTGAGTCAAATAAAGGCAACTACTCAGCATTTCGTATACCCCAGGCTGATGTCTGGTGGTACTATGGGAAGAGAAACCTCTCTAACTTGTTATTGTCCAATTGGACTGGAACTTGTGCTTTAGTTCAAGTGGCCATTCCCTTCACCCTGGCATTCCATAAGATTCCCGAGAATCCACGTGGCCACTGAAGTTGGAGAGATCTAACAAATTATTTTAACCCCAGCACTTGTATTAACTCAATAGGAGTCCCTAGAGGAGTACCTAATAAATTTAAGAACCAAAGGACACAAACATAAATGTGAAAATGGGACCAATAGGAGTAAAAAGAAAAAGAGGAGGGAATTGAAGGAAATAATGCATACACTGGTCCATTTCCAAGACAAAATGCCTTGAATTGGCTTAGGTGAGCAAACTACAGAAGAAACAGGATATACTAGGCCCCTGCTTGGATAGCCAATGCCTGCTTGTCAGCCTCCCCACCTGCCTTAGTTGTCTTCACCTGAACCAAAGAAGTTTAAGATAAAAATTTACTAGTCTGCAAAATAGCTTACTTTGTCTGTTTTTATCAGTCTGTCCAGCTACTTAGGTCATAAGTCAAATACTTAAAGAGCCCTTGAGCTAACTAGGATTGCAACACATTGTGGGCTGCAATAAAATGCACAAGACAACCCCCGCCCCCCGCCAAAAAAACACCTAAAGCCCCTACCCAACAATCAATAGGCAACATCTGGGAAGACTGTGACCACATAGTACTCAGCCTATGAGGAACTGGGAGAGGGACCTGTGCATGAGGGGATAAATTGCTTGTTGAAACTGTGCTGGGTGTACCTGCCTATCAGACACCCAATCTTGCAAGACTGTCATCAAAAGTCTCACTTTCACTGTTCTCTGGGTCTCTGAGTCCATTCTTTGGGTTTGGATGGGTGAGTTCGTTTCTCACACTTCTTCCTTTCTTCTTTCTTTCTATTGCCCAGGCCAGAGTGCAGTGGTCTGATCATGGCTCACTGCAGCCTCAACCTCCTGGACTCAAGCAGTCCTCTCACCTCAGCCTCCTAAAGTGCTGAGATTATAGGCATGCACCACTGCACCTGGCATATTCTGGCAACTTTCTACTTCCCTTCCCTACACAGGTGGAAACACAGCCAAATCATGTCATGGAATGAGTGATGAATTGATGACATTGGATTGTGTCTTCGTGATGATTAATAGGGGCAAATGTCCCCAATATTTTTGAGAGATTCCTCTATGTTTTTACTTTAGTTTTCTCTATAATTTCCTATGATTGGCTTCTACCTCCACACTTGAGTAAAATTGCTCTTGGTGAGGTCACAGAACACCACTTTCTATCCAAATACTTCCACTCTCCCTAGAACCCTCCAAAGCACTTAGCACCTTACCTTTCCCTCCTCAAAAACTCCTCCCAGGCTTCCTCAAGGCTCTTTCCACTGCCCTGGGCCACTCCTTGATCTCTTGTCTAACCATCCCTCTTCCTTTTCCTGCCCTCTAGATTTGGCCAACTGCAGTAGACATTTCTTTTTTGGGAGATAGGGGTGGAGGCTGCTCAGCCCATGAGAATTTCCCACTTTAAGAATCTTATAGGCCAGGCGTGGTGGCTCACGCCTGTAACCCCAGCACTTTGGGAGACCGAGGCATGTGGATCACCTGAGGTCAGGAGTTTGAGACAAGCCTGGCCAACATGGCGAAACCCTGTCTCTACTAAATATACAAAACATTAGCTGCTCATGGTGGCGGGTGCCTGTAATCCCAGCTACTTCCGGGAGGCTGAGGCAGGAGAATCGCTTGAACCCAGGAGGCAGAGGTTGCAGTGAGCCGAGATCATGCCATTGCACTCCAGCCTGGGCAACAAGAGTGAAACTCCGTCTCAAAAAAAAAAAAAAAAAAAGAAAAGAAAAAGACAAAAAGAATTGTATATAGGCCAGGCACGGTGGCTCACGCCTGTAATCCCAGCACTTTGGGATACCTAGGTGGGGGGATCACTTAAGGCCAGGAGTTCAAGACCAGATGGGCCAACATGGTGAAACCCCATCTCTACTAAAAATACAAAAAATTAGCCGGGCGGGGTAACACGCGCCTGTAATCCCAAGTGTTTAGGAGGCTGAGGCTGAGACACGAAAGTCACTTGAACCCAGGAGGCAGAGATTGCAATGAGCCAAGATCACACCACTGCACTCCAGCCTGGGTGACAGATCGAGACTCTGTCTCAAAAACACAAACAAACAAAAAAGACCCCAAGAATCTTATATGAAGCAGATCCTACTTATCACTAGAGATGCTGAAAACACCAGATCCGTGCTTTCCCAGCCTCCTTTGCGGCCAGAGCTGGCACTGTCCTAGGCTGGGCCAGTCAGATGCAGCTATCCTAGCCTTGACTCTGGAGTTACTAACGAAAATAAGCAGAGTTAAGGGAAGGGTGTTCCTGGTGACAGCAACTTCCAATTTTCATGCAGCTCTAGCAGCAGTGCCAAGCTCAGGTCCCTGGCCTGATGGTGTCAGTGATGTGAGATGTGGCATATAGTGGACAGCAGACTCTTCACCAAACACTATCTTTTGGAGTAGTTTTGGCTGTGGTTATATCTGTTTAGGCTCTGAGCCTGGTTCTCCAGGTTTCCCAGTGTTTCTGTGAACTGCTCTGTAGCTTAAATTATTCAGAATCTATTTCCGTTGCTTGCAACTGAGAACTAGCAAATACAGCATTTCAGAAAGCTGTCCTCAGTTCTCTTTCCCTATACCACCTAAAATCACACCAATCTCTATATTTTCTAAACTTGTATTGCATTATTAAAGAATCCATGCAAGTTAGTGCATTATCATTTACTATCTCATACTTTTTCATTTTCATATGTTTATTTATAGTCCCTCTTATATCTATAAATGATGTCTCTCCAACAATACCACGAATCATGAAAGAAATTAAAATGTCATATCGGGCGGGGTGCGGTGGCTCACACCTGTAATACCAGCATTTTGGGAGGCCAAAGCGGGCAGATCATTTGAGGTCAGGAGTTCGAGACCAGCCTGGACAACATGGTGAAACCCTGTCTCTACTAAAAATACAAAAAATGAGCTGGGCCTAGTGGCAGGCACCTGTAATTCCAGCTGCTTGGGGAGGCTGAGGCAGAAGAATCACTTGAACCTGGGAGGCGGAGGTTGCAGTGAGCCGAGATAGCGCCACTGCACTCCAGCCTGGGCAACAGAGGGCAACTCTGTCTCAAAAAAGAAAAAAAAAGTCATATCAAATATATGTTTAAAATCATGAGAAACTCAAGGCATACTTTTAAAAAACCCCAAAAAGATGCTTTTTGGTATCACAGTATTTAATATTTATTTTTTCCTTCATCAATTTTTTTCAATATTTTGATGCCTACTGAGTGCCAAGTACTGCAAAATTGATGAGGATAGAGACGAATAAGACATGTCTCTGATTTTTCAGAAACTTTGCTCTGGTGGAGGAAACAAACATGGACACATTGTGAGAGTTCCAGGAAGTGGCCACTTGGAGGTGGTATCAAAGTGCTGTGGGAATCCACTTGGGATTGCTGGGTATGTCACTGTCAAGGGGAGGGAGCTGAGTTTCAGCTTGATCCTTCAAGACAGGCACTCAAGTGTGGAAAGGGATGGGCCATGGGCATGTTTCCATAGGACCAGAGATAGACCTAGGTTCAAATCCTGACTCAAACTACTTATTAGCTTTATGATAATGAGAAAGTTACTTACACTCTCTGAGCTTCAGTTTCCTTATCTGTGAAATGGAGATGATAACATTTACATATATTGCTAGTTTATTGTGAATACTTTAAAAGAAGTAATTGTATTAGTCCATTTTTTGCTGCTGTGAATACATACACGAGACTGGGTAATTTATAAAGGAAAGAGGTTTAATTGACTCAATTCAGCATGGCTGGGGAGGTCTCAGGAAACTTACTATCATGGCAGAAAGGGAAGCAAACGTGTCCTTCTTCACATGGCAGCAGGGAGAAGAAGAATGAGTGAAAAGGGAAAAGCCCCTTTTAAAACCATCATATCTCGTGAGAACTCACTATCATGAGAACAGCATGGAGGTAACTACCCCCACGATTCAATTACCTCCCACTGGGTCCCTCCCACGACAGGTGGGGATTATGGAAACTACAAGATGAGATTTGGGTGGGGATACAGCCAAACCATATCAATAATATATAAAGAATCAAGCCCTCCATAAATAGTTATTAGTAGTACTATTATTGTTCCAGGTCCCATCCTCCAGGAAACCTTTCTTGATTGCTCTCAATGATCTCTCTCCTCTGAATTCCAGGAAAAGCCATTGCGCTGATTGCTTGGCTTTATTACACAGTGCTTTGTACTATTGATATTGTGAGTTTGAATCTCAGTTCATAAACTTATACATGCCCAAAACATCTAATTTCTTCATATTCTGGAAATCAAATTAACTTCAACCTTTAGTCTCTATCCCATCAAAATGGCTGTCAATTCAACTTAGGGGGACTTCCCTGAATTGTGCCAACGTTCTGCGACTCCTGCAGTGATATGGCATTAGAGGAGCCTCCTAGTCTACTGTCCATCCAGGTTACCATTTAATGCCCCAGCCCTCATCACCTTGATTCGTGTCTCTGCTTCATAGCCTGCCATGCCTAGGGAATCTTTGAGGCTGGGAGAATAAGGTTAAGGATGCAGCATCTCTGGGGTCTGACATGGCCATTCACCCTGGAGTCCAGCCACATCACTGGTGTTTTTTCATCTGAAAAATGGTATAATAATAATAGTAAGAGTTATTAAGCAACTAATATATTCCAGGCAATTTGCTAGATCTTTTGAATACGTTGTCTCATTTAATCTTCCCACCCACTCTGTGAAAGAGACTCTGTTATTACTTTCAGGAACTTTGCTCTGGTGGAGGAGACAAACATGGACACATTGTGATAGTACCAGGAGCTGGCCACTTGGAGGTGGGATCTATTATTAACCACATTTAGGACTCTTCAAGCTCAAAAACTTGCCCAAGATCACATAGTTACAGAGTAGCAGAGGCAAGATTTTAATCGTTGTCTCCAAAGTTTGGTTGGTTAACCACCATGCTCTATACCCAGTTTGCAGGGTAGTTCTAAAGATTAGAGCTAATGTGTGAAAGTGCCAAGAACAGTATTGGACACATAATAGGCACTCAATTAGGTACAGATATTGTTGTTATTTTTCAAAAGTGGTATTTCTAGCTGCTGCTATGAGCTTGCCCAGTTTCCCACTGCAGGGCTGTTGGGAGAATAGGTGGGAACAAGGAAGCTTTTTATAGGTTGGCCCAGTTTCCCCTATTAATGAGTCCATTTATTCATTCATTCAACAAATAATTTATTGAGTAATTACTATGTGTCAGGCACTGTTCTATGCACTGGGAAAATGACAATGAGCAAAAATAATAAAATCCCTGCTCTCATGGAACTTATAGCCTAGCGGAGGAGGGGACAGACACTAAACAAATAAAAAGTAGATAGATGATGTCTCAAATGGTAATATGCATTTTGAAAAAATTAATCTGATAGGGGGTTAGAGAGTGATAGATGGAGATATACATCTATTTATATAAGGCGGACAGGGAAGACCTCTCTGATAAAGTGAACTTTGGGCAGAGACCTGAAGGAAGTGAGGAATTGAACCATGCAGATATCTGGGGATGTGGGTGACAGGCAGAGAGAAAGATTCTGAGGTGGCACAGACCCTTGGTATGTTTGAAGAGCAGTGGAAGCCTAGGGAATGAGTATAAACAGAAAAAAAGTGGGTTGGTGTCTTAGATCAGAATCCCTAGAAGCAGAACTGAGATAGGGATTCGAGTGTATGTGATCTTTGAGGGAGTGCTGTCAGGAGAAAACGAGTGAGGGAAACAGAATAGGACAGGAGAAAGAGCTAGGCAAAGATATGGTCTTTAGTTTGATCCTGTGAGAACTCTGGAGCATGAATTATTCCACAAAGCTGGTTCTACCAAGGCAAGGAATTGGCCTTTTTTACTTGACCTCGTTTAGTCATTAGTCATTAGTCATTAGTCATTAGTCAATGACAGGTCTGCGGGGCAGTGGAGAGCAGTAGTTAATCTCTCAGGCAAAGCAGATCCACTTTGTGGAGAGCAATTCTCCAGAGGAGAAGGAAATGATGACCCATTAGTAGCCAACACTCACAGGAGCTGAGGAATGGGTACAACTAGCCCTGTAAAGGAGATCTAAGTAGGACAACAGCATCCATTACAGATGGGAAATGAACCCTAAGAGGCTCTAACACTTTGAGGTTGAGAGGATAAAGAGAAAGAAAACTGAGAAGCAACCAATGAGGTAGGAAGAGAACCAAGAATATGTGGTATCCAGAAAGTCAAGAAATAAAATTATATCAAGAATGATGGAGTATTGAGGAAAGAGAGGGGGAAGGGAGCAATTAACTGAGTCATATAATCACTCTGTTAGCCTCCAAGATGGCCCCCCAATGACTCTTGCTTCATGGTACACATGTCCCCATGTAATCTCTTTCTACTTTGAATCAGACTAACTTGTGTAACCAGTAAGATATTCCGAAAATAATGGAGTGCAACTTATGAGACCAGATCATAAAAGATATTTCAACTTCTGCTTTGTTCTCTTTGAAATCCCTTCTCCCAGAGGAGAAGCCAGTTGCCATATTGTGAGGATGCTCAAGCAACCTTATGAAGAGGTCTACATGGTGAAGAACTAAGGCCTACTATCAAAAACAAACACTAATTTGCCAGACATGTGAGTGAGTATATTGGAAGTGGATCCTCCAACCTTCTAAGACTTGACATGACTACAACCCCTGCCAACACCTTGAATGAAACTTCATAAGAGAACCTAATCCAGAATCACATAGCTAAGCTATTCCTGGATTTCTGACCCATAGAAACTATGAGATAATTGCTTCTTGTTTCGAGTCACTAAATTTGAGGGTAATTGTTACATAGCAACAGATAACCAATACAATGATAAGTGAAGAGTAAGGCCTGAGAAATGACCGTTTAATTTAATATGAAAGTCACTGACTACTTTGAAAAGAGCAGTTTCAGCAGAGCGATGTGGGCAAAAGCCTAATTAAAATGTGCTCACAGATAATGAGAGAAGAGAAAGTGGAGACAGATAACTGACCATTCTTTCCATAAGTTTTGCTGTAGGCCGGGCGCTGTGGCTCATGCCTGTAATCCCAGCACTTTGGGAGGCCGAGGCGGGCATATCACCTGAGGTCAGGAGTTTGAGACCAGCCTAGTCAACATGGTGAAACCCCGTCTCTACTAAAAATACAAAAATTAGCCAGGCATGGTGGTGCATGCCTGTAATCCCAGCTACCAGGAGACTGAGGCAGGAGAATCGCTTGAACCCAAGAGGCAGAGGTTGCAGTGAGCCAAGATTGTACCACTGCACTCCAGCCTGGGCAACAGAGCGACTCCATCTCAAAAAAAAATTTTTTTTTTTTGCTCTAAAGAGAAGCAGAGACTTGGGACAGTAGCTGAAGGGGGAAGGGCATTGAGAAAGTTTTTTGCTTTTGTTTTACTTTTAAAATGGAAGACAAGGTCGGGTGCGGTGGCTCACACCTATAATCTTAGCACTTTGGGAGGCCAAGGCAGGCGGATCCCTTGAGCCCAGGAGTTCAAGACCAGCCTGGGCATGGAGAAACCCCATCTCTACAAAAAAATACAAAAGTTAGCCAGGCTTGGTGGTGTGCACCTGTAGTCCCGGCTACTCAGGAGGCTAAATTGGGAGGATCGCTTGAACTTGGGAGGTTGAGGCTTCCGTGAGCCGAGATCATGCCACTGCACTCCAGCCTGGGTGACAAAGTAAGACCCTGTCTCAAAAAAAAAAAAAGATGGAAGATAGTATAGCCTGACATATATGCTGATGGGAATGAGCCGAGAGAGAGACAAATTTCAGATAAAGGGATGAATGGCTGCCAAGCCTAATGTCCTTGAGTAGTTGAGAGAAGAGATCTAGTAGCCAAGTCAAAGAGTTGACCTTGGGAGCACAGACTGTTCAAGGAGGGCAGGGAGAATGTGTAAGCATAGATACTATCAGTGGGTAGATGTGCCTGAATCTTCTCTGAAGGTTAGGAAGCCATGTCATCAGTAGAGAAGGAGAAGGGCAGAAGGTGTAGGAGGTTGGAGAAGATGTGGAACAGTCATTCAGGACAGCAGGCTGAGGTATAAGGCAACTTTCCAAGAAGTTTACAGCCTGGATTTTTTTTTTTTTTTTAGACGGAATCTTTCTTTGTTGCCCAGGCTGGAGTGCAGTGGCATGATCTTGGCTCACTGCAACCTCCACCTCCCAGGTTCAAGCAATTCTCCTGCCTCAGCCTCCCAAGTAGCTGGGACTACAGGTGCGCACCACCATGCCTGACTAATTTTTGTATTTTTTTAGTAAAGACGGGGCTTTACCATGTTGGCCAGGCTGGTCTTGAACTCCTGACCTTGTGATCCACCTACCTTGGCCTCCCAAAGTGCTGGGATTACAGGCGTGAGCCACCGTGCCCGGCCCAGCCTGGATATTTTTAAGAAAATAAGTAACCAAATACTCAGTTTCCATGTGCTCCTTTCTCAAAATTGTTCTATTTTCCTAAAATAGAAATGCCACCTACCCTTCCTCAGTTGCCCTTCTTCTACTTTACAGAAGTCACATTTCCCAGGCAGCCCAAATCTTACCATACTAAGCCAGTATAAGAGGGTGTTCATGCTTCCTAACTCTGGAGCCAGACTGTGTCGAATTGCATCTATTCAGTTCTGCTATTGACCAGCTGTGGTAGCCAGTCTCCACGATGGTTTCCAATGTCCTTGCCTCTGGATATTCACACCTTTGAGTTGTCCCCTACCTCACTGAATCACAGCTAGTCTGTGTCATTAATGTGTGACTTCTCAGGCTAGAACATAAAGGGCATTTCAGCCCTCACCTTGCTGTCTTGGATTGCTTACTATTGAGTAACCTAACCACCATGTCATAAAGACACTCAAGCAGCCCTTATGGAGAGGCTCATATAGAAGAGAACTAAGACTTTCCACTAACAACCAACACTCACTTACCCAGCATGTGACTGAGCCACCTTAGAAATAGATCCTTCAGTGCGGGGCATGGTGGCTCACACCTGTAAACTCAGCACCTTGGGAAGCCGGGGCGGGCAGATCACTTGAGTCCAGGAATTCAAGACAAACCTGGGCAACATGGTGAAACCCCATCTCTACAAAATACAAAAATTAACCGGGTGTGGTGGCTCATCCCTGCAATCCCAGCACTTGGGGAGGCTGGGAGGATCACCTGAGCACAGAGGTTCAAGACCAGCCTGGGAAACATAGGGAGATGCCATCTCTACCAAAAAAAAAAAAAAAAAAAAAATTTAGCCAGGCATGATGGCATACACCTGTGGTCCTAGCTACTTGGGAGACTGAGGTAGGAGGATCACTTTGAGCCCAGGAGGTCAAGGCTGCAAGTGAGCCGTGATTGCACCACTGCACTCCAGTTTGGGTGACAGAGCAAGACCTTGTCTCAAATAATAATAATAATAATAACAAAGAAAAAAATACAAGCTACAAACTAAAAGAAAATATTTGCAAGAAAATACCTGATATCCACATATCAGATCAAAGACTGTTATGTAGAATATATAAAGAACTCTTGGCCAGGCATGGTGCTCATTCCTATAATCCCAGCACATTAGAAGGCCGAGGTGGATGGATTACCTGAGGCCAGGAGTTCGAGACCAGCCTGGCCAACACGGTAAAACCCTATCTCTAATAAATATATAAAAATTAGCCGGGCTTGGTGGCACATGCCTGTGGTCCCAGCCACTCGGGAGGCTGAGGCAGGAGGATCACTTGAACTTGGGAGGCAGAAGTTGCAGTGAGGTGAGATCACGCCACTGAACTCCAACCTGGGTGACAGAGCAAGACTCCATCTCAAAACAAAAACAAAACTCAACAGTAATAAAAAAACAAACATCTCCATTAGAAAATGGGCAAAAACTATGAAGAGACATTTCATCAAAAAGAGTATGTAGATGGCACATAAGCACACTGGGTGTGGTGGGTCATGCCTGTAATCCCAGCACTTTGGGAGCCCGAGGCCGGCAGATCATGAGGTCAGGAGATCAAGACCATCCTGACCAACGTAGTGAAACCCCGTCATGCCTGCCTGTAGTCCCAGCTACTAAAGAGGCTGACGCAGGGGAATCGCTTGAACCCAGGAGGCAGAGGCTGCAGTGAGCAGAGGTGGCACCACTGTACTCCAGCCTCAGTGACAGAGCAAGGCTATCTCAAAAAAAGAAAAAAGAAAAGACGTTCAATATCACTAGTCACAGGAAAATGCAAATGAAGATTACCATGAGATAGCACTCCACACCTAGTAGAACAGCTATAATAAAAAAGCTATGATAATACCAAATGCCAGTGATGATGTGGAGAAACAGTATCTCTCATACATTGCTGGTGGGAAAGTAAAATAGAACAGCCACTTTGCAAGACAGTTAGGCAGTTTCTTTTTTAAAAAAAGTAGACATTTACCATACAACACAGCAGTTGCACTCCTGGATATTTACCCCAGAAAAATGAAAATTTGCATCCACCCAAAAACAAACACATGAATGTTCACAGCAGCTTAATTTGTGCTAGCCAAAAACTGAAAACAATCAAGAAGTCTCTCAATAGGTGGACGGTAAAACAAACTGGTACATCCATATCATGTATTACTCAGCAATAAAAAGGAAAAAACTATTGGCATACACAACAACTTAGATGGATCTCAGAGTCATTATTCTGAGTTAAAAAAAAGCCAACTTCAGGCTGGGTGCAGTGGCTCACACCTGTAATCCCAGCACTTTGGGAGGCTAAGGCAGGCGGATCACTTGAGGTCAGGAGTTTGAGACCAGCCTGGGCAACATGGTGAAACCCTGTCACTACTAAAAATACAAAAGTTAGCCAGGCATGGTGGCATGCGCCTGTAATCCCAGCTACTCAGGAGGCTGAGGCAGGAGAATCGCTTGAACCTGGGGGTCAGAGGTTGCAGTGAGCTGAGATTGAGCCACTGTACTCCAGCCTGGGTAACAGAGCCACTGTACTCCAGCTTGGATAAAAGAGCAAGACTCTGTCTCAAAAAGAAAGAAAAAAAAAAGCCAACTTCAAAATGTCACATGATTCTATTTAAAAACATTTTCAAAATAACCAAATTACAGAGATGGAAACAAATTAGGAGTTGCCAGGGGTTAGATACTTTTTGAAAGTAAGTAAACAATTCAATTCATAATAACATTGAATAGAATAAAATACTTGGGAATAAATTTAACAAAAGAAAAACTCTGAAAACTATAAAAACATTGTCAAAAGAAAGTAAAGATCTAAATAAAGGGAGAATATACCATGTCCATGGATTAGAAGACCTAACACTGTTGTGATGGCAATACTCCCCATACTGATCAGGTTTAAAGCAGTCCCTGTCAGGACACATACACACCATGGAATACTATGCAGCCATAAAAAAGAATGAGTTCATGTCTTTTGCAGGGACATGGATGAAGCTGGAAACCATCATTCTCATCAAACTAACACAGGAACAGAAAACCAAACACCACATGTTCTCACTCGTAAGTGGGAGTTGAACAATGAGAACATATAGGCACAGAGAGAGGAACATCACACACCAGGGCCTGTTGGGGGGTGAGGGGCAAGGGGAGGGATAGCATTAGGAGAAATACCTAATGTAGATTATGGGTTGATGGGTGCAGCAAACCACCATGGCACATGTATACCTATGTAACAAACCTGCATGTTCTGCACATGTATCCCAGAACTTAAAGTATAATAAAAATTTTTTTAAAAATTAGATAAATTGGACTTCATCAAAATTAACAGCTTTTGTGTCTCAAAGGACACTATGAAGAATGTGAAAGAAGAATGTGAAGGGCCAGGTGCAGTGGCTCACACCTGTAATCCCAGCATTTTGGGGGCCCAAGGCAGGCAGATTGCTTGAGGTCAGGAATTCAAGACCAGCCTGGGCAACATGGCAAAACCCCATCTCTACTAAAAATACAAAAATTCACCAGGTGTGGTGGTGGGCACCTGTAATCCCAACTACTTGGGAGGCTGAGGCAGGAGAATCGCTTGAACCAGGGAGTTGGAGGTTGCAGCAAGCCAAGATCGTGCCACTACACTACAGCCTGAGTGACAGAGTGAGACTCTGGTCTCAAAAAAAAAAAAAAAAAGGAATGTGAAAAGACTGGATGTGGTGCTCATGCCTATAATCTCAACATTTAGGAAGGCCAAGGTGAGAGGATTGCTTGAGCCCAGGAGTTCAAGACCCACCTGGGTAATATGGCAAAGGCCTGTCTCTACAAAAATAAAAAAATTAGCCAGGCATGGCATGGTGGCACATACCTGTGGTCCCAGCAACTTGGGAGGCTGAAGCAGGAGGATTGCTTGAGCCCAGAAGGTCAAGGCTGCAGTGAGCCATGTTCATACCACCACAGTCCAGCTTGAGTGACAGAGAGACACTCATGTGAAAAGACAAACCACAGAATGGGAGAAAATATCTGCAAATCATATATGTGATAAGACACTTGGATTTAGAATATAAAAATAACTCTTACAACTCAATAATAAAGAGACAGCCTAATTAAAAAAAAAAAGGCAAGGGATCCGAATGAGCATTTCTCCAAGATATACAAATGGCCAATAAGTGGATGAAAAGATGGTAGACATCATTACCCATCAGGGAAATGCAAATCCAAATCACAGTGAGATACCATTACACATCCTAGGATGGCCAGAATTAAAAAGTCGGAAAATAAAAGTGCTGGTGAAGATGTGGAGAAATTGGAACTCTCACACACTACTGGTAGAAATGTAAAATGGTGTGGCTGCTTTGGGAAACAGTCTGGCAGTTCTTCAAATGATTAAACATGGAATTAACATATGGTCTAAAACTTCAACTCATAGGTATATACCCAAGGAAACTGAAAACATATGCCCACACAAGACTTATACATGAATATTTGTAATAATGATGGCAGCGGTGGCTCCAGATGGCTGGCCACTGCCAAGATGCCAGCTGCAGCAGGGAGGCCTGGGCCCCCCACTCCATGGAGCAGGCAGGAGCCCCACCCTCCCAGGGTGCCAATGCAGCAGCCCAACCCCAGCTGTGGACCCAGGCATCTCTGTGCTCTTGGGGGCCTGGAAGGCCCCCCTCCTCCCTGCAGGCTCAGAAGTGCCTGCTGCTGCTGCCTGCCCTCTCCCCGCTTCCAGCACCAGCTCCGATCATGGAGCAAGGGTGGGGCTGAGCCTGGATGCTGTGGCAGCCCTGCCGGGTGGGTGCACACTCAGGACGCACTGACATGCCAGCCCCCTGCTGCCTCGTCCCCCTCCAGACTTTGGGCACCAATGAGCACAGGAGGGAAGCTGAGGGGGTGCTGAGGGCAGCTCAGTGCTGGCCTGCAGATGCCCGTTGGCACAAGTAACCTGAGTGCCATGGATGTTGGTGGCAGGAGGCAATGGCTCCTGGGCAGAAGAGGGCAGTCCCGGTGAAGCCCCACCTTCAAGCTAAGGAAGTCCTGTGACCTGGGGGCCAGGCTACCAGTCCTGCCTACAGGAGGGGGAACTCATAGTGCTTTTTCCTGGGCCCCTACATGGCTGCCCATGGACCAGTCAGTATGCACTTCCCCACTCAAGCCCATAAACACCCTGGACTCAGCAGAGCAGAGCAGACACCCAGGTGACCAGCAGCAGAGAGGAGCTTCCCACTCCAGGGATGACCTGCCTGCAGAGAGGAGCAACTCACTCCAGGGCCTCTCTGCTAAGAACTGCAGAGATGAGGGGACAACCAGGAGCAGAGAGGAGCCACCAACACCAGTGCCTCGTCCTCTCTGCTGAGGGCTGAACACTCATCGGAACACCTTGGCTGCAGAAAGGGGCTACCCATAGCAGACCTCTGAGCTGTTCTACTGCTCGATAAAGCTCCTCTTCATCTTGCTTACCCTCCACTTGTCTGCATGCCTCCACCCTCCACTCGTCTGCATGCCTCATTCTTCCTGGTGGCAAGACAAGAACTCGGGACCCATCAAATGGCAAGCCCTGTAACACGAACAGGGCTGAAACATGCCCCTTACTCGCCACTTTGCAGGCGGAGAAGAGAAGAGCTGCAGCCCTTCAGGGAGCCCAGACCTGGGACCTCCCCAAGCCAGGGCTGTGACTCCCTCTTTGAGGCCCTGTGGTTCCTGGTGTCTCCAAGCTTCCAGGTGCCACTGCATTCCCGGTGCTAGCCAGGGAAGCTGCTTGCAGTCCACTTGGTCCAGCTGCAGCCTCACAGAGAGCTGCCACCTGTGCCAGCACTTGGAGCTGCCTGCCCCCCTGCAGCAGCCAGCATGCCTGACTGTGTACAGTGGCTGGACCCTGTGCTTTCTTGCCCACACACCCCTTGCCATTCCATGCCTGGCTCACCCTTGTCAGGCAAGGGATCCAGACAGGTAGCATAAGTCAAGCACAGCCTGCCAGCCTGAGTGGGTAGAAGGAGCTGAGTGGGCCCGAGTCACACAAAGGCACCACTGGCCCTAGAGGTTTCTGGCCAGAAAAGTGACACCTCAAAGATCCCATAACAATAGCATTATTCAGCTGGGCAGGGTGGCTCACGCCTGTAATCCCAGCACTTTGGGAGGCCGAGATGGGAGGATCACAAGGTCAGGAGATCGAGACCATCCTGGCTAACACGGTGAAACACCGTCTCTACTAAAAATACAAAAAAATAGCTGGGCGTGGTGGTGGGTGCCTATAGTCCTAGCTACTCGGGAGGCTAAGACAGGAGAATGGTGTGAACCCAGGAGGCGGAGCTTGCAGTGAGCTGAGATTGCACCACCGCACTCCAGCCTGGGTGAAAGTGTGAGACTCCGTCTCAAAAAAAAAAAAAAGATAAATAAATAACATACCATTATTCATTTGGGCTAAAAGATGGAAACAACCCAAATGTCAGTTAATAGAGGAATGGGTAAACAAAATGTATATTCATCCATCACCATCTATAAACAAATGTTTATCCAGAAAATGGAATATTATTTAGCTATAAAAACAAAGTCTGACATGTGCCACAACATGGATGAACCCTGAAATAGGCCAGTTATAAGAGGACAAATGTTGTGTGATTCCACTTATGAGGTACCTGGAGCAGTCAAAGTTATAGAGACAGAAAATAGAGTGGTGGTTGCCAGGAGCTAGAGAGAGGGAACGGGTAGTTGTTGTTCAATGTGTACAGAGTTTCAGTTTGGGAAGATGAAAAAAGTACTGGATCTAGTTTGTCCCTGGATCTAAGAAAAAAGAAGAAACAGTACTGAAGATGAACGGTGATAATGGTTGTGCAGTATTCCAAATATACTTAGTGCAACAGAACTGTATGCTGAAATGATTAAAGTGGTGATGTTACGTATATTTTACCTCACACCCAAAAAAAATGAATGAGGTACTGATGCATGCTACAACATGGGTGAACTCCAAAAACATTATTCTAAGTGAAAGAAGCCAGAGCAAAAGACTACATATTGTATGATTCTATACATATGAAATGTCATCTTTAGAAAAGAGATGCAGATGACAAGCTGGCCAGGCCTAATTCCAGCCTTAAGACTAGCATTGGCCAGGTGCAGTGGCTCATGCCTGTAATCCCAGCACTCTGGGAGGCTGAGACGGGCGGACCACCTGAGGTCAGGAGCTCGAGACCAGTCTGGTCAACATGACGAAACCTTGTCTCTACTAAAAATACATAAATTAGCTGGGTGTGGTGGTGGGTGTCTGTAATCCCTGCTACTCGGGAGGCTGAGGCAGGAGAATCACCTAAACCCAGGAGGTGAAAGTTGCAGTGAGCCGAGATCGCGCCACTGCACTCCAAGCCTGGGCGACAGAGTCAGACTCTGTCTCAAAAAAAAAAAAAAAAAAAAGACTAATATCATTGCAGGTGACGTCACAAATGGTGACCGAGATGCCACTACCCACCCACTATAATGGGTATAATAAAAACTCAAACAATAGGTGTCAGTGAGGATATAAAGAAATTGGAACCTGTATACATTGCTGGTGGGATTTTATTTTATTTTATTTGTGAGACAAGGTCTCACTCTGTCGCCCAGGTTGGAGTGCAATGGTGCCATCATAGCTCACTGCAGCCTTGAACTCCTGGGCTGAAGCAATTCTCTTGCCTCAGCATCTTGAGTAGCTGGGACTACAAGTGTGCACCACCACGCCTGGCCATATATGTGTGTGTGTGTGTGTGTGTGTGTGTGTATGTATTGATTACTGTATATATAAATATATATGTATTTTATTTATCTATCTATCTATATATTGTTTTGTTTTGTTTTGTAGAGACCAGGTCTTGCTTTGTTGCCCAGGCTGGTCTTGAACTTCTGAGCTCAAGCAATCCTCCTGCCTCAGCCTCCCAAAGTTCTGGGATTAAAGGCATAAGCCACCATGCCCAGCTGCTGCTGGGATTTCAAAATGCTGCTGTCACTTTGCAAAACAGTTTGGTAGCTCTTCAAAATGTTAAAATTGGAGTTACCATGTGGCCCAGCAATTGCACTCCTAGCTGCAAAAAAAAAAAAAAAAAAAAAAGAAAGAAATCCTATATCCACAAAAACCTTGTACCTGAATAACTTATAGCAACATTATTCATAATAACTAAAAAGTAGAAACATGAATGTTCATCAACTGATAAATGGAAAATCAAGTGCAGTATATCTGTACAAAGAAATACTATTCAGTGTTAAAATGAAGTACTGACACATGCCACAACATGGATGAACCTTGAAAACATGCTAAGTGAACAAAGCCAGATGCAAAAGGACACACGTGTATGATTCCATTTACATGAAATGTTCAGTATAGGCAAGAAAATCTATAGATACAGAAAAGTGTATTCATGGTTGCCAAGCACTGCGGCAGGTGGGTTGAAACGGGGACTAATTGCTAATAGGTATGGAGATTTTTTAGGGAGTGATGAAAATCTTCTCAAATTAATTATGGGCTGGGCTTGGTAGCTCAGGCCTGTAATCCCAGCACTTTGAGAGGCCAAGGCAGGCAGATCATCTGAGGTCAAGAGTTCGAGGGCCAGGTGCGGTGGCTCACGCCTGTAACCCCAGCACTTTGGGAGGCTGAGACAGGCGGATCACGAGGTCAGGAGATCGAGACTATCCTGGTTAACACGGTGAAACCCCGTCTCTACTAAAAATACAAAAAATTATCTGGACGTGGTGGCAGGCACCTGTAGTCCCAGCTACTTGGGAGGCTGAGGCAGGAGAAAGGCGTGAACCCGGGAGGCGGAGCTTGCAGTGAGCAGAGATCGCGCCACTGCACTCCAGCCTGGGCGACAGAGCGAGATTCCGTCTCAAAAAAAAAAAAAGAGTTCGAGACCAGTCTGGCCAACATGGCGAAACACCATCTCTACCAAAAAAAAAAAAAAAAAAAAATTAGCTGGGCATGGTGGTGTGCGCCTGTAGTCCTAGCTACTCAGGAGGCTGAGTCAGGAGAATCACTTGAACCCGGGAGGTGGCAGCTGCAGTGAGTCAAGATCACACCACTGCACTCCAGACTGGGCAACAATAAGACTCTATCTTAAAAAAATATGTATATGATGACGGTTGCATAAATCTGAATGTACTAAAAAGTCACTGAATTTTACACTTTAAAGGGGTAAATTCTATGGTTTGTGAATTATATCTCAATGAAGATGTTCAAAAAATGGTGACCTGGCCGAGTGGCAGTGGACTTGCCCAGCCCCAGCTCTAGCTACACTTGTCCCCTTGCCTTCCAGATAATCAGCTTCTGATAACTGTAGAGAAAAGTATGGGCAGAAAGGAGAAAGTAAGCCAAGAGGGGAGCTGGAAGTCAGGACCTACTGCCTTGGAAAGCCATCGTGCTGTGAGGACTCTTCATCATTCCTCAAGGTACTTCTGCTTCCTTCCCTTACCTCCCACTACCTCCTAGGCACTCCACTGAACCTGCCCACCTCCACTCCTGCCATCTCTGCCCACCTCTACTCCAAGCATCTGGGCATCCACACTCAGTTCACGTCAGATCTGGGTGTAATGAGTTTGAAGTCAGTTTTCAAAGTTGTATTAATAGAATCTTTCTTTGGCCACCCAGGTTTTGGAGAATTTGGTCATCCTTCCACTTTATGGACTGTGAATTATCTTGTGACCAATGATTTCCTCTTCTTCCCACCTAGGTGTTACTTCACTTACCAACAATTCCCCAATTCCCCAAAGTGGAAGGAAGGAGACAAACTTGTACCTTTGACTCATTTTTCAGAAACTATGGTGTAAAGGTCTCTGGGAAACTGGGTGAAACTAAAGGGCCATATGATATTGTTTTCATTTATTTTTATTTTTTAACCTGGAAAATGTGAAATGTGTAGATGCAATGCCATATGATGTTGAGGAATTATTTGTTTTAAATTATCTTTCCTCCTTTATGTCCTGGGCAAATATTAATTAGTTGGTTATTTGTAACCATCAGAAAGGATCCTACTGATGGCATGACTCCTTTGCCAAACTTCTTATCAAAAATAAGGACTCTGGAACGTTATGAAAATAAGAGGTCTATGGCCATACCACCCTGAAAACACGCAATCTTGTCTGATCTTGGAAGCTAAGCAGGGTTGTGCCTGGTTAGTATTTGGGTGGGCTATAGGCTTCTGGCATCCCATTCCCTCTTTCCCTAAAGAAAGAAAGAAAGAAAGAAAGAAAGAAAGAAAGAAAGAAAGAAAGAAAGAAAGAAAGAAAGGAAGGAAGGAAGGAAGGAAGGAAGGAAGGAAGGAAGGAAGGAAGGAAGGAAGGAAGGAAAGAAAGAAAGAAAGAATAAAATGAGGGGACCACATCCTCTCCCACCTACTTCAGAGGGCTGGTAAGACTAGGGTCCTCCCCACCTGAGCACCAGCTTGGGGTGAAAGGGAGGAAGAGGAATCCTTGACAGAAGCATTATCTGTCCCTTTAACCCTCCTTTCAGAAGTGGACTCTCTAAAGAGTCCTCTTGTCCTCTGACTTAACTTTACCTCATCCAGCTGTATACATGCAGTGAAACACACTTTAACTGTCCCAGATACTTGGGAGGCTGAGGCAGGAGGATCGCTTGAGCACAGGAGGTGGAGGCTACGGTGAGCCATGATCATGGCACTACATTCCAGCCTTGATGCATAGAGAAAGACCCTGTCTCAAACCAAAACCAAAACCAAACCAAACAACAACAACAACAACAACAAAAACCCACACATACACTTTAGGGCAGACCTCTGTAGTAGGATGATGTATTTGTGTACAGTAGCTAAAACTTGCAAGTAGCTGCTTACCCAGTCAGCCAGGCGGCCATGGGTTTTGTTTGTTTTTGTTTTTGTTTGTTGTTGTTGTTGTTGTTGAGACGGAGTTTTGCTCTTGTTGCCCAGGCTGGAGTGCAATGGCGCCATCTCAGCTCACCAAAACCTCCAACTCCTGGGTTCAAGCCATTCTTCTGCCTCAGCCTCCCGAGTAGCTGGGATTACAGGCATGCGCAACCATGCCCAGCTAATTTTGTATTTTTAGTAGACGCGGGTTTCTCTATGTTGGTCAGACTGGTCTTGAACTCCTGACCTCAGGTGATCCACCCACCTTGGCCTCCCAAAGTTCTGGGAATACAGGTGTGAGGCACTGTGCCCAGCCATAGCCATGGTTTTTAATGACTAAGAAGAGAAAGGGAGGCTGAGGAGGGTGGATCACCTGAGGTCAGGAGTTCGAGACCAGCCTGGCCAACATGATGAAACTCCGTCTCTACCAAAAACACAAAAATTAGCCAGGTGTGGTGGCGTGTGCCTATAATCCCAGCTACTCGGGAGGCTGAGGCAGGAGAATCACTTGAACCCAGGAGGCGGAGGTTGCGGTGAGTTGAGATTGTGCCATTGTACTCCAGCCTGGGCAACAGAGTGAGACTCCGTCTCAAAAAAGAAAAAAAAAGTTTATTTTTTCTAACTTTCTTATTTTCTTGGGTTAAACTAGAGCTCTTAAATTAACCTGCCTGCCCATCAGCTTTCCAGACTAGGAGTGATTATATAACTTACAATTCTTACTGGGGACCTGAAAGCCCCAACATGCTCTGAAGCCTGGAAAATTAGGTGGAAGAAGGAAAAGATAGAACCTTGGCACAGAGAGAAAAAAAAAGTGGTTAGCATCTGTGCTGGACTAAAAAATATATAAGTATGAATGTTAGATTTTGTGAGTTACATCAGGGACACATGTGCATATCTGCATTTGATGTGTGTGCAATTCTGTGGTCAAGAGGGTGTCTGTGAGTGAGAAGACACATCCAAAGATTTAATGAGAAGAATAATGATTTTGGATCCATCTGCCTTGCTCTCAGTGCCAAGAGGAATGGTAGGCACAGGATTCACTGCAGGGGTAGATGGTGAAAGCAGTCAGAAAGTGATGGGTTGTTAGGGGTACCCCTGAATAATGTCTCCCCACCTAGTTAGCTCTTGCTTGAAATTTAGCAGTTAGCTAACTGTGTCTCTAAGGATTTTAAATTTTTCTTCATACTTTTCTTCATTTCTACATTTTCAAGACATACCCACGACTGGGTAATTTATAAAGGAAAAGAGGTTTAATGGACTCACAATTCCACATAGCTGGGGAGGCCTCACAATCATGGTGGAAGGTGAAGGAGGAGCAAAGGCACATCTTACAAGGCGATAGGCAAGGAGTGCTGAGGGTATTGCAATTATAATCAAAAGGTTATTAATGTAAAATAATATATTTTAGTACTTGACAGTAGTTCAAGTAAAAAGTCTTGAGGGAGGTTCCTGATTCAATTTAGACCATGAGGCCTTGTGTTAAGGGTGTGGATTGGGTATTGCGGATCCTGATCTAGAACATGTGCTGTGATGTGTACTAGTTCTATAATCCTCGGCAAGGCTCTTGACATCTGTGGTGCTTAAACCTGAGTGCAAGAATCACCCAACTGCAGATTGTAGGATCCTCTCCTAGAGAGTCTTATTCAGCAGGTCTAGAGTGGACTTTGGAATCTGCATTTTAATAAGCAGCTCAGGTGACTCCAAAGCAAATGCTATATAGACCACTCTTTGAAACACACTATTCCATATTCTGCAAATCTCCATTTTTAAAAACTTTATTGTGAAAAAATTTCAAATATATGCAGGCATAACTCATTCACCTGCATCTCGCTTTATTGCACTTTGCAGATTACATTTTTACAAATAGAAGGTTTGTGGCAACCTGGTGTTGGGCAAGTCTATCAGCATCATTTTTCCAACAGCGTGTGCTCACTTCGTGTTTCTGTATCACATTTTGGTAATTTTCACAGTATTTCAAACTTTTAATTATCACTCTGTCTGTTATAGTGATCTGTGATCACTGTGATCAGTGATCTTTGATGTTACTATTGTAATTGTTTTGGGATGCCACAAATCACACCTATGTAAGACACAGAAGTTAATAAATATGTGTTCTTTGACTGCACCACCTACCAGCCATTCCCCTATCTCCCTCTTTTTGAGCCTCCTTATTCCCTGACACACACAGTATTAAAATTAGGTCCATTACTACCCTAAAATGAGGCCGGGTGGGTGGCTCACACCTGTAATCTCAGCAATTTGGGAGGCCGAGGCAGGTGGATCACTTGAGGCCAGGAGTTCAAGATCAGCCTGGACAAGGTGGTGAGACCCTGTCTCTACTAAAAATACAAAAAATAGCCGAGTGTGGTGGCATGCTCCTGTAGTCCCAGCTCCTTGGAAGGCTGAGGCAGGAGAATCACTTGAACCCAGGAGGCGGAGGTTGCAGTGAGCTGAGATTGTGCCACTGCACTCCAGCCTGGGCGACAGAGCAAGACTCTATCTTGAAAATAAATAAATAAATAAATAAATAAATAAATAAATAACTCTACAATGGCCTCTAAGTTTTCTTTTTTCTTTTTTTTTTTTTTGAGACGGAGTTTCACTCTTGTAGCCCAGGCTGGAGTACAATGGCATGATCTCGGCTCATTGCAACCTCCACCTCCTGGGTTCAAGCGATTCTCCTGCCTCAGCCTCCCGAGTAGCTGGGATTACAGGCTTGCGCCTCCATGCCTGGCTAATTTTTGTATTTTTAGTAGAGACGGGGTTTCACCATGTTGGCCAGGCTAGCCTCGAACTCCTGACCTCAGGCAATCCACCCACCTCAGCCTCCCAAAGTGCTGGGATTACAGGCGTGAGCCATCGCACCAGGCCCAGTGGCCTCTAAGTTTTCAAGTGAAAGAAAGAGTTGCACATTTCTCACTTAAAAAAAAAAAAAAAAAAAAAAAGCTTCTAGGATGGAGAATGTGCGAAAAAAAAAAAAGCTAGAAATGATCAAACTTAGTGAGGAAGGCATGTTGAAAGCCAACATAGGTCAGAAACTAAGCCTCTTGGCCAAACAGCAAGTTGTGAATGCAAAGGAAAATTTATTGAAGGAAATTAGAAGTGCTATTCCACTGAACACACAAATGATAAGAATGCAAAACAGCCTTATTGCTGATATGGAGAACATTTTAGTGTCTGGATAAGGACCCAACCAACTACAACATCCCCTTAAGCCAAAGTCTAATCCAGAGTAATGCCCTAACTCTTCAATTCTATGAAGACTGAGAGAGGTGAGGAAGCCGCATAGGAAAAGTTTGATGCTATCAGAGGTTGATTCATGACGTTTAAGGAAAGAAGCCATCTCTATAATATAAAAGTGCTAGTGAAGCAGCAAGTGCTGAAGCAGAAGCTGTCGCCAGTTAACCAGAAGATCTAGCTAAGATCAATGATGAAGGTGGCTACATGAAACAACAGATTTCTCACTCTGTCGCCAGGCTGGAGTGCAGTGGTGTGATCTTGGATCACTGCAACCTCAGCCTCCCGGGTTCAAGCAATTCTCCTGCCTCAGCCTCCGGAGTAGCTGGGATTACAGACACACACCACCACGCCCAGCTGATTTTTGTATTTTTAGTAGAGACACAGTTTCACAATGTTGGACAGACTGGTCTCGAACTCCTGATCTTGTGATCCACCCTCCTTGACCTCCCAAAGTGCTGGGATTACAGGCGTGAGACACCACACCTGGATGAAACAACAGATTTTGAAAGTAGATGAAACAGCTTTCTATCAGAAGAAGATGCCATCTAAGACTTTCATAGCTAGAGAGGAAAAGTCAATGCCTAGCTTCAAAGCTTCAAAGGACAGGCTGACTCTCTTGTTAGGTGTTAATGCAATTGGTGACTTTAAGTTGAAATTAATGCTCATTTACTATTCTGAAAATCCTAGGGCTCTTAAGAATTATGTTAAAGCTATTTTTTTTTTTTTTGGAGATGGTGTCTTGCTCTGTCACTCAGGCTGCAGTGCAGTAGCATAATCTTGGCTCACTGCAACCTCCACCTCCCGGGTTCAAGCAATTCTCCTGCCTCAGCCTCCCGAGTAGCTGGGATTACAGGCACGCACCACCACACCCAGCTAATTTTTGTATTTTTAGTAGAGACAGGGTTTCGCCATGTTGGCCAGGCTGATCTCAAATTCCTGATCTCAAGTGATCTGCCTGCCTCGGCCTCCCGAAATGGTGGGATTTCAGGCGTGAGCCACCACACACAGCCAAATCTACTTTATCTGTGCCTTATAAATGGAACAACAAAGCCTGGATGACAGCACATCTGTTTATAACATGGTCTATTGAATATTTTAAGCCCACTTTGGAGGACTACTTCTCAGAAAAAAAGATTCCTTTCAAAATGTTACCGTTTATTGACAATGCATCCAGTCATTCAGGAGCTCTGATGGAGATGTATAAGGAGATGACTGTTGTTTTTATGCCTGTTAACACAACATTCAGACTGGGCATGGTGGCTCATGCCTGTAATCCCAGCACTTTGAGAAGCCAAGACGGCAGATCACTTGAGGTCAAGAGTTCTAGACCAGCCTGGCCAAATGGTGAAACCCGTCTCTACTAAAAATACAAAAATTAGCCAGGTGTGGTGGCCCACACCTGTAATCCCAGCTACTTGGGAGGCTGAGGCAGGAGAATCACTTGAACCTGGGAGGCAGAGGTTGCCGTGAGCCAAGATCACGCCACTGCACTCTAGCCAGGGCAGCAGAGTGAGACTCCATCTCAAAAACAAACAAAAAAAGAAACGAAAAAAACTACAACATCCATTCTGCAGTCCACGGATCAAGGAGTAATTTCAACTTTAGAGTATTTTATTATTATTATTATTTATTTATTTTGAGATGGGAGTCTTGCTCTGTCACCCAGGCTGGAGTGCAGTGGCATGGTCTCAGCTCCCTGAAACCTCTGCTTCCCAGGTTCAAGCAATTCTCCTGCCTCAGCCTCCCAAGTAGCTGGGATTAAAGGTACACACCATCATGCCTGGCTAAGTTTTGTAGTTTCAGTAGAGCTGGGTTTTCCCCATATCGGCAAGGCTGGTCTTGAACTCCTGACCTCAGGTGATCTGCCTGCCTTGGCCTCCCAAAGTGCTAGGATTACAGGCGTGAGCCACTGCGCCTGGCCTCAAGTATCATTTTAGAGACAGGGTCTCACTCTGTTGCCCAGGCTAGAGTACAGTGGCCCAATCATAGTTCACTGCAACCTTAAACTCTTGGGCTCAACCCATCCTCCCACCTCAGCCTCCTGAGTAGCAGTGACTACAGGTGGGCACTGCCATGCCCGGCTAATTTTTTATTTTTATTTTTGTAGAGATGAGGTCTTGCTATGTTGCCCAGGCTGGTCTCAAACTTCTGGCCACAAGCAATCCTCTCACCTTGGCCTCCCAAAGTGCTAGCATTAGAAGTGTGAGCCACTGTGCTTGGCCCAAGTATTATTTAGGAAATACATTCCATAAGGCTATAGCTGTCATAGACAGTGATTCCTCTGATGGATCTGGACAAAGTAAATTTAAAACCCTCTGGAAAACATTCACCACACTAGATGCCATTAGGAATATCTGTGAGCCAGGCATGTTGGCTCATGTCTGCAATTCCAGCACTTTGGGAGGCTGAGGCAGGAGGATGGCTTGAGGCCAGGAGTTTGAGACCAGCTTAAGCAACATAGTGAGACCCTGCCTCCATTAAAAAAAAAAGCGCTCTCTCTCCCCCCTCCCCCTCCCTCTCCCTCTCCCCACGGTCTCCCTCTCCCTCTCCCCACGGTCTCCCTCTCCCTCTCTTTCCACAGTCTCCCTCTGATGCCGAGCAGAAGCTGGACTGTACTGCCGCTATCTCGGCTCACTGCAACCTCCCTGCCTGATTCTCCTGCCTCAGCCTGCCGAGTGCCTGGGATTGCAGGCGCGCGCCGCCACGCCTGACTGGTTTTCATATTTTTTTTGGTGGAGACGGGGTTTCGCTGTGTTGGCCGGGCTGGTCTCCAGCTCCTAACCGTGAGTTATCTGCCAGCCTCGGCCTCCCGAGGTACCGGGAATGCAGACGGAGTCTCATTCACTCAGTGCTCAATGTTGCCCAGGCTGGAGTGCAGTGGCGTGATCTCGGCTGGCTACAACCTCCACCTCCCAGCCGCCTGCCTTGGCCTCCCAAAGTGCCGAGATTGCAGCCTCTGCCTGGCCGCCATCCCGTCTAGGAAGTGAGGAGCGTCTCTGCCCGGCCGCCCATCGTCTGAGATGTGGGGAGCGCCTCTGCCCCGCCGCCCCGTCTGGGAGATGAGGAGCGTCTCTGCCCGGCCGCCCCGTCTGAGAAGTGAGGAGCCCCTCCGCCCAGCAGCCGCCCCGTCTGAGAAGTGAGGAGCCCCTCCGCCCGGCAGCTGCCCTGTCTGGGAAGTGAGGAGCGTCTCCGCCTGGCAGCTGCCCCGTCCGGGAGGTGGGGGGCAGCCCCCGCCCGGCTAGCTGCCCCGTCCAGGAGGTGGGGGGGGGCGCCTCCGCCCGGCCAGCTGCCCTGTCCTGGAGGTGGGGGGCGCCTCTGTCCGGCCGCCCCTTCTGGGAAGTGATGAGCCCCTCTGCCCGGCCGCCACCCCATCTGGGAGGTGTACCCAACAGCTCATTGAGAACGGGCCATGATGACGATGGTGGTTTTGTCGAATAGAAAAGGGGGAAATGTGGGGAAAAGATAGAGAAATCAGATTGTTGCTGTGTCTGTGTAGAAAGAAGTAGACATAGGAGACTCCATTTTGTTCTGTACTAAGAAAAATTCTTCTGCCTTGGAATGCTGTTAATATATGACCTTACCCCCAACCCCCTGCTCTCTGAAACATGTGCTGTGTCCGCTGAGGGTTAAATGGATTAAGGGCGGTGCAAGTGCTTTGTTAAACAGATGCTTGATGGCAGCATGCTCGTTAAGAGTCATCACCACTCCCTAATCTCAAGTACCCAGGGACACAAACACTGCGGAAGGCCGCAGGGTCCTCTGCCTAGGAAAACCAGAGACCTTTGTTCACTTGTTTATCTGCTGACCTTCCCTCCACTATTGTCTTATGACCCTGCCAAATCCCCTTCTGCGAGAAACACCCAAGAATGATCAATAAAAATAAATAAATAAATAAATAAAAAACTGTGATTCATGGGATTCATGGGAGGAGGACAACGTATATCAACATTAACAGAAGTTTGGAAGAAGCTGATTCCAACCTTCACGGATGGACCTTCAAGACATCAGTGGAGGAAGTAACTGCAGATGTGATGGAAACAGCAAGTGAATTAGAATTAGAAGTGGAGCCTGGCCAGGTGCAGTGGCTCACACCTATAATCCCAGCACTTTGGGAGGCCAAGGCAAGCGCATCACCTGAGGCCAGGAGTTCAAGACCAGCCTGGGCCAGGTAGCAAGACTCTGTTAATTAATTACTAAAGATTGTGAAATGCAAACCTACATCTCTTAGTTTTTAAAAATAGGAAAATTAATTCTTGACGTTGAGGGATATGGGGCTTCTTACTGAGATTAAGTGGGATAACCATAATTGTCATTTGTTTAGCTTTTCTTCTTCAAGCACTGTACACACCTATGTAAAGGCGGATACCAACACCATGCCTGACAAACATAATAAAATAAAGATGCAGAAGTAACCTGCCCAACATCCCTCTGCTAAAAGCATTCAAACCCAGGTCCGTATAATTATAAAGGTTATGTTCTTCCCACTGCTTCCTTAAAAGATTTATTGGAGGACTACCCTAGGCAAAGCACTTGCCCTAAGCACTCTAAATTAATTATTCAACTCTCTCAACAGTACTTTAGTATTGGTATTGTCCCTGTTGTACAAATAAAGAAGTTGAGGCTCGGCCGGGGTGGTGGCTCACGCCTGTAATCCCGGCTCTTCGGAAGGCCAAGGCGGACGGATCACGAGGTCAGGAGATCGAGACCATCCTTGCCAACATGGTGAAACCCCGTCTCTACTAAAAATACGAACAAAAAAATTGGCTGGGCGTGGTTGCGCGCGCCTGTAGTCCCAGCTACTCGGGAGGCTGAGGCAGGAGAATCGCTTTAACCCGGGAGGCGGAGGTTGCAGTGAACCGAGATTGTGCCACTGCACTCCAGCCTGGTGACAGAGCGAGACTCCGTCCCCCCCCCAAAAAAAAGTTGAGGCTCAAAAAAGTTAGGTAACTTGTCCAAGGTCATGCAGCCCTAGAATAATAAGGGAAAACAGTGTGTCCCAAAATGGCATTATTTGTCCGTGGGGCAGGTATGTTTGAATTTCCATCCATCCATCTATCTATCTGAGACTGGGGTCTCGCTATGCTGCTTGGACTGTTCTCGAACTCCTGGGCTCAGGCCATCCTCCTGGGATCTACCGGCGCGCAGAGACTACGGGCGCGCAGGGACTACCGAGGCGCGCAACCGTGCCCGGCTCCCCACCTCTTCAAGAAATGGAGATTGCAATGCTTGTGCCAACTAGTAAGCTTACACAGTTGTGAGCGAATACTCCACGTGAGAGGTTATAAATGACGTTGCACTAAGGGAGGGATGGATCCTTAACGCAAGTCAGGCCACAAAAGCGTACCAAAACGCAACTGTGCGTCTGCACCAGCGCGCCTGCGTGCAAAGGCCAGCCGAAGCAGAGAGCAGTGCACATGCGTGCAGCTACCAGCATATGGGCGTGGCGAATAGCGCCGGCTAGGTCTTCCAACCTCTAGGTGGGGTGCCAGCCGGGGCGGGCCCAGCACCCCGGCCGGGCAGTACTTTTTTTTTTTTTGCATACACCAGTTCTCAGGATATCGGAATCCGGTGCACAGCAGCTTCTTCAGGTTTGAGGTTCCGGATGCCTGGGGGCGGAGAAACGGGAGGGGAAAAACAGATGGCAAGGTGGGTGACCAGCGTCCAGAAATCCACTGGGGAAACCTCCTCCCGTTTTTACCCTTGGTACCGCGAGAATGGGCGGGGTCTGGCTTCGGGGCGGAAGCGACGGGCGGTCCCGGTTCCAGGGCGGGGCTGGAGACAGGGAGACCCGGCTGGGAAGTGCAGGCAAAGCCGGCTGTTACCCTGCACAGCCGTCACCCTCAACTTTCCCTTCAGGTGAGGCGTCCATGGAACGACTTCTGGCCCAGCTGTGCGGCAGCAGCGCAGCGTGGCCGCTCCCGCTGTGGGAGGGGGACACCACAGGCCACTGCTTCACCCAGCTGGTGCTCAGCGCCCTGCCCCACGCGCTCCTCGCCGTGCTCAGTGCCTGTTACTTGGGCACCCCGAGGTGGGTAGAGACGGGCGCAAGGCATCTGTCCATGTGTGCCTGCAGATCTCACCCGCGGCCTACATCTTCCGGCAGTGTCACCAGAATAGCGAGGTCTCTGGAGTAGGGCAGAAGTAGAATAAAATCTAAGCATTGCTACTTAGCAGCAATGTGGCTGTTCTTGGGCAAGTACCTGCCTTCTCTGAGTCTCATTGTTGGGAGGTTTAAATGAGATAATGAATTTAAGCATATAGTGCAGCGCCTGGCATGTTTTTAAAGGTCCGATGAGTATCAGAAATCATCAGAATTGTCCATTTTCAGCTACCCGGACTCAGCTGTCATGAATTGGAGGCAGAATTGGGGGAACAACGTTTTTAGCCAAAAGCGATGATGTGTTTAAGTTGTAGGCTCAGTTTCTCACCACTGCAACCCATGAAACCTTAGTGTTTCCAGATTAAGAAAAGCATACCTAGGCTCAGCTGAAGAGGAAGCAGTAGATAGACAAGAAGAGCAAAATCAAACATTAAGCCTTCCCCAATTAAGGGCTATAAGGTGTGGATGCTAAACTCAACTTGATTTTGTATTTAGTTCTTGTATGGCTAGAGATGACTAAAGTTAGTCTCATTCTGGCTGCCGAGAAGATAGGAGGACGGTGTGGTCTCTGCCTTTGGGAGTTCCTAGTCTGATGGGGGGAAGTGTCTCTATCCAAGAGGTCTTTCTTGCTTTCTCATTAGACTGAGTTCCCAAAAGACTGTGCCAATTTTTAATAGCTGCTCTTCTGAGAAGGCTGTCTATGCTAGGTGATTAAACCCTTCTAGACTTTTGTCTCTGTGTAAGAAACAAATCAGGATTCCTCCCAGACCAAGCGGATACACAGCTTCTCCTATCCAAGGAAGGGATTCATCCGCCCCCTGGGAAAGCAAGAAAGACCATCATGTGATCAATAGAAATTGTGCTTCACTTCACTTATCAGCCTTGTGTGTGTTGCTGAGAAGGGTTAGAGAGATCGAGAATCTAAGACAGGAAAGGGCCTCAGAAGGCTTTAACTTGAGACTCACTGCTCACCATACTGGTGAGGAAAGTGAGATTCAGAGAGGAAAAGAGACTTGAAGGGGTGATGAGGCTGGTTGATGGCCAACTTGGGGCCAGTTTATGCCTCCAAGGGCCCAGTGTTCTTTCTTGGGTCCCCACATCTTAGGAAATATATATATTTTTTTCTTTTCCTTCTTTCTTTTCTTTCTTTCTTTTCTTTCTTGTGTGTGTGTGTGTGTGTGTGTGTGTGTGTGTGTGTGGCGGGGGGGAGGGGGGATTGTTATTGTTGTTTTGTTTTTTGAGGCAGCGTCTCCCTCTGTTGCCCAGGCTGAAGTACAGTGGTGCAATCACAGTTCACTGCAGCCTCAACCTCCTGGGCTCCAGCAACCTCTCACCTCAGCCTTTTGATTTGCTGGGGCCACAAGTGCATGCCACCACACCTGGCTAATTTTTTTAAAAATTATTTTTAATAGGCCGGGTGCAGTGGCTCAAGCCTGTAATGCCAGCACTGTAGGAGGCCAGGAGTTCGAGACCAGCCTGCCAACGTGGCAGAATGCCATCTCTACTAAAAATACAAAAAATTGGCCGGGCCCAGTGGCTCATGCCTGTAATCCCAGCACTTTGGGAGGCTGAGACAGGCAGATCACTGGAGGTCAGGAGTTTGAAACCAGCCTGGTCAACATGGTGAAACCCCATCTTGAATCGCTTGAACCCAGGAGGCAGAGGTTGTGGTGCGCCAAGATTGCACCACTGCACTCCAGCCTGGACGACAAAGCGAGACTCTGTCTCAAAAAGAAAAAATTATTTTTAGTAGAGACAAGGCCTTGCTTTGTTGTCCAGGCTGGTCTTGAACTCTTGGGCTCAAGCAATCCTTCTGCCTCAGCCTCCTAAAGTTCTGGGTTTACAAATGTGAGCCACCATGCCCAGCCAGAAATAGAAAAAAATTTTTTTTTTCTTTGAGACAGGGTCTTACTCTGTCACCCAGGCTGGAGAGCAGTGGCACGATCTCGGCCCACTGCAACCTCCACCTCTTGGGTTCAAGCGATTCTCCTGCCTTAGCCTCCAGAGTAGCTGAGACTACAGGCATGTGCCACCATGCCTGGCCAGTTTTCGTATTTTTACTAGAGATGGAGTTTCACTGTGTTACACAGGCTGGTCTTGAACTCCTGGCCTCAAGTGATCCACCTGCCTCTGCCTCCCAAAGTGCTGGGATTACAGGCTTGAGCCACCATGCCCAGCCCAGAAATAGAATTCTTAAAGGCTGATTTTTTATTCCCATCTAAATCCCTACAAATAACTGTCATCAGGTGGACTTTTAAGAAAACCCCCAGCTACTCGGGAGGCTGAGGCAGGGGAATCGCTTGAACCTGGGAGGCGGAGGTTGCAGCGAGCTGAGATCACGCCATTGCGCTCCAGCCTGGCGACAGAGCAAGACTCTGCATTTTAGCTTACAAGTAAACTTTTTTAGTAACCTAGCCGTGCCACAAAGGGTGTAACAGACTCAGTCCTCTTTTTGTATGAACTTTCAAGACATCCTGATACTCACTGCTGCAGATACGTTTTCCTGTATTTGATTCTTTTTTTTTTTTTTGGACAGAGTCTCTCTTTGTCACCCAGGCTGGAGTACAGTGGCACGATCTCAGCTCACTGCAACCTCCGCCTCCCAGGTTCAAGCGATTCTCGTGCCTCAGTGTCCCAAAGTAGCTGGGATTACAGGTGTGTGCCACCATTCCCTGCTAATTTTTGTATTTTTATTAGAGACCGGGTTTTACCATGTTGGCCAGGCTGGTCTCAAACTGCTGATCTCAAGTGATCTGCCTGCTTCAGCCTCCCAAAGTGCTGGGATTACGGGCATAAGCCACTGTGACCAGCCCCTGTATTTGATTCTTAATGCAGACAGATCACCTTTTGTTTATTAAAAACATTTTTTTATGCCAAGAAGATATAAACACAAGCAAAAAGAGATATTTTTCTTTAGCTAAAGGAGTCGCAAAAGCAATCCACACCACCTTCTATAATCAGTGGAAAGAGAGTAGAATATTCCAAGCCTTTATAAAGTTTAGGCTACCATATTAGAATATAAAAGCTGTATGTAAGTCCGATTTTTATTCATTTAATAGTGCTTCAGGTGAATTTAAGGGTACTGTTAGGTGGATCCTTTTGTAAAAATGAATATGTACCCTTTATCAGTTATCTGCATGAAAACTTTGGATTTTCTTTTTTTTCCTGAGACGGAGTCTTCCCCTGTCACCCAGGCTGGAGTGCATTGGCGTGATCTCAGCTCACTGCAACCTCCATCTCCCAGATTCAAGCGATTCTCCTGCCTCAGCCTCCTGAGTAGCTGGGATTGCAGGTGCCTGCCACCATGCCTGGCTAATTTTTGCATTTTTGGTAAAGATGGGGGTTTCACCATGTTGGCCAGGCTGGTCTCGAACTCCTAACCTCAGGCGATCCTCCCGTCTCAGCCTCCCAAAGTGCTAGGATTACAGGCGTGAGCCACGGCGCCCAGCCTGGATTTTTTTTAAAATTTTAGATTCATGAGGCATATGTGCTTGTTTGTTATTATACATGGATATATTATGTGATGCTGAAGTTTGGGCTTCTAATGATCCCATCACCAAAGTAGCAAACGTAGTACCCAGGATTTTTTTTTTCCTAGTTAGTCTTCATGTTAAGTACAATCTTACCTCAAAATTGTTAATGTCTGTGGTTTAAAAAAAAACATGAATCAGAAATGGTGTGGGTAGTTTAGAAAATGAGTTAGGTTCAGGTGGCCGGTTAGCTCAGTTGGTCAGAAAATGAGTTAGGTTCATCTGGGAAGACTTCCTGGGAGAAAAGACCCTGGGTTCTGAGGTAAAGTGGAGTAGGGATAAGATGTGCAAGGCAGGAAGGGAGTTGATTCCTTAGGTAAGTGAATTATTGGAGGTGAGGGGTATGTCTGGCTCCTGAGTCAGCCACGATGTGCCTCCTTGTCTTCCCCCTTGTCCCCAGGAGTCCAGATTACATCCTACCCTGCAGTCCTGGATGGCGCCTCCGACTTGCAGCTTCCTTCCTGCTTTCCGTCTTCCCGCTGCTAGACCTTCTTCCAGTTGCTTTGCCACCAGGGGCAGGCCCAGGACCCATAGGGCTAGAGGTGTTGGCAGGGTGCGTGGCAGCTGTGGCCTGGATCAGCCACAGCCTGGCCCTGTGGGTGTTGGCACATTCCCCTCATGGCCACTCCCGGGGTCCCTTGGCCTTGGCCCTGGTAGCCTTGCTGCCAGCTCCAGCCCTAGTGCTGACCGTGTTGTGGCATTGCCAGCGAGGCACACTTCTGCCCCCACTTCTCCCAGGGCCCATGGCCCGCCTATGCTTGCTCATCCTGCAGCTGGCTGCACTCTTGGCCTATGCACTGGGATGGGCAGCTCCTGGGGGACCACGAGAACCCTGGGCTCAGGAGCCCCTCCTGCCCGAGGATCAAGAACCTGAGGTGGCTGAAGATGGGGAGAGTTGGCTGTCACGCTTTTCCTATGCCTGGCTGGCACCCTTGCTGGCCCGTGGGGCCTGTGGAGAGCTCCGGCAGCCTCAGGACATTTGCCGCCTCCCCCACAGACTGCAGCCAACCTACCTGGCTCGTGTCTTCCAGGCACACTGGCAGGAGGGGGCACGGCTGTGGAGGGCCTTGTATGGGGCCTTTGGACGGTGCTATCTGGCACTTGGACTGCTGAAGCTGGTGGGGACCATGTTGGGATTCTCAGGGCCCCTGTTGCTCTCCCTACTGGTGGGCTTCCTGGAAGAGGGGCAGGAGCCACTAAGCCACGGCCTGCTCTATGCTCTGGGGCTAGCCGGTGGGGCTGTGCTGGGTGCTGTGCTGCAGAATCAGTATGGGTATGAGGTATATAAGGTAACACTTCAGGCACGGGGGGCTGTGCTGAACATCCTGTACTGCAAGGCTTTACAGCTGGGGCCCAGCCGCCCTCCTACTGGGGAGGCCCTGAACCTACTAGGCACTGACTCTGAACGGCTGCTTAACTTTGCTGGGAGCTTCCATGAAGCCTGGGGCCTGCCCCTGCAACTGGCCATCACCCTCTACCTGCTGTACCAGCAGGTAGGCGTGGCCTTCGTGGGTGGTCTCATCTTGGCACTGCTGCTGGTACCCGTCAACAAAGTGATTGCCACCCGCATCATGGCCAGCAACCAGGAAATGCTACAGCACAAGGATGCGCGGGTTAAGGTGAGCGGGTACTTGGGGTCCCTCAGCTATCTGGAGACCCCACCCAGCCCAGGTCCCCAGGTCTTCCCATGCACACTACCTGAGGGAGTGAGAGTGACCTCAAAGTTAAGAGCTGAGACTGGAGAAAGGTAGACCTGGGTTCAAATCCTGGCTCTACACTTACTGGTTCAATCACTTCAGACAAGTCACTTAACCTATTTGGGCTTCCCCTTCCTCATCTGTAAAGTGAGAATAGTAGTAGCTTACCTTGTAGAGTTGTAAGGATCTCATGAGATAATGCTTAGTGTAGTGCCAGTCACAAAGTAAGCTCTGAATACATGTGGCCACCCTGGGAGGTAGGAAGTCATCTGTCTGGCTCCAAACAGGTCTTTAGGGCCAGAGCTGGGACCCAAGTCTCCAACCTCCTTATCTAGGGCACAGACCACCCCATGGCTGCATGTAGAGACCTAGGAGAACCTCAGCTGCCTCTTTGGGTAGGCTGAGGGGAAGGGAATAGGTCACTTTCCTGCCTGGGTCAACTCCAGGTGTTTAGGGTTTGGCTGAATCTGCAGAGCTCTGGGTTCTGCAGTGATTGTGGGTACCTTCACAAAGGGGATGGCAGTCCTGGGGGTTCATACAGCATAGTTGTCGACCCTTAGTGGAACAGCTCAGAGTGCTCCTGGAGGGAAGGGAGGTTGATAGATGGTTATGGCATGAGGCATTTTCCCCTACCTGTGACAGCTACAGACGAGGAGTTTTGGCCCTTGCCCATCTTCCCTGGGCCCATTAGCCTGTTTGACCCTGGGCTGTAGTGTGGCCTCTTATGCCTGTGTACTTCTACAGGAATAGTTTCTGTGCCACTCAAGCCGGGGGCCGGAACTGGGGGGCCAGCCCCCGAAGCCCACATCTTTTGGTTTTGGGAGATAGCCCTTTGTCCCTCATCTAATGGGAGGAGAGCTTTTACTCCACTGTGGTGACCTGGCTCCACCTTCCACCACTCCTCCTAGGAAGGTGGGGAATTCCCACTCCAAGCTGTCCCCAGCTGGAGCAAATGGAGAAGTAAGAGACTGGGAGGGGAAGCAACCCAGGGCTGAAAAGGATTTGAAGGGCAGGATTTCCAGAAAGTACTGAGGTGAGGAAGAAAACCAAGACTAGGGCAGTGCAGAGTATCTGGGAGCTTAGAGTACTGAACATTCTGCCAGCAGCCTGGGGAAGGCTTGGCAGGGAAGACACATGAGCAGTGCCTCCACTTCACGCCTCTCCCTTGTCTCCTTTCCCTAGCTTGTGACAGAGCTGCTGAGTGGCATTCGGGTCATCAAGTTCTGCGGGTGGGAGCAGGCACTGGGAGCCCGAGTAGAGGCCTGCCGGGCTCGAGAGCTGGGGCGACTCCGGGTCATCAAATACCTGGATGCGGCCTGTGTATACCTGTGGGCTGCCCTACCGGTTGTCATCTCCATCGTTATCTTCATCACCTATGTCCTCATGGGGCACCAGCTCACTGCCACCAAGGTGAGGACCAGGAAGGAAGGGGACCAGCATCAAGGAGACTTCAGCGAAGTGAAGACAGAGGCTTGGGCCCTCAGTGCTGGCTGAGAAGGAGGGAGGGATCCCTGACTGCCTCATCTCTCAACCAAGGGAAAACTGAAGAAACCTTTTTGTGGGGGCCTTGGATATATAACCCTCCCCTCTGTGAAGGAGTTCCTTTCTTTCCTCTCCTCTACCTTTCACTCCAGCTTCTATTCAGTTCCAGGCTTGGGGTTAGGTCTCTTCATCCTCGTTCTAATGGCCTTAGGAAAAAAATGTATGATGCAATCCTGGGTCTAGCCAAGGCCAGGTGATGTTGCTACTTGGAAATTCTAAAAAAAAGACTCAAAATGAGCTAGGCCTGCCTAGTTAAAAAGATGCAACCTTGGCCAGGCGTGGTGGCTCACACCTGTAATTCCAGCACTTTGGGAGGCCAAGGCAGGCGGATCACCTGATGTCAGGAGTTCGAGACCAGCCTGACCAACATGGTGAAACCTTGTCTCTACTAAAAATATAAAAATTAACCAGGTGTGGTGATGCATGCCTGTGATCCCAGCTACTCAGGAGGCTAGGGTAGGAGAATCACTTGAACCCTGGAGGTGGAAGTTGCAGTGAGCCGAGATTATGCCACTGCACTCCAGCTTAGGTGACAGAGCAAGACTCGTCAAGAAAAAAAAAAATGCAACCTGAATCCCTTGAGGAACATTGGAATTTCTAGGATTCTTTAAGTGACCATCTCTGCCACATCTGATCCCAGGATTGGCCAGCCAGCCCTTCAGTTCTGTCATTGCCCAGTTCTTCCCTCCGTAGACCTGTCCACAGGGCTTCCCATAGAAACAGGCCCTTAGATAACTCCTGGGGCTTCACCCTGCACCCACCTCACTCAGGTGTTCACGGCCCTGGCACTGGTGCGAATGCTCATTCTTCCTCTCAACAACTTCCCTTGGGTGATCAATGGTCTCCTGGAGGCCAAAGTGTCCTTGGACCGGATCCAGCTTTTCCTCGACCTTCCAAACCACAACCCCCAGGCCTACTACAGCCCAGGTAATGGGAAGCTAGTGGGCAGAACCTGGCACAGGGTGAGGAGGGAAGTGGAGCCACTTGGGTGCTGCGCATAGATGTCACCAAGAGGGCTTAGAGAGAGCGGAATCCAAAACAGACTCATTTAGCTTTGGGCAGGTAGATATGGGGCTGGCAAGTGAATTACATGATTTACCCTCCCCAAACAGATTGTGGTAGATTAGGAGCCCAAATCAAGTGGCTTCTCTGTTCAGATCCCCCTGCAGAGCCATCTACAGTATTGGAGCTGCATGGAGCCTTGTTCTCCTGGGACCCAGTTGGAACCAGCCTGGAGACCTTCATCAGTCATCTCGAAGTGAAAAAGGTTTGTTGGACAGACACCCTGGGAGAGTCCTCAGACTAACGAGAGAGATGGGAACTCATGTCAGAGAAGCAGTGACCGAGCCAATCATAGCTGATGGCTCTGCAGCTCTAATTGCTGCAGGAGGGATAGGCATTTGGTGAGCAGGTTCTAATCATGAGGAGATGACACCTCACATCTGAATCTCAGAATAGTTGCACCTCTCTCTGGTCTTTAGGCAGCTTGTATCCATCCAGTCCAGACCAATGGGTGTGCTTGTCTCTCCATGTCCCTCAGAAGCTGCAGCATTCAGAACAGGCCCTGGGGTTTATGTAGCATCTCCCCCAGATTGGGGATCTGGGGGAGAGGCCCAGCAAGTGCTTCCAAGAAATATTTTGCAAATGGGGATCCTCTGTTTAGGCTGGTGAAAAGCAATCACACCCTGTGACTCATGCTACAGCATACAAAGAACTTAAAATGGGGCATTCCTGGCAATAAGCCAACTCCTGTTCACCTCCTGTTCTGAGTTTTCACTCTCTCCTGACCTTTGTCCAACCCTGTGCCCCACAGCTCAACCCGGCATTCTCTGGTGGTGGCTGAATTGCCTCCACCACATTTGGCTCACGTTTCTGGCTTGGGCTGTATGTTTTGTTTTTCCTCTTAGTTCAGGCAAGACAAGGCTAGATTTGTACAAAGGAATTTTGCTAATGTGTTAGTTGGGGCTTTTTTGGGTATAAGTTACAGAAACACACTAGAGCTAGCTTAAGCAAACAAGAATTTATAATAAGGATGTAGAGATACATTGCAGAATCCAAAGGCAGGAACGCAGCTGGATCTTAGAAACAGCCCAGAACCAGGCCTCAACTCGCAGAGCTCTCTGCTTCTGTGTGCCTCTCTCCCTGTATTTGCCTGGTTCTCTTCTCTCTGTGGACACACCCTCCACTGAGCAGAAGATGTGACTACAGAGAATGCTCGAGTTTACAAGTTACAGCCAACAAGGAGAAGCTGCCTCTGGGACCTGATCCCAAATTCCCATGGAAAGGTCTCAGAAGTGGTGCCCACTTGTAGCTGGGTCAACCCTGGCTGGCAGGGTTGGGGCATCACAGGCAGATAGAGCTTCTGAGAGCCCAGTCCCTTCTAGAGAAGGAACTAGGACTTTTTTTTTTTTATATTTTTTTGAGCAGGGAGATAGCTCCATGAACATATGACCAAAAAAAAAAAAAAAAAAAAAAAAGGTAAACAGAAAAATTTAAGCCACAGAAATAGGGATCTATGCAAAGCTCTGCTTTTTCCCCTGAGATATGGTAACTCTAGCCACAGGTCGACTTAGCCAACCCATCATCCAGGCCCTAAAGCCTGGAATTCTACCCTTCCCTCTCCCGTTCTGGAGTGCCTGTCTCAGAGTTTACCTTGGAAGTTCTTGGGTGGTTTCCTCCCATTCTCTCTGGCATGCTGCTCCCCTTCAGAGGCCCTTCACATAGACAGTGAAACTGATAGCCACTCTGAGTGGAGAAAAAAACACCCTACTTTTCTAGAGCCTGATTTGTTGATCAGCCTGTGAAGCGGAGAATTCTTTCCCTACACACTAAAGAAAGAAGAAAAGAGAAGCCTCAGTGGGAGGACTGGCAGCCCAGAGTGTCAAGAGGGAGACCACTGCCACCTCTGTCCTGTCTCCTACCAATAGCAGATGCTTGTGTGGCTTCCTTGCAGGGTATGCTGGTGGGCATCGTGGGGAAGGTCGGCTGTGGGAAGAGCTCCCTGCTGGCTGCCATCGCTGGAGAGCTCCACAGGTAACCAACCTCCTATGCACCCCTGTCCTTACTTTGTCCTTTAGCAAACACTGAGCCCCTCTTATGTGTTGGACACCTTTTGGGGGTCAGGGGTACTAAGAAGAGCAACGCATGGTCCCTTTATTGGGAGAGTTTTCAATCTGGAAAGAAGGAGGTGGCCAAGAAAGCGAATCATTGTAATCATTACACCAGAGTGTTTTAAATGCTATAATAGTCAGCAAAGGAATGGAAACATCCAGTGTCAGCTATTCTTTCAGAAATGTGGCTGTGCAGAGAAGGGATCCAGAGAGGAGCATAGGTTTGAGGGAGGACCTTGTTTTCAGATGGGAACAAGTACAATGTGGTGGCCATACTCTCCACTGAGCTCCTGAACAGATGTAAGTACAACAGCTGCTTGGCTGTAGCCAAAGAGCTATTTCTTCCCTTCTTCGCCCAGAATGGGCTTCATTAGGACCCCTTGACCTCAGGAGCTGCCATCTCAGTCATGTGACATGAAGGGGGACCCTGTGTAGAAGACAGCAGCCTGGGGAGGCTTCTAGGAGTCAAGGGCTGGGCATGGAGGGACCCAGAGGAGAGCTGGTCCTCATATTGCTCGCCTGGCTCTCTGCAGGCTGCGTGGGCATGTGGCAGTGCGGGGGCTGTCCAAGGGCTTTGGCCTGGCCACCCAGGAACCCTGGATCCAGTTTGCCACCATCCGAGACAACATCCTCTTTGGGAAGACATTTGATGCACAGCTGTACAAGGAGGTGCTAGAAGCCTGCGCCCTCAATGATGACCTCAGTGTGAGTGCCTGGCCTTGAAACCTCTTAGCTGCCTGTTTCTCCAGTGTCCCTGACACCTCAAACCAGGAGCTTTGCTTTTCTGGAAAGGGGTTGCTTCTACTCGGGCATCACTTATCTAGGAATGGCCATCGGACTGTGGTCCTCCCAGAGTGTCCAGCTGCCCCTTCTGATAGGGCCCAGTAGGGTGGTGACTGTGTGTTCTGCACAGTTGTGGGAAGAGCCCTAAGGCCTCTGGAGCTAGGGAGGGTTCCACCTGTGGGGCTTAGCTCTGCACAGCCTGGCTCCTTGTCCCCTTCTCCATACCCACTTCCCACTGGGAAGGCTTGGAAGAGTCAAAGTTTCATTTGGTTGCAGGTTACCCTAGGGAAACCTGCCAAGCTATTAGATTTCCCCTTGCCCCCAGTCCAGAGTACTATATTTATAGGAGAAGAGATTCCAGATTTCTCCCTTGACTTCCCACCCAACCCTGCTGTCCCCTTCAGAAATGTCACCACCACTACCCTACCCAGGTAAATGTGGAATGTCCCTGAAAAGGAGCACTTTTAACCTTGACCATGGGGCATTCTGTATCCAGCTGTCATTCTTTTTATTACTTTTTTAAAATTGATTAATTTTTTTTTTTTTGAGACAGGGTCTTTTTTCTGTCCCCCAGGCTGGAATGCAGTGGCGCCATCTTGGCTCACTGCAGCCTCTGCCTCCCGGGCTCAAATGATCCTCCCACCTCAGCCCCTCAAGTGGCTGGGACTACAGGAGTGAGCCACCACACCCAGCTAATTTTCGTTTTGTTTTGTTTTGTTTTGTGTTTTTGAGACGGAGTCTCACTGTGTTGCCAGGCTGGAGTGCAGTGGCACAATCTCGGCTCACTGCAACCTCCGCCTCCTGGATTCAAGCGATTCTCCTGCCTCAGCCTCTCGAGTAGCTGGGACTACAGCTGCGTGCCACCATGCCCAGCTAATTTTTGTATTTCTAGTAGAAACAGGGTTTCACCATGTTGGCCAGAATGGTCTCCATCTCCTGACCTTGTGATCTGCCCACCTTGGCCTCCCAAGGTGCTGGGATTACAGGCGTGAGCCACCGCGCCTGGCCTACTACCCTGTCTTTTTAACAGTCAAGGTAGTAAGATATCTTGGGCAGATTTTATGTAAAAGCTTTTATAGGTTTTTACTTTTTCGTGTGTGTGAGACAGAGTCTTGCTCTGTCGCTCAGGCTGGAGTGCAGTGGAATGATCTCGGCTTACTGCAACCTTTGCCGCTCGGGTTCAAGTAATTCTCTTGCCTCAGCCTCCTGAGTAGCTGGGACTACAGGTGTAAGCTGCCACGCCTGCCTAATTTTTGTATTTTTAGTAGAGATGGGGTTTCACCATGTTGCCCAGGCTGGTCTCGAACTGTTGGGCTCAAGTGATCCGCCCGCCTTGGCCTCCCAAAGTGCTGGGATTACAGGCGTGAGCCACTGTGCCCGGCCCAGCTTTCGTAGGTTTTTAGAGAAGGAATGTACTACCTCTAAGGCTTCTTGTGGCCTCAGGAATGGGCTACTAAGCAAAGGGATTCCCTTCCTCACGCAGAGGAAGCACCCGTGATCCACTAGATGGTGAGTCCCCTGAGCTAAAAGCTTTGTTGTTCATCTCTTTCCTTAGTGCCTACAACAGTACCTAGGACCTAGCAGACTTGGGAAAGCAATGAATGATTGGCCAGGCGTGGTGGCTCATGCCTGTAATCCTAGCATTTTGGGAGGCCAAGGAGGGTGGATCGCTTGAGGTCAGGAGTTCAAGACCACCCAGGGCAGCCAGGCTTAACAGTGGTGGCTCACGCCTGTAATCCCAGCACTTTGGAAGTCCAAGGTGGGCAGATCATGAGGTCAGGAGTTCGAGACCAGCCTGGCCAACATGGTGAAACCCCATCTCTACTAAAAATACAAAAAATAGCTGGGCGTGGTCGTGGGCACCTGTAATCCCAGCTACTCGGGAGGCTGAGGCAGGAGAATCTAGCTTGAACCCAGGAGGCGGAGGTTTCAGTGAGCCAAGATCGCGCCATTGTACTCCAGCCTGTGCAACAGAGTGAGACTCCGTCTCAAAAAAAAAAAAATACCAGACCACCCAGGGCAATATGGTAAAATCTCTTCTCTACAAAAAAAAAAAACAAACAAACAAAAAAAACAAAAATTAGCTGGGTGTCATGGCTCACACCTGTAGTCCTAGCTACTCTGGAGGCTGAGGCAGGAGAATTGCATGAACCCGAGAGGCGGAGGTTGCAGTGAGCTGAGATCATGCCACTGCACTCCAGCCTGGGCGACAGAGCAAGACTCTGTCTCACACACACAAAAAAGTAAAAACCTATAAAAGCTTTTACATCAAATCTGCCCAAGATACCTTACTACCTTGCCTGTTAAAAAGACAGGGTAATAGGCCAGGCACGGTGGCTCACGCCTATAATCCCAGCACTTTGGGAGGCCAAGGTGGGTGGATCACAAGGTCAGGAGATCGAGACCATCCTGGCTAACATGGTGAAACCCCGTCTCTACTAAAAATGCAAAAATTAGCTGGGCATGGTGGCACACGCCTGTAGTCCCAGCTACTCGAGAGGCTGAGGCAGGAAAATCGCTTGAACCCAGGAGGTGGAGGTTTCAGTGAGCTGAGATTGTGCCACTGCACTCCAGCCTGGCGACAGAGCGAGACTCCGTCTCAAAAAAAAAAAAGGGTAGTAAATGTAACAAAGTAGTTAAGAATCTGAATCTGAACTTGTGTCCTGCCCCTTACTAGCTGTGGGCCAGCTAGTTAATCTGTCTGAGCTTTGGTTGCACCTGAGAAAAGGAAATGATACCATCTTCATAAGATTACATTGGGGCTTGAATGAGAGAATGCCTGTAAAGTGCTAGGCACATAGTGTTCAATAAGTGCTTGATGTTATTGGAATTATGTCTTGTCTCCTCTGACTAGCTCACCCCAAATTTAAGTCTACTCTCCTCAAGCTCCCTACTTCTCTTGACTCCCACTATCTCCTGCAAAGGGATAGGAAGTGGGCCAGAAGGTAATGGGAGCTCCCTGACCCACTGGGGCACCTGTTCCATCAGATCCTGCCTGCTGGAGACCAGACAGAGGTGGGGGAGAAGGGTGTCACCCTTAGCGGAGGACAGCGTGCCCGGATTGCCCTTGCTCGTGCTGTCTACCAGGTCAGTTAAAGATGGAGGTTGCAGTGGCAGGGAGGTGGGGGGAGTCCAGAGCCTTGGGAACTTGGCTGAGTTAGGAGGATAGGAATATTTTCCTTAGCATCTGGTTCCTTCCCTCCTCCCTTGCATGTTCCTGAGGTATTGGCCATCTCATCCCCTTTTGCAGATTTAAGGCAGAGTTCAAGGCCTTTAAAAAGTATTTGTAGGCTGGGCATGGTGGCTTAGGTCTGTAATCCCAGCACTTTGGGAGGCCAAGGCAGGAGGATTGCTTGGGCCCAGGAGTTTAAGATCAGCCTGGGCAATGTGGCAAAACCCTGTCTCTACAAAAAATAATTTTAAAAAGTTAGTTGGTGTAATCCTAGCACTTTGAGAGGCCGAGGAGGGTGGATCACTTGAGGTCAGGAGTTCGAGACCAGCTGGGCCAACATGGTGAAACCCCATCGCTACTGAAAAACATACAAAAATTAGCTGGGCATAGTGGCACATGCCTGTAATTCCAGCTACTCGGGAGGCTGAGGCAGGAGAATCGCTTGAACCCGAGAGGCAGAGGTTGCAGTGAGCCAAGATCACACCATTGCACTCCAGCCTGGGTGATGAGAATGAAACCCTGTCTCCAAAAAAATTTAGCTGGGCTTGATAGCATGCACCTGTAGTCCCAGCTACTCAGGAGGCTGAGGTGGGAAGGATCACTTGAGCCTGGGAAATTGAGGCTGCAGTGAGTGGTGTTCATGCCACTGCACTCCAGCCTGGGCAACAGAGCAAGACCATGTCTCAAAAAAAAAAAAAAGTGTTATATGGGCTGAGGGCCTGGGACCTAGGAAAGCTGAGTGCTGGCCCTGGGGTGCTGTTCTTTCTTGCCTGAAGGGATGTCCACCCTCAGGTCTCACCTCCTTCTCTGCTAGTGTAGGGGTAGCCCCCAGAGTTTCTCTCAACTGTCTTCTCTGATCACTTTGAGATCTTCTCCGGAGAGCCTTTGGGTCCTGGTGCCCACGGTACCCTCACGTCTCCATAGGAAAAGGAGCTCTATCTCCTCGATGACCCTCTGGCCGCTGTGGATGCAGATGTGGCCAACCACCTGCTGCACAGGTGCATCCTGGGCATGCTGAGCTACACCACACGGCTGCTCTGCACCCACCGCACTGAGTACCTGGAGAGGGCTGACGCGGTGCTGCTGATGGAGGCCGGGCGCCTCATCCGGGCTGGTAATGGGGGCAGGAGCCCCGTGTGAGGGAGGTGTCTGCCCAGGTCTGGCAGGGGATTGTGAAGTACAGACTCTGCCCCCTGCTGCATGTGTGCCCTGAGCCAGTCATTGCTGCCTCCCGCCTTCACAGAACTGGTGTGAGGAACTGGGAGAACAGGAGGGAAAAGGAGTACGTTGGTAAAATGCCAGTGTATTTGGGACTCATGGGCTTTGTGACTGGGTGCTCTTGGGAACTTAAAGGCCCAGGGTCTCTGAGAACATTCTCATATCTTCAGAGAAGAGAAAGGAGTCAGGTTTAGAATGGTCTTTTTGTAAAAACAAAAATTTTTAAACTCTGAAAGATTTTTATGCAGAGGGATGTGACCACCTGCAAGTTTACTGGGAGAGAAATAGGAGGAAATGAAGCTCCAGCCAGATATTAGGAATTGAGCGAAGCATGAGAAAAAGCTCTGCAGTAATGAGAAGTAACCCTGGACAGAGTGGCAGGCATAGCTCTGGCGGTCCTCTTGGGGATGGACATTCGTCCCTCTCTGCTGGTCGGAATCAAGGTTTACAAGGATGGACTTGAGTCCTGCTCGAGGTCTAGGGGTATCCAGAGCAGGGTGGGTTAGAGAGGGAGGCCTAAGAGTCCTGCTCGAGGTCTAGGGGTATCCTGCTAGGGTGGGTTAGACGGGGAGGCCTGAGAGGATGAGAGGTGGGATCTGCACACGCACTGAGAAAGGCATAGTATAGACTCAGAACAGTCCTCTCCCAATCTCCCCTTCTACCCTCCAGGACCTCCCTCTGAGATTCTGCCACTGGTACAAGCTGTCCCCAAAGCCTGGGCTGAGAATGGACAAGAGTCTGACTCAGGTATGGCTCCCCAGTGGGAGAAAAGGGCTTGCTTTTCCCTGCCACACTGTAGAGCTTTTTCTACAACGGCTGCCCGCTCCTCTGAAATACTGAGTTTTCAGCTGGCACCCTGCAAGCTTAATTCTTCCATGACCCCTGATTCTCACAGCCACAGCCCAGTCAGTACAGAACCCAGAGAAAACAAAGGAGGGGCTGGAGGAGGAGCAGAGCACATCTGGTCGCCTGCTGCAGGAAGAAAGCAAGAAGGAGGGCGCCGTGGCCTTGCACGTGTACCAAGCTTACTGGAAGGCCGTGGGCCAGGGCTTGGCCTTAGCCATCCTCTTCTCTCTGCTTCTCATGCAAGGTGAGAGCGTGCCTGGGAGTCTCTTACATCGTAACGGCTGTGCTGTCTAGGTGCCCATTACCTTGCACTAATCATTACAAAGCCCAGAGACTCACCAAGCATGGGTCACAGCTGGGACAAAAGCCATACTCCTAATTCTGAGAGATGCCCAGGGGCCAGAGGCATGTGCTCTATAGCTGGCTTCTGTTCTGCCCCCTAGGTTAGCTCCCATTCTGCAAGTCTGAGATCCTGTTCTCCCCAGAGCTGAAGGGTGACGGGCCTATGAGAGAAGCCCACACTAGGGAGGATATGGGGTAGTGGCAGGGTGGGGAGGCCAGGCCAGGCGGATGGAGATGGGCAGGAACCAGAGGCAAGGGCGGAGAAAGGGGGCATTGGAATAGAATGAACAAGGGAGAGGAGCCTCTTACAGCTTTTTCCTTCCTGTCCCCACCCAGCCACGCGGAACGCTGCTGACTGGTGGCTCTCCCACTGGATCTCTCAGCTGAAGGCTGAGAATAGCTCCCAGGAGGCGCAACCCTCCACCAGCCCAGCTTCTATGGGGCTCTTCTCTCCGCAGCTGCTCCTCTTTTCCCCTGGAAACCTCTAGTGAGTGGCTGGGGCTGGGGGTAGGCCTGGTGCTCTCAGAGTGGTCGCCAGGCAGGGAGTGAGGGTTGTGGCCGGTATTCCAGATGCTGTGACTTCTGGAGGGTGGGAGAGATGGCATGGGGGAGGAGAAAGGACCCCCGAGTGGCCCTAGTTTTGGTTACCGACAGCCCCCTCCTCACCACCCAGCATCCCAGTGTTCCCACTGCCCAAAGCTGCCCCCAATGGCTCCTCAGACATCCGTTTCTACCTCACCGTGTATGCGACCATTGCTGGTGTAAATTCCCTCTGCACCCTTCTCCGGGCAGTGCTCTTTGCAGCAGGCACCCTTCAAGCAGCTGCCACTCTGCATCGCCGCCTGCTGCATCGAGTCCTTATGGTGAGGGGCTGGGACCTCGGGGGTAGGGGAGTGCAGTCCTAGCCCCTGTGGAGTGTCCTCCCAATACTCGGGCTCCACTGGGGATGGGAGAGTCTTTCCTGCCCTGGGATATTCTTCCTCAACCTCTGCCAATCTCTCTTCTCTGCCCCCAAATTCTGGGGATATTTTAGTCCTTCCCTATTCTCTATCTTGGGCCTTCCCCTCCACCCCACCTCCCCCAGTGCTGCCTGCCAACCCCTCTTCTGCCAGACTCTGCCCTGGCCCAATCAGCGTCCTTCTCCCAGGCACCAGTGACTTTCTTCAATGCCACACCCACGGGCCGGATCCTAAACCGCTTCTCCTCTGATGTGGCCTGTGCGGATGACAGCCTGCCCTTCATCCTCAACATCCTCCTGGCCAACGCGGCAGGCCTGCTGGGGCTCCTGGCCGTGCTGGGCTCTGGCCTGCCCTGGCTGCTGCTCCTGCTGCCGCCTTTGAGCATCATGTACTATCACGTGCAGCGCCACTACAGGGCCTCCTCACGGGAGCTGCGGCGCCTGGGCAGCCTCACCCTGTCTCCACTGTATAGCCATCTGGCCGATACCTTGGCTGGCCTCTCTGTGCTCCGGGCCACAGGGGCCACCTACAGGTGTGTGAACCAGAGCCCAGGGGGATGAGGTGTTGGGGGGAGAGGAAAAGAGAGACCCCCAAGAAGAGGAATATGCAGGGTATGGTTGGTTCAGCCCTCCTGGGGACAAGGGATGGGGAAGGAGGAAAGCAACAGAAGAAGGAGATAGGGAGGCAGAGTGGACCCCCACTTTGAAAGAGCACACTGGCATCTGCAGCCCTGAGGGAGGCCTGTGGGTATACAGACCAGCTCCCAAGAAGGAGCTGCTCAATAAGGGCCTTCCCTGTTGAGGCCCTGAGGCTGGGTGGCTCAGGGCAACAGTGGAGTGGCTTCACATCCCTCTGGCCTTCCCTAGGTTTGAGGAGGAGAACCTGCGACTCCTTGAGCTAAACCAGAGGTGCCAGTTTGCCACCAGTGCCACAATGCAGTGGCTGGACATTCGGCTACAGCTCATGGGGGCGGCAGTGGTCAGCGCTATCGCAGGCATCGCTCTGGTGCAGCACCAGCAGGGCCTCGCTAACCCAGGTGCCACCCAGGACCCCTCACCCCTACCTCATCCACAAGTTAGTCCACCGCTCTCCCAGATCTCTCCCTGCACCATCCCCCCAACATTTTCACCTCCCACCCAGGGTTCCCTGTGAGGATGTATCATGATTATCATCATCACCCCCGTTTGGAGTTGAGGAGACAATCCCCAGGAGGGACTTGCCCAGGTGGTGGTGGCTTGGGGACTAGAATGAGTCTTCTGAGCTGCTGGTCTCAGTCCCTTCCCTGCTTCCACCCCGTCCCCACCACACTGCCCCAGCCCGCTTCAGTCTCCCACATGCCGTCCCTCCCAGCTTCTCCAGGCCCACCCCCTGCCCTGCATCTGGCCTCCTGTGCTCCTGGCTAGGTCCTATCACCCTCCTGCTTCTCTGTTGCTTTTTTGTTTTGTTTTTTTTTTTGAGATGGAGTCTCGCTCTGTTGCCCAGGCTGGAGTGCAGTGGCACGATCTCGGCTCACTGCAACCTCTGCCTCCTGGGTTCAAGCAATTCTCCTGTCTCAGCCTCCCAAGTAGCTGGGATTACAGGCGCCTGCCACCACGCCCAGCTAATTTTTGTATTTTTAGTAGAGACAGGGTTTCACCATGTTGGCCAGGCTGGTCTCAAACTCCTGACCTCGTGATCCACCTGCCTTGGCCTCCCAAAGTGCTGGAATTACAGGCGTGAGCCACCGCGCCCAGCCTCTGTTGCTTCCTTTAAATGCCAGCAGTCCACAGCCTGGGGAGTCTCCCACAAACGTCCCGGTGTCCAAGCTCTCCCAGCAGCTGGTACTTCTCTCCCCCAGGGCTGGTGGGCTTGTCGCTGTCTTATGCCCTGTCCCTGACGGGCCTGCTCTCGGGCCTGGTGAGCAGCTTCACACAGACAGAGGCCATGCTGGTGAGCGTCGAGCGGCTGGAAGAGTACACCTGTGACCTGCCCCAGGAACCCCAGGGCCAGCCACTGCAGGTGGGCCTGTACCCCCACCCCAGGCCAAAGCTCTGGAACCCTGAAGGCCCCAGTCTCCCTCACAATTCCTTTCTTTTTGCCCACCCATCTTTCTCAGCTCCCATAACCTCTCTTCATGATGACCACAATTCTTCACCATGTCCCTTCTTCCCCATCTCTCATTCTCTCATTCCTCTCACACTGTCCATTTCTCATTATTCTCCCCTCCTCACCATCGCTCCTCATCTCCCCTATCTCCCTTTCCCCGTCTGTCTCCCACCCATGGACCCCACCAGCTGGGCACCGGCTGGCTGACCCAGGGGGGCGTGGAGTTCCAGGACGTGGTGTTGGCGTACCGGCCAGGGCTGCCGAATGCCCTGGATGGAGTGACCTTCTGCGTGCAGCCTGGAGAGAAGTTGGGCATCGTGGGCCGCACAGGCTCCGGCAAGTCTTCCCTGTTGTTGGTGCTCTTCCGGCTGCTAGAGCCCAGTTCAGGGCGAGTGCTGCTGGACGGCGTGGACACCAGCCAGCTGGAGCTGGCCCAGCTCAGGTCTGGGGGAGATGGACTTGGGAGGGGAAGGGGGAACCAGAACTACTGGCACTTAGAGGAGGGCATAGCCAGGAAGGCTTTATATAAACTCACAGCAGCCAGGGCTGATCAGGGGGCTGAAATGGAGGACAGGATGAGCAGGCAAGGACAGCGAACTCCTAGTGCCCAGGTCCAGATTCATGGCTGGTGATCTCAAGGTCTTCCTCGCCCTGACCCAGGCCACCTTTCCAGCTTCATCTTTCTTGTACTTCCTACCATACACCCTCCACTCTTGTGCCCCAAGATACTGATCCCCTGAGTCCTAGGCTCAGCAGGCAGTGCTTCAGACAGCTTGAGACCTGAACCGGTTGCCCTTGGCTTCAGGTGGCCTCACTGGAGGGTATACAACCCTTCCTTACCTCCAGGTCAACCTAGTATCATTTTCTCTGAGTACGGTGACATGGAAAAGGTAGGGAAGCTGTATCCTAAAGCCCTAGGCCTGCCTCTTCTGCCTTCTCTTCTAAGCTGTGGTGGCCCTACCTTATAGCTCCATCATGTCTTCAGGACCCAATTCTAGGCCCACTCCAACCTTGAAGTGTCACCTGCCCTTTCAGTCGCTCTGGTCATTCCCTGCGTAGCCACTGCCACCCCTGGAGTCAGTGCCACACAGTTTAGCCCATTTGTTTTGTCTGGTTTGTGTGTGTGCACCTCCGTGAAATGTAGGCACCTTGAGGACAGAGTCCAGCCTTTGGTTTCTTTGGTATTGCTCATAGCACTGGCACAGTTCTAGGTACCCAGCTACTAACAGATCATTTGGTGGGGATGGGGTGGGGAGCAGAGTGGGGTTATGTTCAGGTCTCATACCCAGGCTTTCATGGAGGTGCTAGCCCTGTAGTCAGAAACTGAGCTGGGAGCAGAAGTGGCTACATCTCCAACCACTAGACTCCATGTCATTGTCCCCCAGATCCCAGTTGGCTATCATCCCCCAGGAGCCCTTTTTGTTCAGTGGGACTGTTCGGGAAAACCTGGACCCCCAGGGCCTACATAAGGACAGGGCCTTGTGGCAGGCCCTGAAGCAGTGCCACCTGAGTGAGGTGATTACATCCATGGGTGAGTGCTGGACCCTGACCTTAGAGCAAGAAGGGAGCAGGGATGGCCTGGGCCCTGCAACGAAGATGCTTTCCTTGCAGGTGGTCTGGATGGTGAGCTGGGTGAGGGGGGCCGGAGCTTATCTCTTGGGCAGAGGCAGCTGTTGTGTTTGGCCAGGGCTCTCCTCACAGATGCCAAGGTAAGGTGAGAGAAAGAGACATTAGAGAGGGCCAGGAAGAAGGCTGGGGGCCGGGAGGTGGGGAGGTAGAGTGGGGAGAGGTTTTAGGGGACCAAGTTCATTTTCCTTTTAGAGCTGGAAGTGGGGAGCTGTGGTAGGGGCTGTTGCTTGGGCCAGGCCCAACCCACCCTGCAGCCTCTCCTTCCTTCTTATCCCCTACCCCATTCCCATATTCCAGATCCTGTGTATCGATGAGGCCACAGCAAGTGTGGACCAGAAGACAGACCAGCTGCTCCAGCAGACCATCTGCAAACGCTTTGCCAACAAGACAGTGCTGACCATTGCCCATAGGTATGTAAACGCCTGGTAACAGCCTAATCAGGGACTGTGGTAGCATGCACCGAGAGCCTCCGTTGCTTTCAGGGACCCCAGTGGTCAGGGCCTTAGAGATCCTGCCCCCCCAGATCTCAGCTCCTCCTTCTCCAGGGACGAGAAGGGTCCTTTATAGCACTGCCTAGGGCCCTTTATAGCACATTATCTGAGGGCCCTTTATAGCACTGCCTAGGGCCCTTTATAGCACATTATCTGAGGGACTCTGCAGTCCCTTCCCCAGCACCAAGCCAGGGGCTAAAGCCTGTGGGGACAGACCTGTGGTGTCCCGAGGGGAGAGGAGGGAAAGCAGGTCAGTGTTCTTACTTAGGGCATTGTCCCTCATCCCCTACACTGACCATCTTCCCCCTCACAGGCTCAACACGATCCTGAACTCAGACCGGGTGCTGGTGCTACAAGCGGGGAGAGTGGTAGAGCTGGACTCCCCGGCCACCCTGCGCAACCAGCCCCACTCCCTGTTCCAGCAGCTGCTGCAGAGCAGCCAGCAGGGAGTCCCTGCCTCACTCGGAGGTCCCTGAGCCCAATCCCACACCCTGCAGAGTTCTCCCCTCTCTCTGATCCAGGCCGGGCCTATACAGAGGTGCTGGCTGCTTGTTTACATTCTCCTCTGGGGCTCTACCTCTCCACACTTCCCCAGAAGGGAAAAGGGCACCCTGGATTACTCTTTGGAAATCACTCCTTGGTGGGCAGCATCCTGAGGCTTCCCCAGAACCAGGCCTCTGCTCTGGCCCTCTTGCATCTGGAACGCCAGGTGGGTTTTTCTGGCATAGGAGCCCACTTGCATTTTCATAGTTTTATTTGATAAAATTCCATCTTACATTCTGTGTATTAAAAAAATAATATTTCTGGTGTGAGGCTGAGGTCTCCTCTGTGTGTGTACCCAAGCTGAAGGGTGGTGAGAACGGACCACTCCAGTCTGAGGGGTGGAAGAGGTGAGGAAGGGGGCCAGAAAGCCCCCACCTCCATCACAGTGCTGTGGTCTTTCCAGGCTCAGGGGGCAAGTCACGTGGCAGGGGGAGCCCTGCTGGCAGCATGCTAACCTGACACTCCTGGTCCTGGCACGCTGGAGCATAGTGTGGGGCAGGGTAGCAACAGGGTCCAGGGGGGCAGACACCCCGGCGCCAGGCCCTCAGGGTCAGCAACACAGTAGCCAGAACCAGGGCAGCAGTGAGGGCCCCAAACACCACCAGGGCCACCAAGCTAGGCTCACCTAGCCCAGCCTCTTGCCTCCGCACCACCTCCTTCACTGAGATCCGCAGCAGACCAGCCCCTGCGCTGTGGGGGGCTGGCCCCGTGGCAGGTACCACTACAGCTGAGGTGGGCCCTAGAGGGGTGTCCACTGTGGTTGGGGGGTCTGGGACAGGTAAGACAAGCTCACAGGTCTTGCCACCATAGCCACTGGGGCAGAGGCAGTCGAAGTCGTGGACACGGTCCCGACAGCGGGCCCCTCTCTGGCATGGGCGGCTGGCACAGTCATCCAGGTTGATGGTGCAGAAGCGTCCAGCAAAGCCCTCAGGACAGAGGCAGGAGAAGCGGTTTATGCCGTCAAGGCAGGTGGCACCGTTAGCACAAGGCCGCATCAGGCAGTCATCCACATTTACCTCACAGCGGGCACCCACAAAGCCCACCAAGCAGCGGCACGTGAAGTTGAGAGCAAAGCCCTGGTCGTCCTGGCACTGCCCGCCATTGCGGCATGGGGAGCTGTGGTAGGGGTGAGAGAGGACATGATAACCAACTTACCAACACCTGTAGGGCAGCCCAGGTCAGTATCCTGACCACTGCCCGCCATGTCATCTTGGGCTACACACTCCGAGCCTCAAATACCTCATTTTAAAAATGAGAATAAAAATAGTACCCAGCTTCCCTAATTGTGAGGGTTGAGTGAAATAATCAATGTCAAGCCATTAGCACAGGGCCCAGCCAGAAGGCAGGGCTCAGGGTAAGTGTGCTATTATTATCCTCACAGGCTCCTGGGCCTGATGCAGAAATGAGGACAAGTCCAGCCCTGCAGGCTGTTTCCTCATCCCTACTGTGACACAGAAGGGTGCAAGCCAGCGTTCAGGAGAGGATGAGGAGAGACCCAGGCCCTTCAGTCTCCCCACACCCACCCTCCCCAACCAGAACAGTCACACGTTTGTTACCCCTCTAGCTCCTATAGATTGTTGAAGAAATGGCTCAGAAGGTACAAAAAAAAAAGTTGAGAAACCCTGAACTAGGAACACTTTGGCATGCAGGGGTTTTATCTGAGTGTCCCCGTGTGGGTCTGACTCTCAGTCCCCCACCCTCCCAACAGTCCTGCCTCTTTTCTCATCCCATCACCAGGTTCTGGTCTAACCTTCCACTCACCCTGAGGGCCCAGCACTCACCCTGCCTGTTCACAGGGTCCAGCCTTGCGCTCGCAGTCACGCCCATGGAAGCCTGGTAAGCACACACAATGGTACTCACCGCCCCCGTCATACATGCACTGGCCTCCATTCTGGCAGGGGGACTGCGTGGTACAGATATGTTCATCTGGAGAGGGGACAGGAAAGGCTCTGGGATAACCCCTCCCATCTGGTCCCCAGACCAGACTTGTCCACGCCTTCCAGGCCCCAGGTTCTGTAGGTGTGGCTATACTACAAACCCAGCCCAGGCTGGCGTGGTATGCTAGGGAGAGACAACAACACTGAATTTGGAGTCAGGAGGCTCCTGGCCCTGGCTCTCAGTCTGTCTCAAACTGACCTTGGGCTGGGTACTGTGGCTCATGCCTGTAATCCCAGCACTTTGGAAGACCAAGGTGGGCAGATGACTTGAGGTCAGGAGTTCAAGACCAGCCTGGCCAACATGGCAAAACCCCATCTCTACTAAAAATACAAACATTAGGCCGGTACAGTGGCTCATGCCTATAATTCCAGCACTTTGGGAGGCCAAGGCGGGTGGATCACTTGAGGTCAGGAGTTCGAGACCAGCCTGGCCAACATGGTGAAACCCTATCTCTACTAAAAATACAAAAATTAGCTGAAGTGGCGGGTGCCTGTAATTCCAGCTACTGGGGAGGCTGAGGCACGAGAATCACTTGAACCCAGGAGGCGGAGGTTACAGTGAGCCGAGATCGCACCACTGCACTCCAGCCTGGGTGACAGAGTGAGACTCCATCTCAAAACAAAACAAACAAAAAAACCTGACTTTGAGCAGGTTATAGCTCTTCTGTGGGCCTTAGTTTCCTCATCTGTAAAATGAGTACAATTTTTAGCAGCTGTGTTTCCTGCCCCATGGGGTTATGTTGAGGATCAATTCAGACAACATATAAAAAGTCTAAGATTTAAAAAAATGATAAAATACCATGTATTTGAGGGTTTGACAAGGACAAAATAGGCACTCAATAAATACTGATGGCTGTTCCCCTAAGAACATGGGGTTCCCAACCAAAAGCTACCCTTCCTCCCCCCTACCTTTGTCACAGAACTTGCCTGCCCAGCCACTGTGGCAGATGCACTGCCATGGCTGGTGGCAGGTACCGTGCTGGCAGCCAGGCATCCTCACACAGCGCTCACAGTGCAGCCCCTCCCAGCCCGGGTCACACCTGACGGGGAGAAGCACAGGGTCAGGGCTCTGGGTCATGGATGTGAAGAAATGGAGGAGACAGAACCAGAGCTTCTAGAAACCAAGAGGACATATGACAGCCCCTAAGGGAAAGCAGACCTGTCCCAGGTAGGTGTAGGACTGTGCAGGGTCATAGGACACATATACGGAATCAGACCATCAGACACCAGCACTCAAACCCTGGTTCTGTACTTTAACCTGAGCCTCAGTTTTCTCACCTGTAAATTGGGGATACACCTTGCAGGGTTGAGTAGAGGAAGAAATAAGATGTCTGTAAATGCCTCCAGTACCCCTCCTGGCATGTCTGAGGTGCTCACAAACATTTAAAGAAGAATGACCTTGAAAGGCCATCAGGGCCGGGGCGTGGTTGCTCACGCCTGTAATCCCAGCACTTTGGGAGGTCGAGGCAGGTGGATCACTTGAGGTCAGGAGTTCAAGACCAGCCTGGCCAACTGGGTGAAACCCCGTCTCTACAAAAAATACAAAAAATTACCCGGGCATGGTGGTGTGCATCTGTAATCCATTATTGAGGAGGCTGAGGCAGGGGAACTTGAACACAAGAGGCAGAGGCTGCAGTGAGCTGAGATCGCGCCACTGCACTCCAGCCTTGGCAACAAAGCGAGACTCTGTCTCAAAAACAAAAAATAAAAATAAAAACAAAAAAGGTCATCAGGACTATCCTCCCACCATGATTCCAGGGCAAACACTTGACCCATATTTTAAAAGCCCTCCAGGGGTGAAGAGTCTCAAAGACCCCCAGCCAATTGAACTACCTGCCTCATCAACTCATTTCCTTATGTCCACTTTCCTCCTGCTACAGAATTTGCCCAATCTCCCAGTGAGTCAACTACTCAAACTCATCAAGAAAGATCCTCTTTCATTGTAAGTGTTTCTCCCCAGCAACTCTCCCTGCAGCATTTCTTTTCCAGGCTAAACCATTTCTCTTTCCCTTTTTCCTTTATCTTTCCATTTCCTCATGGCACCCAATCCCCAAGCTCTCTCAAGCTTTAGGTCTCTCTCCCTGTCAGGAGTTCAGACAATCCCTGGATCAGACTTGGGAGATTAAAGAAGTGGGGAGATAAAAACTAGAAGAAGCAAGAGAGGTGAGGTAAAGGGGAAAGGGGGACTGGCCAGTCAGCCATAGGAGTGATGAGGCATGAAGAGTAGAGTCTGAAGCCCCTAGACACTGTTGTGCACGTGAAGGGCTTAGAAATGGGTACCAAAGGGTTTGGGGGCACGTGCTCAGGACAGGTACCTGCAGGAGCCGTCAGGTGCACAGCAGCCGTGGGCCAGGTCACAGTGGGAGCTGCAGTCATCGGCTGCAAGAGATTGATGTGGGAGGGGTGAGTCTGAGTCAGGGCACAGCTCGCTGGGATGCGGGACTCAGGAGAGGATTGGGGTTCCAGTAACTGAGCGGACTCAACCCTAGGGCAGGACATAACACAGAAACTCATCCCATTCCAAAAAGGCAACCTCGGTCTTGCTTGCCCCGCGGGTCGGAGCGACTGCAGTGCCGCCTCCGGCCGGCAGAGGTCAACGTGCAAGCGAGGACGGCTGGACAGGGCCGCGACTGGAGCCCAGCGGGCGCGCTCACCTCGGACAGGCTGACCGGGAGCCCCCAGAATGCACAACAGGCACACGAGATGCAGGCAGCGGCAGCCGCTGGGCATGGTCAGCGCCGGCCCCAGGAGGGACGGACGGATGGACGGCCGGACGCGTGGACACCTGTGGGACGGCACCGGTTGGGAGGCGGCCGGACGCGGAGATAGCGGCACGGATACGGGTTCCAAGTGACAGGAGCCGACGAGGGAGAGGGGCGCCGGGACAGAAGAAGGGGATGGGGGTAGCGGGAGGATGGGGGCAGGGAAGGGTTGAGCAGGCGAAGAGAGCGAGGAGAGCGAAGACAGGAACCCGGGAGCGGGGTCTGCAAGGAGGGGAAAGATGGGCATCGCGGAGCGAGGCCAGGCGCGGGAATGGCTGGGGTTGGGATCGTAGTCAGGACGGAGGGGTCCGCGGGATGGGGACAGCGCCGAGAGGCGGCCTCGAGCACGGAGGGGACGCGGGGGCCGGAGGGAAGGACGGTTCCCGGCAGCGAGCAGTCTCCGCCCCACAGCTCCGACAGCCCCCCCCCCCGCCACCACCACTCTCTCCCACGTCCCCTTTCTATCTCCGCCGCGCTGGGTTCGGCGGCGGCGCGGGGCCTGGAATCCCCACCGCGCCCTGTCCCCGCAGTCCTCACCTCCGGCGGGGAGGTGGCGCGCCCCGGGGCGCAGAGAGAGGCCGGATCCGACGGGCGCCGCCGAGGGGCCGTGAGGGAGCGCGGGGCCGCCCCTAGCTGGCCGCGGGGCCGGGCGCCGAAGCGGCTGCCATGCGAGCCGAGCGCTCGGGAATCTGGGGCTCCAGGCGACCCCGAGCGGCGGCAGCGGCTGCTCCTCGCGCGCGCTCAGGCCCCCTGCCAGGGGCGGAGCCCGCCCCCACCCCCATCCCCCCCCCCGCGACGCACGGCGCACACCTAGCACCCGGCGCGCCCCGGGGCCCCGGCCCTCCGCGGCTACCCAACGCCCCGAACCCAGCTTCCTTCCAAGAGAGGAGGAAATCTTAGGAGTCTCAATGGGAGCAAACTATTAAGCCAAAGGAGCGCAACCCCGTTATTCTCTCATCTCCCATGCCCACTTTCCCGACCAGCGCTCCGCGGCCCACGCCCCAGCCCTGCCTTCGCTTGTCCGCCGCTCATCACGCTTCTCATATAGATCTATGCACACGCAGGCAATCGCTCCCCGCCCTCCGCCTGTCACCAGCCCACGCCTCCCCGCTTGTAAAGCCTTCATCACCTGCTTCATCTGTGTGCTCCTCTGCTCCTCCTCGCCCTCCGCTTCTTCCTGTCCACGTTGCCGTCTCCAGCCTTCCAAGATCAACCTATCCCTATATAAATATCAACCCGATCCACCCAACCACACCCCGGCCCTACCCCCACCACCCTTCCCTCCCTCAAGTCTCAGCCCTTCCACCCCATTCCTTTTTGTGACTGCCTCTGAGAATCCTTTCTGGACTGGGAATGCCCCTGACTCTGTAAATGTGCACACAAAACCCCCTCCACCGCCAAGTCTTCTCCTGTACCCCATCACGTTCGTCCTTGGCCTCAGGCTAAACCTCAACTGCCCAAACCTGGAGCTCAGATTCAGAGAGTAACGGAGGGGGAGTGGGGGAAAGCTGCCCTCCAGGCCTCTTTGCCCCCTTCTGGCTAATGGCTCAGAGACACATTTCAAGACAAGGACCCAGCCAAGCTCGGTGGGCTCACGCCTATAATTCCAGCACTTTGGGAGGCTGAGGCGGGCGGATCACCTGAGGTCAGGAGTTCGAGACCAGCCTGGCCAACATGGTGAAACCCGTCTCTATTAAAAATACAGAAATTAGCCAGGCGTGGTGGTGCGCGCCTGTAATCCCAGCTACTCGGAAGGCTGAGGCAGGAAAATCGCTTGAAAACCCGGGAGGCAGACGTTGCAGTTAGCCAAGATCGCGCCACTGCACTCCAGCTTGGGGGACAGAGCAAAACTCCGACCCCCGCCCCCCCCCAAAAAAAGACAAGGACCCAGAACATAATTTCTAGTTTGTGCAGGACAACAGGGCAGAGGTCAGGAACGCTAGCGCCCATCTCTAGTCCTTCAGATTGAGATTTCACCATCTTTAAATTCAAAACATCGGAAGGAGCAGTCGCTAGTCGGGGCAGAGCAGCTTCCCACCTTCACACAGCCACCTCCACAGGCACAGAGCCCCAGGGCTCATTTTTCCTGCAGTCTCCATTGGATATAACACTTACACCCACTCAGCTCCCTAGCTGGCCTCCTCTCAGCTGTGATCGCCTCTTCCCTGAAGAGCTCTCTGAATTTGAGTAATGACATGGCTGTACCATTCATTTTGTTTAAACACATTTTTTTTTTTGGTGAAAAATTGCAAACAACCTATAATTCAAAAATTACTGTAGGCAAATAAATTATGGCACATCAACACTATGTGACTGTTAAAAATACTTTTTTTTTTTTTTGACGTCTAAAGATGTCCAAAAAAGCTAAGAATATGTAAAGTGCGGTGGGGGGAAGCCGGAAACAAAGAAGAACGTACTTTGACATTGGCAGTGCTTTTCTCTGGATGATCGAATTATAGAGGTTTTTTTTTTTTTCTTATTAATACTTTTCAGCATTAACACTTTTTTTTTTTTTTTTTTTTTTTTTTTTGAGACGGAGTCTCGCTTTGTGGCCCAAGCTGGAGTGCAGTGGCGCTATCTCGGCTCTCTGCAAGCTCCGCCTCCCAGGTTCACGCCATTCTCCTGCCTCAACGTCCCAAGTAGCTGGGACTACAGGCGCCCACCACCCCGCCCGGCTAATTTTTTTTTGTATTTTTAGTAAAGACGGGGTTTCACCATGGTAGCCAGGATGGTCTTGATTTCCTGACCTCGTGATCCGCCCGCCTCGACCTCCCAAAGTGCTGGGATTACAGGCGTGAGCCACCGCGCCCGCCCCTTTTTTTTTTTTTTTAAACAATGAACATCTATAACTTGTTTTTTGTTGTTGTTTGTTTGTTTTTCCTTGAGATTATCACTCTGTCGCCCAGGCTGGAGTGCAGTAGTGCAACCTCAGCTCAGTACAACCTCGTCTCAGCCTCCAGTATAGCTGGAATTGCAGGCACAGCGCCACCACGCCCAGCTAATTTTTTTTTCTCGAGACTTTCAGTGCTTTTCTCTGTCAGATATCATTATCTGACATTATATTAAATATTTATTGTTTATTGACCATCTCCCCACTACAAAGCAAACTCCAGAGGTCTGGGATGTTTTCTTGCTCATCACAGCATCCCCAGTGTCTAAAACAATGCCTGGCATAGTAGGTATTCAATAAATTTTTTTAAAATTCTGTTTGTTTAATTAACTCTTTTTTTTTTTTTTTTTTTTTGAGACAGGGTCTCGCTCTGTCACCCAGGCTGAAGTGCAATGGCTCCATCTTGGCTCACTGCAACCTCCGCCTCCCGGGTTCAAGCAATTCTTCTGCCTCAGCCTCCCGAGTAGCTGGGATTACAGGCGCGCCCCCACCAAGCCAGGCTAATTTTTGTATTTGTAGTGGAGACAGGGTTTCGCCATGTTGGCCAGGCTGGTTTACAACTCCTGACCTCAGGTCATCTGCCCGCTTGGCCTCCCAAAGTGCTGGGATCACAGGCGTGAGCCACTGCCCTCGGCCTGCCCAGTTAATTTTTGCATTTTCAGTAGAGACGGGGTTTCGCCATGTTGGCCCGGCTAGTCTCGAAGTGACCCCAAGTGGTCCACCGGCCTTGGCCTCCCAAAGTGCTAGGGTTACAGGCATGAGTCACCGTGCCCAGCCTAACATTTTTTTAGAATAAAGTAAAAAGAAAAAGGCCAGGTGCGGTGGCTCACGCCTGTAATCCCAACACTTTGGGAGGCTGAGGTGAGAGGATCATGAGGTCAGGAGATCGAGACCATCCTGGCTAACACGGTGAAGCCCCGTCTCTACTAAAAATACAAAAAATTAGCTGGGTGTGGTGGCAGGCGCCTGTAGTCCCAGCTACTCGGGAGGCTGAGGCAGGAGAATGGCATGAACCCAGGGGGCGGAGCTTGCAGTGAGCCGAGATAGCACCACTGCACTCCAGCCTGGGTGACAGAGCGAGACTCCGTCTCAAAAAAAAAAAAAAAAAGAAAGCAAACTGGCTGGGCGCGGTGGCTCACGCCTGTAAATCCAGCACTTTGGGAGGCCAAGGCAGGCAGATCACCTGAGGTCAGGAGTTCGAGACCAGCCTCACCACCATGGAGAAAACCTGTCTCTACTAAAAATACAAAATTAGCCGGGCGTGGTGGCACCTGCCTTTAATCCCAGCTACTTGAGAGGCTGAGGCAGGAGAATCGCTTGCACCTGGGAGGCAGAGGTTGCGGTGAGCCTAGATCATGCCACTGCACTCTAGCCTGGGCAACAAGAGCAAGACTCCATCTCAAAGAAAAGGAAAGGAAAAAAACCACCCACAATCCTACTAGCTTGAGAAAACCACAATTATTGTTGTTTTGATTCCTTTTTTCCATTCAGATATTTTTACAGAGGTATAATCATAATGTACCTACAGTATTGTATCCTGCTTTTTTTTACTCCATGTCATATATTGATAGTTCTCAAAAGCATTTTTTATGGCTATGTGATATTCCATTAAATAGATATACTATATTTACTTTACTTAGCCCTAGTTATTGGCTGCTTAGGTTGTTTACTTTTTTTGTCATTATAAATTCATTCAACAAATATTGAGTAGTCATATATTACCATTAGATACCAGAGCCACTGAGGATACAGCTCCCAGATAATATTTATTAGTGCCACACATTTTTATGAAGGTAGGTTTTTTCCCCATGTTTTAGGCTCCTTCCTTATGATCAAGTCTGAATTGATGAGTGACTGAGTCAAAGAAGTCATGAAAAATAAATTCTTTTTAACTGATAAAATGTACTGAGATTCACTCATGAAATAATAAAGGTAGTTGATGCCATTAGAGGTATCACTTAGTGCCCCCTTGTGCTTTGAAGATTTTAGCACCTGGCTTGTCAGTCTCTTCACTCTCACTTCTGTCAAATTATTGGTGATTCTTGATGATTCAATATGACATAGACAGTTCTTCCAACAAGTGTGATAGATTGCAAAGATGGCCACTTTTCTTCCTCCTGTTCTACAAGACGCTTTGCAATTATTTTGCTGCTTTTCCCAGCAAGAGGTGGAGTATATTTCTCAACCTCTTGCTTGAATCTGGGCTGGCCTTATGACTTGCTTTAGCTGATAGAATGGGGTAGAAATGATGTTGTGTGAGTTCCTAGGGTCTAGGTCTCAAGAGACTTGCAGCTTGCCGCTTTGCCTCTTAGAATGCTTCCAACATCATGTCAAGAAGTCCATCTAGCCTACTGGAAGATGAAACGCCCCGTGGAGGAGAGCTGAGGTACCCTGGCCAACAACCACTAGACGTGCAGTCATATTGGATTACCTGGCCCCAGTTAAGCTTCCAGATGACTGCAGCCACATGAGTGAACCTAGGCAAGACAAACAGAAGAACTGCTCAGCAGAGCCCAGCCCATATTGCCAAGCTATAAGCAGATAAATGGTGGTTGTTTTAAGCCACTAAATTTTGGAATGGTTTGTTAATATAGCAATAGATATCTGATAAAACCAGCTTCTCATTTCCTTGATTTCTTCCTCTCCAGTGAGAAAGATGATCCCACCCTAAACCTTGTTGCTACCAATAGCTTCACACACTCCATCATCTCTATTTTAAGTATCACACTTTCCTATTACCAACTCCTATCTTTCCAGACCATGACCTCTAGCACCTTGGCTCAAACAATTCTGCTAACCCACTGCGATCTCTCATAAAAGCCACATCATGGCTTTCATGGGCCTTAGCCATTTCACCTTAGTGGGTCCCTTCCTCCATAAAAGAATATTAAAAATTATATTACATAACTACATCAGTATAAGGACTACTATAATCCAGGCTGAATTCATTTTTTTTTTTTTTTGAGATGGAGTTTTGCTGTTGTTGCCCAGGCTGGAGTGCAACGGCACGATCTTGGCTCACCGCAACCTCCACCTCCCAGGTTCAAGCGATTCTCCTGCCTCAGCCTCCCAAGTAGCTGGGATTGCAGGCAAGTGCCACCATACCCAGCTAATTTTGTATTTTTAGTAGAGACAGGTTTTCTCCATTTTGGTGAGGCTGGTCTCGAACTCCCGACCTCAGGTGATCTGCCTGCCTTGGCTTCCCAAAGTGCTGGGATTACAGGCGTGAGCCACTGTGCCTGGCCTGAATTCATTATTATATACTTATTTTTATTGTATTCATTTTTTCTTCTGATTTTAAAATAAATTCAAAACGAAAACATTTTGTGGGCCCTTAAAAGTATTATAGAACTTAGGCACTGTGCCTACTGTGAATAAGTCAGCCTGTCAGCCTTGTCTTTCTTTTTCTTTTTCTTTTTTTTTTTTTTTTTGAGACAGAGCCTCACTCTGTCCCCCAGGCCAGAGTGCAATGGCACGATCTCAGCTCACTGCAACCTCCATCTCCCGGGTTCAAGTGATTCTACTGCCTCAGCCTCAGCCTCCTGAGTAGTTGGGATTATAGACACGTGACACCACGTCCAGCTAATTTTTTGTATTTTTAGTAGGGATGGGGTTTTACCATGTTGGCCAGGCTGGTCTCGAACTCCTGACCTCAGGTGATCCACCCGCCTCAGCCTCCCAAAGTGCTGGGATTTCAGGCGTGAGCCACCGCGCCTGGGCCCGGCCTTGTCTTTTATTTGTTGATTCTATCTCCTTTTCACCATCCCCTATCCCCATCACATCCACCCTTCCGCTTCCTCAGCTTTGATTCCATGCCTCATCATTATAATTAGTCACTTGCATACATGCTTAACTCCCTGGCCCCCTCTCCCTCCATCATATTCATGTGGCAAAACTCCACTGCTGTGACTTCTTTTTTTTTTTTCTGATACGCAGTCTTGCTCTGTCGCCCAGGCTGGAGTGCAGTGGTGCGATCTCGGCTCACTGAAACCTCCACATCCCGGATTCAAGCAATCCTCTTGCCTCAGCCTCCTGAGTAGCTGGGATTACAGGCACCTACCACCACACCCGGCTAATTTTTTTTTGTATTTTTAGTAGAGACGGGGTTTCACTGTGTTGGCCAGGATGGTCTCAGTCTCCTGACCTTGTGATCCACCTGCCTCAGCCTCCTATAGTGCTAGGATTACAGGCATGAGCCACTGCGCCCAGCCGCTGTGACTTCTTCAGCCTTCACCCAAACAGCTGAAGAAACATACCTCCCAACTAGCTGGTCTCACTTAAATTCATGACCTTCAAATGCTGTTTGTGTTGATCACCAATACTCTCGGATTTCCTTAGCTCTGTACACTCCTCCACCCACCCCAACAATTATTTTATTCTCCTCTCTCCTCCAACCTCCACCCCCTCCTCCTCTCTGCTCACTCTGTTGATGGTCTTGCTCTCAACTTCATGGAGAAAATAGAAGCAATCTGAAAGAATTTCCACACGCCCCCTCCATCTACCTGCATCTGTCTCCATATATTCTGACATCCCTCTTGTTACTGTACGTGAACTGCCTGTGCTCTTACCTAAGTGAACTCCTTCACCTGGGCACTAGTTCACATCCTCTCTCATCAGGTCTCTCTGATTTCTCTCCTTCTCTTCTGCATCATCAGTTTGCTTGCCTCTACGAGAGCATTGTCATCAACCTCTCTCAGATCTTAAATAAATAAGTAAATCACCTCCCTCAACCCCCTACATTTGTCTGCTCTTCTTTACTGAAAACTCTTCAAAAATATTAGTCTATCCTTGCTCTCTTCACCTCCTCTCCTCTTATTCTCTCTTGAACCCACTCTCACCCCACCATTCCAGAATCACTCTTGTAAAGTTCACCAATGCCCTCACCACTGCCAAATCCAATGATTAATTCTCAGTCCTCACCTCACTGGCTCTGTTAACTGCATTTGCCACAGTTTACTGGGTTTCTGGGATCACTCACTAGCTTCTTCACCTACTGCAATGGCCACCCCTTCTCGGTCTCTTTTGCATCCTCCTCATCTTCCCAACATGTTCCTCAGCCCCAGGGCTCCATCCTCAGACCTCTTGTCTTTTCTATCTTCACTCCCTCCTTTCATGATCTCATCCAGCCTAACTGCTTGGAATGGCTATAACTTAACGACTCCCAAATTTATGTTTCCAGTCAAGCTTTATCCCTGAAATCCAGACTCGTGTGTCTGGCTGGGCATGGTGGCTCATGCCTGGTAAGCCCAGCACTTTGGGAGGCTGAGGTGGGAGGATCGCTTGAGCCCAGAAGTTTGAGACTTCAGTTTTGTTGCTCAGGCCTGAGCAACATAACAAGACCCTGTCCTTATGAAAATAAATAAATTAATTAATTAATTTAAAAATAAATTTGGTAGTACCAGACTTGTGTGTCTGACTGCTGCAAACTCCTGATCTCCAGCCCAAATAGTTTTCCTTTGTCAGCTGTACCCATTCCAGTCCATGGCTAGTCCATCTGTCTAGTTGTTTAGCCCCCAATCTTGGGGTCATGCTTGATTCTCCTCTTTCTCCTATAATCCACATCCTGCAAATTCCATTGCCTCTGCCTTCAAATTCATCCAGAATCTGACCACTTTTCACAATGTGACCTCTAACACCCTAGTTCAAGCCCCCATTATCTTTTGCCTGGACTACTGCAATGGCCTCTTTGGTTTTGTTTTTGTTGCTGTTGTTTTTGAGACGGAGTTTTGCTCTTGTTGCCCAGGCTGGAGTGCAATGGTGCCATCTGGTCTCACTGCAACCTCTGCCTCCCGGGTTCAAGGAATTCTCCTGCCTTAGCCTCCCGAGTAGCTGGGATTACAGGCATGCGCCACCATGCCTGGTTAATTTTGGATTTTTAGTAGAGATGGAGTTTCTCCATGTTGGTCAGGGTGGTCTCGAACTCCTGACCTCAGGTGATCCACCCACCTCAGCCTCCCAAAGTGTTGGGCCGCAATTGCTTCTTAATTGGTCTTCTATTATGCAGCAGCCAGGGTGATCCTGATGGAAAGAAAATGGAAGCCAGCTAAGTGTGATGTATTATCCCAAACTGGATTCTGAAACAGAAAAACATCAATAGTGGTAAAACTGGCAAAGTCTGAATAAAGTCTAGAATTTAGCTTATACCAGGGTACTAACGTTGGCTTCTTAGTTTTGACAAATGTACCATGATAAGGTATAATGTTAACACTAAGGGAAATTGGGTGAGTCATATTTGGGAAATCTCTATACAATCTTTGGAACTTTTCTATAAATCTAAAATTATTCAAAAATTAAAATTTTATTTAAAAAATGGAAGTTAGATTTTTTCATATCTTTGTTCCAAACCCTCCAGTGGCTCCCATCTGATCTTTTTTTTTTTCCCATCTGATCTTATTCCCTGCACACTCCTACCTCACTCTGTCCCATCCAAACTGGCCTCTGAGTTGATCCTTTTTTTTTTTTTTTTTGAAATGGAGTCTTGTTCTGTCACCCAGGCTGGAGAGCAGTGGTGCGATCTCGGCTCACTGCAAGCTCCGCCTCCCGACTTCATGCCATTCTCCTGCCTTAGCCTTCTGAGTAGCTGGGACTACAGGCACCCGCCACCACGCCTGGCTAATTTTTTTTTTTTTTTTGTATTTTTAGTAGAGACGGGCTTTCACTATGTTAGCCAGGATGGTCTCGATTTCCTGACCTCGTGATCCGCCTGTTATCAGCCTCCCAAAGTGCTGGGATTACAGGAGTGAGCCACCGTGCCCGGCCCTGAGTTGATCCTTGAACATATAAGCATGTTCCCTGCCTCAGGATCTTTGCACTAGCTGTTCTCTGCCTGGAATGCTATAACCCAGATATTTTCATAGCTCACTCCCTGAGTTCATTCAGCTCTCTGCTCAAATCTCATGTTAGTAAACAAGCCCTCACTGATCATCCTATATATTAAATAATAACCCCACCTCTGCCCCAGGATATTCCCTTACACTACTTTCTTTTTTTCTTTTTTTTTTTTTTTTTTTTGAGATAGAGTCTTGCCCTGTCGCCCAGGCTGGATTGCAATGGCGTGATCTTGGCTCACTGCAACCTCCGCCTCCCGGGTTCAAGCGATTCTCCTGCCTCAGCCTCCCGAGTAACAGGGATTACAGGCACGCGCCTCCACGCCCAGCTAATTTTTGTATTTTTAGTAGAGACGGGGGTTTCACCATGTTGGCCAGGCTGGTCTCGAACTCCTGACGTCGTGATCCACCCTCCTTGGCCTCCCAAAGTGCTGGGATTACAGGCGTGAGCCACTGCGCCCGGCCCAATTTTTTCTTTTTTAAATAAAAAGCAGTGGGCTGGGCACGGTGGCTCATGCCTGTAATCCCAGCACTTTGGGAGACCGAGGTGGGTGGATTACCTGAGGTCAGGAGTTCGAGACCAGCCTGGCTAACATGGCGAAATTCCGTCACTACTAAAAATACAAAAAAATAGCTAGGCGTGGTGTCGCGCACCTGTTATCCCAGCTACTCGGGAGGCTGAGGCAGAAGAATTGCTTGAACCCGGAGGCAGAGGTTGCAGTTAGCCCGGATCATGCTGCCATTGCACTCCAGCCTGGGCAACAGAGGAAGACTCTGTCAAAAATAAAGAAATAAATAGCAGTGAACACACCATCCCTTATACTACTTTAATTAATAAAGAGCCATGCCCTTGTATTTAATTTTCACCATAACTCTGCCAGACAGGCATTATTATTATTCTAGTGTTTTTCTTTGTTTGTTTGTTTGAGACTGAGTCTCACTCTGTTGTCCAGGCTGGAGTGCAGTGGCATGATCTCAGCTCACTGCAACCTCTACCTCCCGGATTTAAACGATTCCCCTGCCTCAGCCTCTGGAGTAGCTGGGATTACAGGTATGCGCCAGCAGGCCTGACTAATTTTTGTATTTTTAGTAGAGACAGGTTTTCGCCATGTTGGCCAGGCTGGGCTGGAACTCCTGACCTCAGGTGATCTGCCCGCCTTGGCCTCCCAAAGTGCTGGGATTACAGGTGTGAGCCACTGGGCCCAGCCTTATTATTCTAGTTTTATATATGAGGTAGGAGAAGATACCAGGAGTTAGGTGACTTCCCCAGTCATAGAGCTAGTGAATGATGAAGCTGGGGTTCAGACCCAGGCCCATCTTTCCCCTGGGCCATGCTATTGATCTAGGTGATTATGCAAGGGTGTGGCAAATTGTATTTTCCAAAGATGGCTACCATAAGACCTCCCATCTCACACGTTTCCCTTATAATGTGTGACTTTGACACTCCTCCCTTTAGGCTCCCTTTAGGCAGCCTTGTGACTATGGTAGAAGTGATATTATGTGACTTTTGAGGTTAGATGACAAAAGATGATACAGCTTTCTCCTTATTCTCTTGGGACACTTGTCTTGGAGACATGAGTAATCAGTCTGATTGCCCTGAGGTCATCAAGTTGTGGGGAAGCCCAAACTAGCCCCATTGGGGAGGCTACCACAAGGAGAGGGCTGGAGAGTATGTGAATGAACAGAGATGCCCAGACAGACCTGGGCTGCTCCAGCCCCTGCTGGTTTACCTCCAGCCACCGACTGACTGCAGCTATATGAGACACAAAGTCAGAACCACCCAGCTGAGTCCTGACTGAGTCCCTGACCCACAGAAATTGGACAGATAATAAAATGTCTCAAGCCACTAGGCTTTGAGGTGATTTGTTCTATGCAGTGATAGATAACTAGAATAAAGGGAGTGGGATAAACTTTGCAGTATCCTGTGGGGGCAAGTCCCTTCTTTCTGGGCCTAAGTTTCCCTTGAAAACAGAGGGAGTTCACTCAATGGTCTCTAAGGATGTTTTCAGCCCTGATGTTTGGTGCTTATCCATAATGTTGCCACATCCCTCTCTGCCCATTTTCACTGCCTCCATTCCATTCCATTATGCTATCATTCCATTATTCCCAGAGAGAAAATGAATGCCCTCAGACATCAAGGGATGTCTATGGATCTGCTGAGGAAAGGCAGGTGCGTGCCTCTGGCTCCAATCTGCTTGAGATCTCTGGAAGTGCAGATGTGGTGTAATGAAGTGAAGTGCACAGGATTTGGAATCTGGTCACTGATTGGCATTGGTTGTGTGATCCTGAGAAAGTCTCATAAACTTCTCAGGCCTCAGTTTCCCCACTTGTGAAATGGGGAGAATAGCACCAGCCCTGCTCTCTAACAGGGTCCCTGTGAGGGTAGAATGAGAGAGTGTGTATAAAAGTCAGGTATGTGTACAGGAGGTTAGAGAGTGGGGGCTGAGGTGAGTGGTTGTGGAGGCATTGGGGGATCCCTGGTAAAGTCAGTTTCCTACCCTGGAGCAGGAGAGGGGGTTGGCAACAGAAGCAATGACGGGAGGCTGAGCTGGGCTATGCTGGGGCTTGCCTTTGAGCAATTGTTTCTGTCCTAGTGTCTTCAGGAATCTAGCCACTATTAGCCCCTTTACATAAAAGGCATCCTTTAGTCCAGGTTTCTGTTTCTGTGAAATTTTTCTAGCACGCCCCCTTCGCCCATTTAAAAATCACCCAGTAAAGAGGGCTTGTCTCACTGCTTGGATTTCCAAGAACATCCCTGATATGGTTTGGCTGCATCCCCACCCAAATTCCATCTTGAATTGTAGCTCCCATAATTCCCACGTGTTGTGGGAGGGACCTGGTGGGAGATAATTGAATCATGGGGGTGGTTTCTCCCATACCATTCTCATGGTAGTGAATAAGTCTCACGAGGTCTGATGGTTTTATAAGGGGAAACCCCTTTCACTTGGTCCTTATTCTCCCTCTTCCCTGCCGCCATGTAGGATGTGATTTGCTCCTCCTTGCCTTCTGCCATGATTGTGAGGCCTCCCCAGCCACGTGGAACTGTGAGTCCATTAAACCTCTTTCCTTTATAATTGCCCAGTCTCAGGTATGTCTTTGTCAGCAGCGTGAAAATGGACTAATACAATCCCCCACCCAATACTTGTTTTTGGCAGAAATCCCACTATTCTTTGGGTAACTAGAGCTTAAAACCTTAAAGCCTCCTCTAACTCCTCTATTTTTTTCCAGCTGGCCACCAAATGTTGTCCAGTCCTCCTTCTCCCATGGCCCTGTGTCCATTCTGTCTGATCACCTCAGCCCTTGTCAGCACCCTCCTCACCATGCCAGGCTCATGACAAGCGTTTCCTACTTGGTCTCACGGCCGTCAGGCCTACCGGTTTCCCTCATGCATCCAATCTGCAGTGTGCCTAGAGGCTAAACATCCTACCATGCCATTGTTATCACCTCACTCCTCAAGTCAGCAGCCTGGGATCACTCCTATGATTCTTCAGGCTGTGTGATGTCAAGGCAAGAGTACTAGAAGTCACTTCAAATTCTGGCTCTATTGTCTGCAGCTGGGTGGCCTTCAGGAGACAGCTAACCTCTCTGAGACTCCAAACCCTCACTGGTAAAATAGACGGACATTCTATGTACCAGGCACTGGTCTAAGCACTCATGTACATGAACTCTTTTGACCCTCAAGACAACTCTGTGAGGTAGGTGCTCTGCTTAACCCTCATTTACAGATGGGAAGACAGAGGCACAGACAGCTCCAGTCATCTGCTTGTGTTCATGCAGTTAGTTAGGTGACAGCTGGGCGATGAAGCCAGGCAGTCTGCTCCAGGGACCCTACTCTTATCGCTGTCCTACCCTCGAGAAAAGTGACTGATACAGCTGGTGAGGGCCCCTGGCTGATGCTCTTCACTTCTTGGCTCTAATTTCTGCTTCCCTGCGTACAACCTAGTGGCTGTTCCTTGGAGGATTTTGGAACAGGTTGGGCTGGCAGCCTCATGACTTTAGGATCCTCCTAAGCCTGTCTTAATAGTGGCTTTCTTTTTTGGGTGGTCACTAGACACATGAGGCTGATTTCTGGCTTTCACTCCAGACTTGAACGGTAACTATACTGCTCCAGAACACCTCAGTACCCAACCCTCAGGATTCCCTACTTTCCTGAGCATTTTTCTGAGGACTTATCAATAAACCCCTCCTCCAGGGCCTCCACTTATAAGAATTTATCGCTCTTGGCCTCCCTACCCTTCACCTGGAGAGTGGATTCTCAAGTTTTCCTCTTCTCTCCTTAGCCTCCTTTTCACACAGAGTTTTGCGTATTACCAAATGAGAATGCAGAGACCAGAGAACAGGGAACAAGGGCTGTCACTCTTCATTCACACCTCCATTGACCCACCCACAGATTGTGGGCAGGAGCAGGGAGGGGACCCCAACTCAGTGCCAAACATTCAATAAATGTGAGTTGAATGAGTGACTGAATTAATACAAATGAAAAAACGTGCTAGGCCCTGACCTCGAGCAACTTACCGCCTAGCAGGGCAGACATATTCACTCACCCCACATGCCCCCAATAAACAGGGGGTGCAGAGGCACCTGTGGGCCCTAGACTTCACGGAGACCCAGGGGCACGCAGAGCTGGCCCTTGTCCTCACCAGGTAAGGGATAATCCTGCCCCTGCTTGTTCTGGCCTGTCACTGCCTCTCCAAGACAGTGCTGGTCAGCCTAAGAAGTGGGGGCCCCAGGATGGAGACAGAGTCTGTGCTGGGAAGGAGTCAGGCACATCCAAGTAGCCCACCCTTTGTGAGGCCTTCTGCCAGCGCAGGGGCCTTTGGGTCCTGAAACAATGTTCTTTCCCTCTGATTGTTTCCTTCCCCCATCCTACCCCTACCTCACCACGGGAGGTGGAGCCAGCAGCCCCAGGGCTGAAATCCAAACCCAGCCATTGTTCCCTATCTTTTGGCTGTTTGACTGTGTGCATGTCTGTGTTGGCACACTTATCGTGTGCCTCCAGGGCTGTTGTGCCAAAGCGCAGGCCCTGCATACCTTGCTTAGGATAGCTGAAAATACCTGCTCAGGGAAAGAGGGAGCTGGGCCAGGGAGGATACCGACGGTGGGCTTTAGGGTGAGTTGAAAAGTGATAGGAGGCTTTGCCCTCTGATAGGATGAGTGTGCAGTCATGCAGCTCCTATCCAAAATGTCAAGCAGGCGGGGTGCGGTGGCTCACACCTGTAATCCCAGCACTTTGGGACGCCAAGACAGGTGGATCACCTGAGGTCAGGAGTTTGAGACCAGCCTGGCCAACATGGTGAAACCTTGTCTCTACTAAAAAATTAGCCAGATGTGGTAGTGGATGCCTGTAATCCCAGCTACTAGGGAGGCTCAGGCAGGAGAATTGCGTGAACCCGGGAGACGGAGGTTGCAGTGAGCCGAGATCATGCCATTGCACTCCAGCCTGGGCAACAAGAGTGAAACTCTGTCTCAAAAAAAAAAAAAAAAAAAAGTCAAGCAAAGGAACACACCCATTGAAACCACAAGGGTGTGCAGATGCATGTACACAGACCTGGAAAGACGAGAGGGTCACTCATAGCTAGAACCATGCATGTGAAGCACCGCGGTACCACTCATTCATGTACTTGTGGAGCCCCTTCCACTCTGGAACTACCCAGGGCTGATGGGGTGGTGGGGGAAGCACCAATATCACAGATGGGTCATGGTCCAGCCCTTCCAGTAGCTGCTAAAGGAGTCATCTCTGGAGATTTACTTGAAATTTTTGGGCCAGGTGTCATGGCTAACGCCTGTAACTCCAGCACTTTGGGAGACCGAAGCAGGCAGATCATTTGAGGTCAGGAGTTTGAGACCAGCCTGGCCAACATGGTGAAACCCCACCTCTACTAAAAATACAAAAATCAGCCGTGTGTGGTGGTGCACACCTGTAGTCCCAGCTACTCAGGAGGCTGAATCGCTTGAACCCGGGAGGCAGAGGTTGCAGTGAGCCAAGATCGCGCCACTGCATTCCAGACCGGGCGACAGAGTGAGTCACCACTTACAGAGTCCAGTTAAAAAGAACAAGGTTGCCGGGCGTGGTGGCTCACGCCTATAATCCCAGCACTTTGGGAGGCCAAGGCGGGTGGATCACCTGAGGTCAGGAGTTTGAGACCAGCCTGGCCAACATGGTGAAACCCCATCTCTACTAAAAATACAAAAATTAGCTGGGCTTGGTGGCATGTGCCTGTAATCCCAGCTACTTGGGAGGCTGAGGCAGGACAGTCACTTGAACCCGGGAGGTGGAGGTTGTGATGAGCCGAGTTCGTGCCGCTGTACTCCAGCCTGGGAGACATGGCAAGACTCTGTTTCAGAACAAAAAAAAGAAAAAAGAAAGAAAGTTTCTTTCTTTCTTTTCTTTCTTTCTTTCTTTCTTTCTTTCTTTCTTTCTTTCTTTCTTTCTTTCTTTCTTTCTTTCTTTCTCTTCCTTCCTTCCTTCCTTCCTTCCTTCCTTCCTTCCTTTCTTTTTTGTTTTTGAGACAGAGTCTCGCTCTGTCACCCAGGCTGGGGTGCAATGGCGCCATCTCGGCTCACTGCAACCTCCGCCTCCCAGGTTCAAGAGATTCTCCTGTCTCAGCCTCCCAGATAGCTGGGATTACAGGTGCACACTGCTACGCCCAGCTAATTTTTGTATTTTAGTAGAGACGGGGTTTCACCGTGTTGCCCAGGCTGGTCTTGAACTCCTGAACTCAGGCAATCCACCCACCTTGGCCTCCCAAAGCGCTAGGATTACAGGCATGAGCCACTGCGCCCGGCCTGAAAGAAAGTACATTTCAAGGCTATATTTTAAGAATAAGGAGAAGGGAGAAAAAAGAGTTTACACAGTAAGCTTCAAGGTTACATCTTGAGACCTGAGAGAAAGGAAAAGAAAGGTTTGAAAATGCATTTTGAAGTTAAGCTGCCCAGTTACACTTTCAAGGCCAACTTTCAGGTGTTGACCTGGGATGGAGGGAGGACTTCCTGATTCAGCAAAGAGATGAGGGACTGGAGAACTGCCCAGCTCCTACTGGGTCAGAGTGAAGCAGAGCTGGACAAACAGGTCCCAGTGCAGTCCAGAAAAGAGAGGTAAACCACTTCTGCACTTTCTGAGCTTTCCCAGGATTCGATTCACAGTCTGAGAGGGAAGGCACAGACTCTAGCCTCAGGGTGCCCAAAGTCTGAGGTGAGGGAAACAAGCTCTGCTCTCAGGGAGTTCCTGCTTTAGAGTTGGGAAAGTGAGATCTCACCAGAAGCCAGAAAACAAGACTTGGTATCATATAAAGATGTATGGATGGCCAGGTGTGGTGGCTTATGCCTGTAATCCCAGCTCTTTGGGAGGCTGAGGCAGGAGGATCTATTGAGTCCAGGAGTTCAAGACCAGCCTGGACAACAAAGTGTGACTCCGTTTCTATAAAAAATTTAAAAAGCATTGGTGGTACAGTGGTGAACATAGATGCCCTCCAAAAAAATTAAAAAATTAGGCAGGTGTGCCTAGAGTCCTAGCTACTTGGGAAGCTAAGTCTAGAGGATCGCTTGAGCCCAGGAGTTTGAGGCTGCAGTGAGCTATGATCATGCCACTGCACTACAGCCTGGGCAACAGAGCGAGACTCTGCCTCTAAAATAAATAAATAAAAAAAAACAAAAACAAAATAAGAACACAACATTAACTCCTAATTTTTTACAGCCCCTGGCAATGACCATTCTATTTTCTTTCTTCTTTTTTTTTGAGACGGAGTCTCACTCTGTCACCCAGGCTGGAGGGCAGTGGCGTGATCTTGGCTCACTGCAACCTCTGCCTCCCAGGTTCAAACAATTCTCTGCCTCAGCCTCCCAAGTAGCTGGGATTACAGGCATCTGCCACCACACTAGGCTAATTTTTGAATTTTTAGTAGAGACAGGGTTTCACCATGTTGGCCAGGCTGGTCTCGAACTTCTGACCTTGTGATCTGCCTGCCTTGGCCTCCCAAAGTGTTAGGATTACAGGCGTGAGCCACAGCGCCCGGCCGACCATTCTATTTTCTATCTTTATGAATTTGACTGCTCTAAGTACCTAAAATAAGTGGAATCATTCAGTATTTGTCTTTTTGTGACTGACTTATTTCACTTTGTGTGGTATCCTCAAGGTTTATCCATGTTGTAGCCTGTGTCAGAATTCCTTCCTTTTCAAGGCTGAATAATATTCCATTGTATGTATTTGCTACATTTTGTTTATCCATTAATCCATCAATGAACATTTGTGTTGTTTCTACCTTTTGGCTATTGTAAAATAATGTTGCTATGACCACAGGTGTACAAATATTTATTTGAGTTCCTACTTTAATTATTTTTTGAGAGATAAAATTTTTTTTTTTTTGGGACAGAGTTTTGCTCTTGTTGCCCAGGCTGGCTCACTGCAACCTCTGCCTCCTGCATTCAAGCGATTGTCCTGCCTCAGTCTCCTGAGTAGCTGGGATTACAGGCATGCACCACCACACCTGGCTAATTTTTTGTATTTTTAGTAGAGACAGGGTTTCTCCATTTTGGTCAGGCTGGTCTCAAACTCTCGACCTCAGGTGATCCGCCTGCCTCGGCCTCCTAAAGTGTTGGGATTACAGGCGTGAACCATCGTGCCCAGCCAAATGGTTTTAATAATATGAAGAATGCAAGTTCCCACCAAGTTTCAAGGTCTTTAAAATTACATTTCTTACACTTCCATAAAATTCAACATCCCAAGTTAGGAAAAAGTCATTACATCTAATAAAAGCTCATCCACCAAGTTGGCAGCTGTGGACTTCTATTAATAGACTGAAGAATTAGGAAATGTGTATAACTTAAATCTAGGGAAGTAGATTAAGTTATCACCTCTTGAAGTTTTGAAATCATTGTTATAACAACCATGTATACATGGTTCAGCATCACAAAATCAGAGTCACAAATAGGAACATAGCCTCATGGCTTCACATTGTTAGTAGATAATGTTGCTGGCAATCAAAAAGGCTGCATATGGCCTAAGGCCCTTCTAGCTGTCATAATGAACAGGTCACACGACTGTGGGGCTGAGTCCAGTATGGTTTTGACTCCTCTTTCCCAGCAATTTCCTTTAATACCTGAAGCTCAAATTGCTATCTTTGTCCACTGCTTCTATTCCAAGACCCTTTTGCCTATGTAGAGTGTGTCATGCCAACCCCGGACTCCACACCAAGCACATCTGTCCCAGCAGGGTGACTAGTCCACATAAATTAAATCATCAGAAAGGACTGCCTTGGACCTAGGTGGATTATGCCTTGAGAAATGCTTGACCATGTTTGTGCAGATGGGCCCTGCATACCTGCAGCCCTATAGACACCAACCATATGAAAATTGTCATCAAAATGAAGTGAGCCTGACTCTTCCGCAACTTGCAGCTATTTCTTAAGACCCTGAAAGCTAGAAGGACCCCTAATTTTTACCACTTTCCTCATGGTTCTCTCACAAAGATAGAGAACAACTATTTTATTGTGGCCTAATAAATATTTAGGTACATAAGTGGGTTTGTCCATCCACAGAGGGAGGAATGATGAAGCAAACCAGCCTCGCTACAATGAAAATAACTTTATCTCTCATATGTTAAAAGTTAAAAACTTGTGCTTGCTTCAGCAGCACATATACTAAAACTGGAATGATTCAGGGAAGATTAGCATGGCCCCTGTGCAAGGATGATACATGAATTCGTAAAGCCTTCCATATTAAAAATAATAATAGGCCGGGCGCAGTGGCTCATGCCTGTAATCCCACCACTTTGGGAGGCCGAGGCAGGTGGATCACAAGGTCAGGAGTTCAAGACCAGCCTGGCCAAGATGGTGAAACCCCGTTTCTACTAAAAATACAAAAATTAGCTGGGCGTGGTGGTGGGCACCTGTAATTTCAGCTACTTGGGAGGCTGAGGCAGAGAATTGCTTGAATCTGGGAGGCGGAGGTTGCAATGAGCCGAGATCGCACCACTGCACTCCAGCCTGGACGACAGAGCGAAACTCTGTCTCAAATAATAATAATAATAATAATAATAATAATAGGCTGGACATGGTGGCTCATGCCTGTAATCCCAGCACTTTGGGAGGCCGAGGCAGGTGGATCACCTGAGGTCAGGAGTTTCAGACCAGCCTGACCAACATGGTGAAAACCCATCTCTACTAAAATACAAAAATTATCTGGGTGTGGTGGTGGGCACCTGTAATCTCAGCTATTTGGGAGGCTGAGGCAGAAGAATCGCTTGAACCCAGGAGGTGGAGGTTGCAATGAGTAGAGATCATGCCATTGCACTCCAGCCTGGGCAAGAAGGGTGAAACTCCATCTTAAAAAATAATAATAAATCATAATAATAATAAAAAACTCTAGAGGACTGTGATTCCTATTCTTTTCAAAAGTATGTTTATGTTTACTGATACTTCCCTTGTTTCCAAATATAAACTTGAATTGCTTTTCAAATCTATAGTTGAAAGTACAACAGCCTTTCTCCCTTTGTGAACCCCAAAACAATTTCTGGGAAGGTTGAAACGATATCTAGGAATTATACCTATTTAGAAAAGCAAACCAGCTTCCTAAATTTCTTCCTTCAGCCAGATACCTTTTGGTAAACAGCAAAAGTCATTTTGTTTTTTTTTTTTGAGATGGAGTCTTGCTCTGTCGCCCAGGCTGGAGCGCAGTGGCACGATCTTGGCTCACCACAACCTCCGCCTTCCGGGTTCGAGCAATTCTCTTGCCTCAGCCTCCTGAGTAGCTGGGACTACAAGTGCATGCCACCATGCCCAACTAATTTTTGTATTTTTAGTAGAGAGGGGGTTTCACTATGTTGGCCAGGCTAGTTTAGTTAGTGTAATTTTATTAAATTAATTTTTAAAAAGATATATAGGATAGAAAGGCATGGATGGGATGGGAAATAAAAATGGCTGACCTCTCCCTCTGGGAATCTGGAAGCCTCTGCTGAGGTTTTTGTGTGTGTGCGTTGATGGGGGGTGGGTACATGAGATCAGCTTCACCAAGGGGCAGACCAGCTCCATCTCTAGGCCCAGGGAAATGGGATACCTTGCTGCTCTGAAATGTTGATGAGCTGCGGAGGGGAGAGGGACAGGGGAGCAGATGGAATTCCTGGACAATTGTTCCGGCTGTCACCAGAGAGGATAGGCTGGAGGGGGCCCTGGATAATTTATGGAGGGACAGATGCTTCTCCGGAACCATCTGGCCAAGAGAGGCCTGGGCTCGGGGTGGATGATGTCTTTAGGTCTGAGGAGACTCCTGGCCTCCAGCCTTCCTCATTTCCTCTACCTGGCCTGCTCGGTGCCCTGGGGCTTTCCTAGGATGGCTGTGCTCCCTGAGGACCCAGCTGCAGAATTCCACCTGATCCTCATCTCACTCTCTCCTTTGCTGAGTCTGGGGCTTGTCTTTGCTACCATTCCTGTTAGTGCTAAGTGGGGCCTTGAGGTCATGTAACTTCCATCTATGCATTTTCTTATTTTATAGTATTTTCAACCCCTCTTCTCCACCAGTATATTCCAAAATCTGTCAATCACCAACCTCCATACCATTTATTCATTCAATAAATATTTACTGGCCGGTGCAGTGGCTCACACCTGTAATCTCAGCACTTTGGGAGGCTGAGGCAGGTGGATCACTTGAGGTCAGGAGTTCGAGACCAGCCTGGCCAACATGGTGGAATGGTGGAACTCCCATCTCTACTAAAAATACAAAAAATTAGCTGGCATGCGCCTGTAATCCCAGCTACACAGGAAACTGAGGTGGGAGAATCACTTGAACCCGGGAGGCGGAGGTTGCAGTGAGCCGAGATCGCACCACTACACTCCAGCCTGGGCAACAGAGTGAGACCCTGTCTCAAAAATTAATTAATTAATTAAACAAACAGAATAAAAAAAATCTATTGAATACCTACTATGCCAGGCATTGTTTTAGACACTGGGGATACTGTGATGAGCAAGAAAACATCCCAGACCTCTGGAGTTTGCTTTGTAGTGGGGAGATGATCAATAAACAATAAATATTTAATATAATGTCAGATAATGATAAGTACTATGAATGAAAACATTAAAGCAGGGTAAAGGAGAATAGGGATGCTGATTTAGATTGAGTGGCCAAGGAAGGCTTCTCTAAAGTGATGACACTTGAGCAAAGACACAAATGAGAGTCAATATTTGGAGGAAGAACATTCCAGGTATGGGGAATAGCAAATTTAGAGACCCTGAGGCAGAAATATGCTTAATGCATTGGAGGAAAACATGCCATTTATTCATTAGGCAATTATTGTGTGCCAAGCACCTGCTAGGGAGTATGAAGATGCAATCAAACATAGTTTTTGCCCTGAAGAAGCAGCAGGGCAAAAGTGGTATAACATGTAAATAAATAATTACACTGCACGGGACAGCTACAGTAAAGCTATGTACAAGTTGCTAGTGATGCCCAGCAAAAGGAGCACTAAAGGGAAATCTTTCTGGGGGAGGTGACATTTTAGCTGATGGTTTGAAGGAATAGGAGGAATTGATGATGCAAAGGAGGAGGAGAGAGATTAGACATCTTAAGGCCCGATGTCCTGAAAACAAAGGACAATTTGGGAACCTGAAGTTCCCAGGAGAGGCAAAAAATGAGGCTGATGAAGGTGGAAGAGCCTGGATCATGCGGATCTTTGAATGCCAAACTGAAAAGCTGGTTTTATTCTCTGGATGACGGGGAACCAGTAGCACGATTCTCTCTCCCACTGTATCTTTGAGATGTGTTCCCCTATTCTTTTTTTTTTTTTTTTTCTTTCAGTACTGGATTCTTTCCCCGCTTCCCGCTATTGCCCTGCTCCTGACACCTCCTTCCTTCTGTGGCCAGTCCTCCAATCCCTGCTTTCAGGAGAGCCCCATTTTTCACCATCACCTACCTAGTGTCCCACCTCCCCAACCCGAGGCCCCGCCCCCATGGCCCCGCCTCAGATGACGCGACACGCCAAGTGCGTGGGGATTCCCGCGGCCCTGGCCACTACCCGGCCTGCCCCGCGGCAAGATGGCGGCCTGAACGCAGCTGGCAGCGGCGGAAAGTTTGTTGTGGGGTTGGAGTAGTCGGGCGGGGAAGCCAGAGTTGGGGAGGATTGCGGGGGCCCTAGCCTGTAGTAGGGGCGAAGGGGGTACTGGCTCCAGGGTTGAAAAGAGGAGATGGAATGGAGTAAGGTCCGAGGCGGAGAGGAAAAAAAGGAGCTGGGGCGGACCGGGGCCCTAGGGTCCAGTGGCAGCCCTAGGGGAGGGGGATTTGGGGGCGGGGCAGCCAGAAGTAGGTGTTGTGCAGGCCCTGGAGAAGCAGAGTCACAAGTTGGAGGAAAATTTCTTAGCCGCGAATAAAGAAGCCTGGAGCGTGGGATAGAGGCCCGACTGTATCTGGCCGGCCAGAGGGGAAAGGGATCTTTCTAGTAGAGTGGGATAGTGAGGAAGAGAGATCTGGAGGATGCCGGGCAGATCTGCTAAGGAGGGAACTAAAGCCAGTCAAATGACCCTCTTCTAGGCTTAGATCAGCCTTTCCACAGCTGTTAGCAGCATCTGCCCCAATTTCAGCTGAAGATTCAGGTGCCCCAGGGACTGGAAGAAATTACAGTGCCTACTTGGAAAGAAGAAGAGATAGCGACTTGCCCCAGTCCAACCCCAGAGCGGGTAAGGTGGCTTCCAGTGACAGGTTTCTGGCTGGCATGCTCCCTGGGAGGAGGATGCATGGGCTTAGAGTGATGCCAAGAAACATTTGGTCTGAAAAGGGCTCACTTTTATAGAGTTTGTCCTTTGTCTGAGGTCCTTAAGTTAGTGTTTGGCGTAGATTGCAGGCTGACTTTTGAGAGTTGGTGTAGAATTAAGCCTTGTGTGCCTTCACCTATGCAAGTAAACCTGGACAGAGGCCTAGAGACCAGGCCGAAGGATGTTAACACATCCCTGTCACAAGCAGTTTCCTACATGCTCATTGTTTCTGCTTCAATATCCCCATCACTTCTTCACTTTGGCGTCCTGCCTGGAAGTGGAGATTTGTGGGTGACAGATGGTGGGGAGTCACGAGAAAACAAATTCTGATCGTGTTCACTGACCATTTAGGTACCTGCTGTCACTGACTCCTGAATTCATTCTCGCTGTGTGTCTACTTTTGCTTTTTTGGTAAGAAGGGCTCATTAGTGTTCCTCTGGGGATGTGGATTTTGGTGGGGGTATCAGAGGTGAGGGAAAGGCAGGTTGGGATTAGAGAGAAAAAATGTAGATCAGTTTCTGGTAAGAGATCAAGTGGACTGATGTAAAGCTCTGGGAATGTTTAGCACCGCACTGCCTATCCTTGAGACCCCTAATATTTGAGAGCTACTTTACAGTTGGACAAGTGTGGTGATGCAAAGAAAGGATCATGGAACTTGCTCTTTTCTTTTCTGGTAGTTTTTTTCTCTCCTTTGTAATCTTCCCATCAAACCACTTTTGAAAAATATCAGTCTCAGTAGCCAAACTAAGCATGGCCTGAGAGGTAGTGGATTTGGTGTTGGAGAGAAAGGAAAGGGACTGGAGCCAGAGAACACAGTGAATGTGGCCTTCACTTCCTTTGGTGAGTGTTTTGCCCTAGCCAGAGTTGGGAGTAGCCTTCTTATTGAAGCCTGCTTCAGGATCAGCATCGCTTCATGGTGGACTAGGATGGTTTGATCTAGAACTCTTCATTTACTGTCTGCTCTGTACCTGTCCCCCCAATCAAAGGCTTACTCCAAACAGAACAACCCAAGTCACTGTTACTAGGTCAGCTTCAGTACCTTTAGGTATTTGAAGAACTGATGATATGTAGCTGTGACTCTGTTTCTGAAGGTTGAGAACCTCCTTTTTCTGAGGACAATTCGTGCCCCCTTTCAAATTGTAATTGTAATCACCCAAGGGTAGTGTGGTGAACACACATAACAGTTAATAGCACTGACTCTGAGCCCGGCCTAGTGGCACATACCTGTAGTCCCAGCTACTTGGGATACTGAGATGGGAGGAGCACTTGAGGCCAGGAGTTTGAGGCTGCAATGCACTATGATGGCACCTGTGAATACCCATTGTACTCCAGCCTGGGCAGCGTAGGAGATGCAGTCTCCAAGAAACAACAAAAAAAGCACTGGCAGGGTGCAGTGGCTCACTCCTGTAATTCTAGCATTTTGGGAGGCCGAGGCAGGCGGATCACGAGGTCAAGAGATCGAGACCATCCTGGCCAACAAGGTGAAACCCCATCTCTACTAAAAATACAAAAATCGGCTGGGCGTGGTGGCATGCGCCTGTAGTCCCAGCTACTCAGGAGGCTGAGGCAGGAGAATCGCTTGAACCTGGGTGGTGGAGGTTGCAGTGAGCTGAGATTGCACCACTGCACTCCAGTCAGGTGACAGAGCAAGACTCCATCCATCTCAAGAAAAAAAGCGTCTCCAAAAAAAAAAAGTCTGTTTGACTTTGCCATTTGTAGCTCTGTGACCTTTATTAATGGCATAGCTTTGTATGCCTCAGTTTTCTTATCAATCAAATGTGGGTAGTAAGAGTATCTATCGCATAGGGTTGTTGTGAAGGTAAATTAGTTAATACATTAATATGCTTACTCAGTGCCTGACAGTAAGTTTTAGTTATACTAGTCAGATCTCAGCACTAATTTCTGTTTCATGGTTGAACCTGCTGTCTCTTTATATAGATAGCATCTGCATTGGTTTGGGCTGCTAGCCTGATGTTAAAGAGATGAAGCAGAGCTTTTGGATAATACAGATTTTTTTGTCGTGAGAATATCCTCATTAGGCTATTTAAGGCAATGTTAAAATGCCAGTGATTTCCTGTTTGAAGCTGTGAGGCTACACAATTATCTTTGCAGTTGAGTAATGATGATAATAATAACAATAATGGTGCTTATTGAGCACATTCTGTGCGTAGGACTGTTGTAAGGGCTTTTCATGTATTAACTAATTTAATTTTTGACTTTTTTTTTTTGAGACGAAGTCTCGTTCTTGTCGCCCAGGCCGGAGTGCAATGGTGCTCTCCTCACTGCAACCGCCGCCTCCCAGGTTGAAGTGATTCTCCTGCCTCAGCCTCCCAGGTAGCTGGGATTACAGGTGCCCACAACCATGCCTGGCTAATTTTTGTATTTTTAGTAGAAACGGGGGTTTCACCGCATTGGTCATGCTGGTGTCAAACTCCTGACCTCAGGCGATCTGCCTACTTCTGCCTCCCAAAGTGCTAGGATTACAGGTGTGAGCCACCGTGCCTGGCCAATTAATTTAATTTTCATAATCATATGAAGTAGATAACTTATTATCCCTGTCTTACAGATGAGAAAATGGAGGCAGAGTGGTTAAGTAATTTGCTTAAGATCACCCAGCTAGTAAGTGACAGAGCTGGTATTTGAACCTAGGCATTCTAGCTTCAGCAGTTGAGCTTTTTTTTTCTTTAGGTTGGTATCAAGTTAACTTAAATATGCGTAGTGGCAATTTGTATTTCTTGTTTGTTTGACTATATCCTGGTTCATGTTTGTTTGTCAGGATGGTTAAATGTATATCCATATTGTAGTAGAATTTTTTTTGATTATTTAAAAAAATGTTTAGGGGCTGAGTTTTTCATCACAACCCTCTCCTTCCTCTCAGAAATAGTAACTGGTGCATGGGCTGTGGTGAGGGAGCCTGCTGTGCCATGTCAGTCAAATCTGGGCTGTCTTCATGATTCAACTTGGTGATGTGATGCAACCTTGGGCCTGGGTTGAATGGACAGACTGACATTAGAATCTACACTGAGCACACCTTAAAGGGGTGTGTGTGTGTTTAATGTAGATGTACGTATAAGGCTCATTTCTGACTTTGATTACTGACATGAGCAGTTGATTAGCCGTAGTAAATATTAAATTCATAGTCTGGATATAATTTTTAAAAAATAGCAAGACATCACCCCCCCCCCAAAAAAAAACTTAACAGTCAATGTCTTTCCTGAATAAAATTAATAAAATTTGAAACAATAAATAATAAAAATAGGAAGTAGCAAACTACACAGAAAAAAAAAAAAAGAAGTGGCATTTTAAATAGCTTCGTCCCCTCAGCTGAATGGGAAAATAGAAAACAAATGTGCTGCTGAAGCCTATGTTGTTTGAAGAAGGCCCTGGCAGCGGTGCTCAGTCTCTCCCTTTAGCCAGGCAGGAGGCCCAGTGTAGCCTTGAGGTAGAGGTGTGCCCAAGGTTTCATTGACTGGCTTTCCTTTGCCCTGTATTTAAGACTCACTCTCCTCCTCCTTCTGAGTCATGTCCTGTCTATTTAACACACCTTCAGGGCCCTTCTTTTTCTTCAACAAATGACTCTCTACCCTGCCATTGAAGTAGGCATGTGTCTGCCATCTAATTAGATTTCAGGGGAATTGCGGGCTCAGGACTTTGGGCTTTCCCTGGGAACTCTGCACTGGCCCTCTGATGACCTTTCCTATTTGTTTGGCACATGTGATTTTGAGAAGCAGACGGTATCTGTCAGACGTATCGCTCCCCACTTCATGAACTTGGGAGCCATATATCTTAGGATAGTGTATTTTATCTTGCATTGCGTGGCAGTCAGCGTGCTGAAACGTGTTATCTCTAAAGAGTATACCTTTGTACTTTGGTAGACGTCCTCAAATTTTCTGGATTCGGGTCACATTTTAGTAAACTATGGAGTTGCAAGGTGAAGGATGATGGATTTTGAGCTGATTCTTCCCCTTTATTGTTTTCTTTGTTGTGTAAATCAATTCTCAGGGTGCCCCTTATTCAGATATTTATGAAGCCAATCCCTTCACTTCCTTCTCACCACCATATTTTGAATGCCAACGACCTCTGGGTGAAGGAACCTTCATTTCTCACCTGGATTCAGGCTCTTAAATAGCTCTCCAAACTGACCTCATTCTAGCCTCTAGATCTTTGCATACACTGGTGCTACTCCTTTGCCTACCTTTTTGTCCTTCAGGTCTCAGTTTAAACGTCACTTCCTTTAGTATCTCACCCCTGCCCCCTTGAGTGCCCTTCTTCTGTGCTTCTGTCCGATACTTATGCTGTGTCATAATTGCCTGTTTACTTGTCTGATTCTCATAAGACTAAGTGCCCTGAGAACAGAGACTATGTCTTATTCACTACTGTGTTTGTAGCATTTAGGACAGTGCTGGGCCTTAATAGGTGCTTTATGATGCCGTGGTGCATGTAGAATGAATAAAATGTGGTCAGCAGTCTCTTCTCACACCAGTCTATCTTCCATGGTGCTGTCAAAATTATTTGCCTATAAAATAGTCTTCCTGGCTGGGCGTGGTGGCTCACGCCTGTAATCCCAGCACTTTGGGAGGCTGAGGTAGGTGAATCACGAGATCAGGAGTTCGAGACCAGCCTGATGAACATGATGAAACCCTGTCTCTACTAAAAATACAAAAATTAGTTGGGCGTGGTGGTGCGTACCTGCAATCCCAGCTACTCAGGAGGTTGAGGCAGGAGAATCACTTGAACCCAGGAGGTGGAGGTTTCAGTGAACCAAGATCGTGCCATTGCACTCCAAACTGGGCAACAGAGCAAGACTCCATCTCAATAAAAAAAAAAAAAAAGTCTTCCCTTAGAAATGCCATGGGTTCTTCCTTACTTAAGTTAAAGCCCACACTGTCTGGCTTGGCATGCCAAAAGGCTCCTTATACTGGGGTCCAGACCCAGACCATTAGCCTGAGTTGCTGCTATTCCACCTCATCTGTCCTGTGCTTCATTGCTCCCAAATTTCTCACTGCTCCCAAACCTATCATGGGCATCCATTTAGTTTCATCTTCTTTGCCCATGTACTTCACTCAGTCCATAATGCTCACCTCTGCCTCTGAAACTGCCCATCCCCTAAGACCCAGCTCCTTTGTCACCTCCAGTGAGAAGCCTCCGCTGCTTTTCTTTCCTCCTCTTGGTCCCCTGCAGCACTTTCTTTGAACCTCTGTTTTGGCACTTACCATGTTGTTTGGTGAGGGCTCTGTTTACTTGTCTGTTTCTTTCACTGGGCTGATCTCCTGTAGACAGGGGACTTTGCAGAACATGTGGTGGAGAGGAGTCGGTGGGAATGGTAATGAATAGTGTGAAAGAATCTGATTGTGGAGCTAGGCAGACCTGGTTTAAATCCTAATTCTGCCACTCACCACCTGTGCAACTTTGGGCAAGTTCCTTAACCAGTAGGATTCTTGGTCTCATCTTGGTCTCTAAAATGAGGTTGGCTGGGTGTAGTAGCTCACTCCTGAAATCCCAGCACTTTGGAAGGCTGAGGCAGGAGGATCACTTGAGGCCAAGAGTTTGAAGCCAGACTGACTGAGCAACATAATGAGACTTTGTCTCTACAAAAGACATTCAAAACTTAGCTGGGTATGGTGGCTTGTGCCTGTGGTCCTAACCCTCAGGAGGAGGCTGAGGTGGGAGGATAACTTGAACCCAGGAGTTTGAGGCTGCAGTGAGCTATGATTGCACCATTGCACTCCAGAATGGGTGACAGAGCCAGACCCAATCTCTAAAAAAATTAAAAACAAAAAAAAAAATAAAATATGGGTGACATCTTTTTTGCAGGAGTAATGAGTTCATAGCATATAGCATGGTGCCTGGCATATAAAAGACACTTGGGGCTGGGCACGGTGGCTCATGCCTGTCAATCCCAGCACTTTGGGAGGCTGAGGTGGGTGGATCACCTGAGGTCAGGAGTTCGAGACCAGCCTGGCCAACATGGTGAAGCCCTGTCTCTACCAAAAATACAAAAATTAGCCGGGCATGGTGGCAGGCACCTGTAATCCCAGCTACTCAGGAGGCTGAGGCAGGAGAATCGCTTGAACCCGGGAGGTGGAGGTTACAGTGAGCTGAGATCATGCCACTGTACTCCATCCTGGGGCACAAGAGCGAGACTTCATCTCAAAAAAATATATAAATAAATAAAGGACACTTGGTAAATATTTGTTGAATGAATAAATTTCCCATTTTGGAGCTCTGCAAATAGGAAAAGGCTTTGTTCTATTAAATCTAAAATAAGCCTTTTGATTTCTGCCTGGTAGCCAGGAGCATTTTGAGGTGGGAGTAAAACGGAGTCTCCTTTCTTGTGAGGAAGCAGTAAAAAAGGTGAGATTAGGAGCATCATCAATGAGCAGCCTGTGCAGAGATTGTTGGTGTTTCTCCCCATCTCTGTTTGTTTGTTTTTCCCAAGACGGAGTCTTGCTCTGTCATCCAGGCTGGAGTGCAGTGGCACGATCTCAGCTCACTGCAACCTCCACCTCCCGGGTTCAGGCAATTCTCCTGCCTCGGCCTCCTGAGTAGCTGGGATTACAGGTGCCTGCCACTGTGCCTGGCTAATTTTTTTGTATTTTTAGTGGAGGCGGGGTTTTACCAAGTTGGCCAGGCTGGTCTTGAACTCCTGGCCTCAGGTGATCCACCCACCTGGGCCTCCCAAAGTGCCAGGATTACAGGCGTGAGCCACCACGCCCAGCCTCCCCATCTCTTGTTTTGTGATGACTCCTTTGATGATCGTGATATGCTGGCCTTCTCCAGTTCTGGTGAGGTTGGTGGTGGTGGATTCGTAATGTAATTAAGGCTGGGGATAGACAGAAAGCTGCTCACAGTGGATGACTGGATGGAGAGTTTCAATATCCATGTTTCCCCATATTTTATGGATTGAAAAATGGGTGAATCTGATGGAACACATCCAGGCATTGAGGAAGCCAGACTTCTTGGCCCCACTTTTCTTAGGGCTTTAATGGTCTTCCTGTGCCACAGAACAGGCTTAACTTGGATGCTTCCCACAAGTGGGGCTGATAGCTGCATCATGATCCATTCTTTGCTTTTTTGTTTCTAGTGTAGTTGATGGGGGTAGTCCTTAGAGCCCCAATTGCTAACAAACACCAAATGAATTTCTTTCCAGAATTAAGTGTATAATGCCAGGGATACTCCAGTGCGAGTTTACAATCAGATGAGGAAGATATGTCTGAGTTCTCTGGATGGCAGCCTTGTCTGGTCCTTAAACCCTTGTCCCAGCTAGGTACCTCTCCTCTGTGCTCTCAAAGCACTCAACCACACTGTACTGGAAGTGACTGTTAACCTGTCTCTCTCCCACTAGGAGTAAGATCTTCTGTCTCTGAAGCTTCTTAGGGGCAAGCTTTTTTACTGAAGGCCAAGCATTTAGGCACTATAGAGTAAGTGCTGAGCAATGTTGGTTACTGTGTGACCCAACTCAGTCCTTCCTCAGTGGGATTAAAGAAGATGGAATCTATCTGGCAAAACCTTTTGCACCCTCAGGAAGGAAGGTCCTGCATAAACAAAAGGTGATAGTGTTAACAATAGCATTACTAATTATTTTCCAGGATTGCATTCATGTGGTTAAATCATCTTCCAGGTGCTTGGCTTCAGCTGTCTCCCTTTTAGCCTTTTTATGTTTTTTTTTTTTTTCTTTTTTTGAGACAGAGTCTTGCTCTGTTGCTCAGGGTGGAGTGCAGTGGCGCGATCTTGGCTCACTGCAACCTCCGCCTCCTGGGTTCAAGCAATGCTCAGCCTCCCGAGTAGCTGGGACTACAGGCATGTGCCACCACGCGCAGCTAACTTTTGTATTTTTAGTAGAGACGGGGTTTCGCCATTTTGGCCAGGCTAGTCTGGAACTCCTGACCTCAGGTGATCCGCCCACCTCGGTCTCCCAAAGTGCAGGGATTACAGACGTGAACCACCATGCTCGGCCAGACGGTTTATGTTCTAATAACACATCCCTAAGCAATCAGAAAGGGGGTTAAAGGAGGAGGTGAGTACGTACCAGTAGCTTTCCAGTAGCTTTTTTTTTTTTTTTTTTTGAGATGGAGTCTTGCTCTGTCGCCCAGTTGGGAGTGCAGCGGCGCGATCCCTGCTCACTGCAACCTCTGCCTCCTGGGTTTAAGCAATTCTCCTGTCCCAGCCTCCCGAGTAGCTGGGACTACAGGTGCCTGCCACCATGCCCGGCTAATTTTTGTGTTTTTAGTAGAGATGGGGTTTCACCTTGTTGGTCAGGCTGGTCTCAAACTCCTGACCTCAGGTGATCCACCGGCCTCAGCCTCCCAAAGTGCTGGGATTACAGGTGTTAGCCACCATGCCCGGCTCCAGTAGCTATTTTTTTTTGCCTAATTAGCATCCCTAGAAAGGTCTTTGGCTGCTGGCTGCTCCTTTGTAATTCTCTATGCTGCCCTTTCTATTGCCCACTGTAACCTGCTTGCTTTTCTGGTCCTATCTCTAGTCCCATCTAGGCGTACTCAGTGCTCACAGCCAGAGCTTAATACAACCTTGTTAATGCCCAGATAAATCAAAAGGATGAAACCAATAGCTAAAAATGGACTGAAGGAGTTTTCCCTGGGTTCTCTCCCTTGTCCCTGGGTGTGAGAATGTGCATTGCGTTGTGGCATATCTTTGCAGATGGCAACTTGCGGGAAGTAATAAACTGCGTTTTATGTTAAGCAGAGAGGGGGTTGAGTGAGCCAGCCAGACTGGATTGTGTTGGATATCTTAGGCTTCAAGGGGACTAAGTCTCCTTGACTGGTCCTGAGTAGAAGGGTGGGACCTCTTCTTTGTTAGTTACTATCTTGTGCCAATTGTGTGCTAGGTGACATTTAGAATTTATAAAGGACATGGCCCCTCTTTGTGAGAAGCTTCTGTGCTGTGGTGGGGAACTCAATACCATCCCTTGAGAGGAGGATCCGCCTACGGAGAAGCCATCCTAGACCCCAAAACCCTGGACTTCTACTCAGCTAACCAATAGGATAAAACTCTGCTTATCATTTTGGGTACCAAGCGGTGGTTGGCCTCTTTATACCTTCACAGGTAGCCCAAGTAGGGAACTGAATCTCAGAAGTCTTTGAGGGTCTTGATATTAGGGCAGAATTGTCCTGGTATTCCTGTGGCTTCCTGGAAAAGAGCTTTCCAGGCTTTGCACTGGTATTGGAGACAGGGGAACTGGGTTATGTCCCACTTCTGCTTGTGGTCTTGGGCAAATCACTTGTGCTTTCTGACCCTCACAATGGGAGAGCTCCCTATTCTTTGTGCCTCACTGGACCATAAGCATCAAAGGAAATATCATGGAAGGGAAAGAGCTTCTGGGATGATAAAGCACAGTGTAGATGCAGGGTTTTTGTCTGTTTGCCTAGGAACTGTTGGTTTCACCATAAACATACATCCCTTGTGTAAAATGCTAACCATACAGAAAAGTATACAAAATAAAAAGTAAGAAGATCCTCCCTTTCTTCTCCCATTGTTCCTGCCTAACTTGTTTCCCCAAAGATAGGGAACCACTGTTCGCCATTTATCTTGTACCCTTCTAGTAGTTTTTTTTTTTTTTTTGAGATGGAGTTTCGCTCTTGTCACCCAGGCTGGAGTGCAATGGTGCCATCTCGGCTCACTGCAACCTCCACCTCCCAGGTTCAAGCGATTCTCCTGCCTCAGCCTCCCGAGTAGCTGGGATTATAGGCGCCAGCCAACACGCCCAGCTAATTTTTTGTATTTTTAGTAGAGACGGGGGTTTCACCATGTTGGCCAGGCTGGTCTTGAATTCCTGACCTCAGGTGATCCGCCTGCCTCAGCTTCCCAAAGTGCTGGGATTACAGGCATGAGCCACTGCACCTGGCCTCTAATAGCTTTTTTTATACGTCTAGACATTCCTCACCAAAACTCAATATTAATACAGACTCTTCTTCAGCTTTCTTTGTTGACTTAAGTGACCAAGGAGTGGAATGGTCCCTGTTGGAGCCGCTGAGGAGCCTGGTTACAGCCTCCTTCCCAGTCGAGTGAGTTCCTCTGGGGCTGGCTCCCTGGGAGGGATGGAGAAGTTTTACTAGAGGGTCTTGCCACAGCAGGCACCCTGGCTGTCTCTGAGGGACATTTTTTTATTCTGAGATGAAATTGGCAGGAGTGTCCTTGAGTGGGAATCAGGATGGATATAACAGCGATGTGGGCATTGGCACTCCCATCTCACCTGTGTCTCTCCCCTTCACTCATTTCATTTTTGCCTTGGAAAAGAGAAAAATTATCTGATTTCTCAAATCCTATATTAGTGCAGTGAGAGTCCCTGATTTCTGAAACCTTGAATTAGCCATGTCACTTGCTGCTCTTTTAAAAGCACACCAGACCCAGTTGGTGTTTTTGTTTTCTTGTGGGTGAGGATTCTGAAGGTCACCTGTCAGTGGCTGTGCTCAGTCTAGAGCAGGGGTCAGGGCCTGTCGGAAGAGTTGTTGTCTTTTTTTTCTAGACAGTTGTCTCATCTTCATAGTCAGGCCTTGGCCTATTTGAGCTCTTGGGCTGTAGTCAGAGCAACATGGGGAGCCCAGTGTGTAGGCAATTATTGGAAGTGTTTCCTGTCTGCGTGAATCTTGATCCTAGGCTTGGGAAAAGGCCAGGCCCACCTCTGTGGCCAGGGTGGTGACTCTTCCCTTTTTGCCCTGAGTCATCAGAGAGCCTGCAGGGCTTCCTAGAACAGGAGAGAGGACCCCTCTCTTGTCTTTTCCCTGCCAACATCTTACCCTCTGCTAAGCATCAGTGGGTGTGGATATATGTGTTGCAGTCCTGTCCTCCCGCCCCAGGGGACACATCTTGTGGGGTCTCTGGAATGCCACTGCTTTTGCCTCATTTGCCTTGCAGTCTGTGAGCTAGAGGTGTCACTTCCCCCAGGGTGGTCTGGAGGCTTCATGGAAGAGTTGTTTCTGCCGTTGATGGGAGAGCTTCTTGCTCTGTTGCTCGTGTTGCTTGTTCTGAGAGGGGAGAATAGTCCCTGTTGCTCCTCTGGGGCTGGTTCCCTGGGAAGTGCCACCCCTGGCCAGGCGGCAGTGTGCAGCCCGTGCTGTTGACTGGCCCAGCTGTAGGCCAGGCACACACTGCCCCATTGTACTGTGCTTTCCGACGCAGCCCTTGTCATAGCCTCTAATCCTTGGGCTGCTTCTCTCCCAGCCCCTCAGAGCCTGTGGGAGGTGGTGGGATGGACTCTGCTGGCACTGGTGCGGGATGGGTTGCAGCTGCAGCTGTGGGTGGCTTTGTTCTTACAGCCTAGCTTTCAGAGTCCTGGTGCAGCCTGGCAGCAGTGTTTGGGGAACAGGCGAGATAGAGGAGCTGAGCCCCTTCTCCAACAGCCGTCCTCTCTTTCTGTTGACCAACCAGAGAGGCTTTTTGCCTGAGGTCAGCAAGCTGGCCTCCCTGGTTGGCAGGGGGAGTGCTTGGCTTCCATCTGGCATGGTTTCCGGATGGGAGAAAGCCCCTGAGGGTCTGGTGGTAAGTCTGCGATGCTTCCCATCAGGAGAGTGCAGTGTGCAGTGTGTCCCCTTGGGCATCCTGCAGCTTGCCATTCCTCTGCTTTCTCTCTGCAGCTCCGGAGTTGGGCTGCTCACAAACCAAGCTGTCTGTTTATATGGAGTGCCTGGAGGGCATCTGCCATGAGTCTGTCGCTAACTGCACTAACCAGGAGAGCTGGCTGGTTGGGGAGAAGACACTAACCCTGTGAGTCTGACCTCAGCCAGCTAACCTGCCCTGGGGTGCCACCAGCAGGGCCTCTGTCCTCCATCCTTCCCCGCAGCCTGGCTGCCTCCCTCCTTAGCTTATATCACGCCATCTCCTCTGCTCTCTTGTTCTTACTACTGCGTCCCTCTATTTTCCCAGTCTCCCTTTGCTGTGGGTGGGGATGTGCCCCCTTCACGGCCACCTGCCCATCACCAGCCTGCTGCTGGGCTCCACTGACCACCCCCCACCGTCACCCTTCCCCGAGTCAGCAGCGTGCTCTTCACTTCTCCCTTCATACAGAATTGGTTCGAGTTTCTGTTGAATCTGTGCTTTTAGCACAGAGTTTGAGAAGATCCCTCAATTACCATGCTGCTGCTGCTTCTCATGCCTCAGAGACAGATGAACTAGAGTGGGAAGGGACTTTTCTCCTAGATCAGATCATTTCCTCCCTTTATCAAGAAGGGAAGGTTGGATAGTGTCCCTGTTACTCTCACCCTAGGATAAGAAGTTAGGATCAGCTGCAAGGTTCTCTTTAGGATTGGGGAGGTAGAGGAAAACCTTGACCTGGTTCTGGGGAATTCCCTGGGCAGAAAAGTGAAGCTACTTAAACTGAATGCTGGGGCCCCAAACCAGGGACCCATGTGAGATGTCACTCCCATTGGTGACCGTTGCTCTGGGAGGTGAAGTTTGTCCCCCCCACCTCTTTTCACATCCGGAGTTTCTGGTGGACTTTAGCCATGAAAAGCTGGGAAGGGTGCCTCAGTAGAGTGGGGGCAGGACCTGGCTTCGGATTCCACACTGGGCTCAGAAAAAGTCCTGGCCTCAGACTGGGAGATGGGTGCGTGCAGCCTGGCTTGGAGAAGCTCCCACGCAGTCCCTTCTCCCTCCAGGCTTGGGAAGGAGAGGCGGGTCTGGAGATCATGAGAAAGTTGATTGCCTGTTGTTTCCTGGTGTTCCACACAGGTCACTCTAGATAGACTGTGGCTTCGGCTTCCGGAGGCAGTGTGGTGCTAGGGAGGCTGGACAGGGGGAGCTTGAGAACAGAAGGCTGCCTAAGTGGATTCTGTTCCCCTTGGGCTGGGTGAGAGAAGGCAGCAGCCTACCAGCACTGGGTGGGAGCTTGTAAATGGGAGAGGGTGTGTTATGGGCCCGGAGCGAGGAGGATAGCACTCCTGAGCGGGATGATGATTTCTCGGAGGTTGATAGATTAAGAGACCAAAGTTGGTGGGGGATATCCATGTTGACCAGAAATATCTGTTTGTTTTTTTGGGTTTTTTTTGAGACAGAGTTTCGCTCTTGTTGCCCAGGCTGGAGTGCAATGGCACGATCTCGGCTTTCTGCAACCTCCGCCTCCCAGGTTTAAGCGATTCTCTTACCTCAGCCTCCCGAGTAGCTGGGATTACAGGCATGCGCCACCACGCCCGGCTCATTTTGTATTTTTAGTAGAGACGGGGTTTCTCCATGTTAGTCAGGCTGGTCTCGAACTCCCGACCTCAGGTGATCTGCCCGCCTTGGCCTCCCAAAGTGTTGGGATTACAGGTATGAGCCACTGTGCCTGGCCCGATGAGAAATATCTTGATGAAAATGCACTACGTCCAATAAATGAATATATGTACTATGCAATATTAAGGATTTATAGTACTGATCAATATCCATGTGGAAATGAATTTTATTATATGATTAATAATAGTGAATGTATGATAGTTGATTAAGGAATAAACAATACCTATTTATATGCATGTGGATTGAGCTTATAATGTATTATATATGAGTGTACTATGTACAAATAAACATTTATAGTACTATATATTATTCATGGGGACTAGCAGTAATGCAGAGATGTTTAGGGACCCCAAATGGGGAGTTAACAAGCTGGAGGCTTTCTTGACTTGGCTCTGACCAGGAAAGCAAAAGGGCCTGGAGTTGAGGCCTGGTTGAGGGCCGGTCCTTCACTTTGGCCTTTCTTAGGAGAGGGCATGGGGTCTAATGTCAAATGCAGGCTATGACCTTGGGGATTTCTTGCCCTCTTTTTTTGCAGGGAGGGGTTGGTTTGCCTGGCTCTTTAGCCCCTTGTTCCTGTGAAGTGTTTGTCTGGATGTGAGGCCAGGTGGATAGACTTGGAAGTGTTTGCTCATGTGGGAGCCAGATGAGCTCTCACAGGTCACCAGCACTGTTCTGAGTCCTCAGGATTGCTTTGGGGCAGAATAATTCCCACTCTTTTTGGCTTTCAAAACCCTGTCAATCTGTTTGGTTTAGAGTAGGCAGGGGGCCAGGTCAGGGCTGCAGGCAACTTGTCCCAAGAGGGTGAGGTTGTACTTGCCCAGAGGGGTGGCGGGCATAGCTGTTGGAGGGGCAGCAGGGCTGGTCTGGGCACAGACTGACATCTTCTAGCCTTGTCTTCAGCCCAGAGCAGAACCTCTGCCCAGTCCCCACCCTATGAGCTGTTGGCTGCCTGCCTGCCACGCGCCCGGGATTGCTGAAGGCTTTACTCATGTATCTCAGGAACAGCTGCATGCCGGAAACTGGGGGCTGGTGGCAAGCAGGAGGGGTACCCCGGAGACGATGTGGGCGAGGCCGAACCCAGTTTTGGTGGGATCAGCCCACTGCTCTGGGGGACTGCTATTCATGGGGAGTCAGTGGGAGAGGGGCTGTATTAATGGTGCAAGGAGTGGGGATCTTCATGAGCAATCCCCAGGACCAAGGCCAGGTCACCTGGTTCCAGGGCTTACGCTTGCAGGGTGACCATTTGTGTTCCTTAGACATCAGTTGGGGGCAGAGACTGGATTTCAGAGGCTTGAGAAGCGGCCAGACTTGTGTGGCGGGAGTGTAGCTGACCCCCACTGGGGCACAGCTTCCCACAGGCTTGCAGACTTCAGAGACTCCACATCCAGCACTTACAGCTCAGGACAGTTCCTGAGGGGGAGGCCCCAGTCCCTGTGTGATCAGACATTTGTGTTTTAGTGGTTGATGAGGGGCTTTAGGAAGGGCTTGTATTTATTATTATTTATTTATACCCTGCTGGGTTCCAAGGGAATTAAGGTGGCATACAACACAGCTGGTGTATTCTGAAACGGCTGGGTGTTCCTTTCATTTTAAAAGCAGTAGCGATTACTAACTTCCGTTTGACTTTGCTTGGTTGAATTATGAAGAAGAGCTTGGATGATTTTCATGGTAATGTGTGGGCCCTTCCTGATTCAGAAGGTTGTGTTCATTGACTCCTTAAGGTCTCTCACTTGCTTGATTCATTGACAGCTGAGAGCAGAAAGGCTTCGTAGTAGGTTCAGAAATTATCTGAACCCAGATAAACTGATGGGGCCACAATTACCTGAAGTAGGTATTGGTGATGTGGAGAGTAGGGAGGTAGTTGCTCTCTAGGGCAAGCTAGCTGCTCCAGGATCAGGAGAGTTGTGGAGTGAGGTAGTAGTGCAGAACGTGGGGAGCTGGAGATGTTTGGTGGGGAAGGCTGAAGTTGGAAAAGCCAAAGAACCATATCCAGTCTGGATTCCTGTCTCCCTCTCCTGGGCTGGTGTTGAAGGGATGGCCTCAGCCTCAGCTGGGAGAAGGATGGATGCTTGAACCTCCTTTCCTCTTCTGCATCTCTGACTTTGCCTGAGCTTTAGGCAGAACCCCGGAAAGGATGGCAGAAGGGAAGTGGGACGGCATCTTTGGCTCTTGGGCTGGAAACTTTTTGCTGTTGCTCCTATGGGTGCTTGCTGGGAACGGTAAGATAGTATATTGGGGAGCAGCAGGATTCTGAAGAGATTTCTCTCTCATACCACTCTGTCTCTAGCAACAGCAATCTTCCACCACGGTGGAAGCCCCTGATCAAATATGCGTACCCACAAAAGGGAGCAGGTATAAGTCCCACCTCCTGGTTAAAGAGTGATGCTTGGCAAATTTTTTTCCTTTTATTAAAGGACACTGCTCAGCCAGCTTCTGGTACAGATCATGCCTTACACCTATTCTGTCTACACTCTGCTCAGCTGTTCAGAGGGTTCACAGTGCAGCTCTGCTGTGCGTGCCGAGTCCCATTTCTAATGAAAGTAGACTTTGTTCTCTGAAGGCAGCTAATCATGCCCCATGGGCTGTAATCAGGGAGAAGGTATTTAATACAGGGCAGGCGGCAACAGGCGGCCTGCACCGACTGGCAAATTGCAACATGGCAATTAGGAAGCTATCACCCCTCTCTCCACCCCAGCAGATATGAAGTAGAGTCTTTCCTTTGAACTGATTTTTGAGTAAGCAAAGAATGAATGCTATGCAGAGCATGGCAGAAGCTGGGGTTGGATGGGGTAGGATGCAGCAGGGGCAGGGAGGGTTGAGGAGAGTCCCTTTTCCTTCTCACTTCACCTTCATGGGATGGGGAAGGGTTGCTGCTACTCTGGGTGTCTCCCTCAACACTGCCTGCAGGTCCAGCCCAAGAAGCCCCAGGCCACGCTAGGTCAGCGAGAGGTTTTAACCTAGGCCTCAACCTTTCTCCCAGGGCATAGCTGTTCTTACAGAACAGACCCAGCACGTTATCTGGTAGTCCAACATCCTGAGTCATCTGCCCTCAGTTCCTCAAGGCTTAGGTTTAGTTTGGGGTGGGGGTGGGAGTGGGATTCTTCCTTGTTGATTTCCTTTTTTTTTTTTTTTTTTTTTGAGACGGAGTCTCTGTCTCCCAGGCTGGAGTGTAGTGGCGCGATCTGGACTCACTGCAATCTCCACCTCCTGGGTTCAATTTTTGTAGAGACAGGGTTTCACCATGTTGGCCAGGCAGCTCTCGAACTCCTGACCTCAAGTGATCCGCCTGCCTTGGCCTCCCACAGTGCTGGGATTACAGGCGTGAGCCACCATGTTGGGCCAGCTCTGTTGATTTCCTGATCTTCCTCCAGAAGACCATTTTCTGGGAGGTGCCCTGGAGCCAGCTCAGCATCCAGAGGCCAGGAGGCCCCAGAGGCTGTCCTTGGCTGCCGCTTGCTCATCATGGGCCATGGCCCATTCTGAGCTGTCCAGCTGCTCTCCTTAGGGACCTTTTCTTCCCCACATGGGATTGGGAGTCCTCCTTGGGCTGAAACACTCCAAGGCAACTTGGGAAACCTTTGGGTGAAGGAGATGTGGCCAGGGGAGGCTGCACCTGGTAGCTGGGTCTTCCTGGAGGGACCACTCTGATGCCATCTGCCTCACCCCTTTACCTTCTCCCAGCTTGCAGGCCAAGTGTCCCGATGCTTCTCTCTTTGTTATCCACTGCACCATGCATCACTGTCCTCCTTGGGTCTGTCCGGACTTTCCCTGCACACCTTCCTTGCCTCCAGTCAAGGACTGTGGGCTGCCAGGCCCGTTGTATTCCTGTTCATTGCTGGAACTGTGGGCCCCTAATGGGCTGGATCTGGGGCACTCAGCAGATTTCAGAAGTTGGAGCTAGGGCCTGGGTGTTGGGCACACCCTGTGTTTATGGACACAGGGCAGGAAGTGGTTGGTACACATCTCCCTCGCAGCCTGGTGTTGAGGAACACCATGGGCCCCCTGGTGGATTGTCTTCCCAGTGGGCATTGCCTTCTGCTTCCTTAGTTGGGAGTGGTTTCCCATACCTGTAACTCTGACATGCGTGGAAAGAATAGGCTCTGGCAGAGAGAATAACCTCCCATCACAACCACCCCCATCCCCAGAGAGTCTGTCTGCATTTACTGCCTGTCCCACTGCCAGCTACCTTCTCAGGATACTCCTTGCCTAGCAAGCCAGATCGCCTCTGGCCATGGAAGCCCTGGGGATAAATACATGCTGTAGGGCCAGGGAGTGGGGCTTGAGGTCAGGGTGAGGCAGGAGGAGCTAGAGGATGTGTGGCAACTAGAGCCAGGGCTGCAGGGTGTGGAGTGAAGCAGCCTTCCCTACAGGATTGCTGGACACCCAAGTGCGTTTGTGTCCTCCCTGCCTGCCTGCCGTTCATGCAGGTGTTTCGGTACCAAGAGGACAGCACAGGCCTTGCCAGGAATAGGGACAAGGGAGTACAGAGGAATAGAGGAGGGGCACACAAAGGGGCCTGCAGAGAGAAAGGGCTTCCTGAGATGACTGGGGAGCACATGGGGGAAGGGAGCTGGGACCTGGACCCTCTGTAGAGAAGGGGAAAGGCAGAGACCAACTCTCTGAGCTGCCCCTTTACTTTGTAGAAGCTCTTGACTGCTCGCATCTCTCACTCTTCCATCTCTGGCCATACCCTGTTTTCCAACTCACGCACCCCACACATTTACCCTCTGAGTATCAGAATCCACATACCCAGGTGGGTTTAGGACTTTCTAGGCCTCTCCCTCAGGCCATAGGAGCACCCACCCCGGGCTCCTCTGGAGGGGCAGCCCCAAGGAACCTGTTGGGGTAACTTGTTTGCTCCCCACACCCCGGGAATGTGCCGTCCTTTCAGGCCCGCCCACCCGGATTCCTGTGCAGGGAGTCAGCCGACACAGCATGTTGCATGTGCCCTGTGGGGACACGTTCTGCCTCCTGTCAGGGGGAGGAGGCTGGCGGCCGTGCCTGTGCTGCCGCACCTCAGCTCCCCACCGAACCCCAAACCAGGGCCCAGGCTGTCCAGACAGAGGAGGGAGACCACTCCTGCTTCCCCACCCTCCCTACCCTCTCACCATTCTCCCTGCCCCGGGCCCTGTTGGAATGTGACAGGAGTCATGGCCAGGGCATGTCCCGACAGTGGGAACACATGCTTTAGCCCGCAAGGCTTCCCTCAACCTCCAGCTCTGTTTAGGTTGATGGGGGCGGGAAGAGATTGTTTTTTCTGCCCAGAAGGCCACCTGAGGTTACTGCCTGATCACTGGTGGCTGCTGCCCCCGTGCTGCAACCCAGCTAATTACAGGTGGGGGCCAGGGAGGGGTGTGCACCCATCTCTGAACCTCAGGAGGCCGGAGGGGCTCTCACAGGTCACTCAGTCCAGCCACCTCTGTGTAGATAAGGAACTGAGCTATCCAGTGAGGAAGGGCATTACACAGGGCCCCACAGTGTCAGTGCTGAGCCTGGAGCCCAGGTGTCTCCAACTCCCCCGACTGGGGTTTTCTTCACGAGTGTTCCTCAGCCTTGGCACTCTGGATATTTTCTATTGGGAATCATTTGTGGTGGGAGTTGCCCTATGGTTGTGGGATGACCAAAGCATCCCCGGCTTCTACCCACTAGGTGCCAGTGGCACTCCTTCCCTCCAGGTTTCGACAACCAAAAATGTCTCCAGACACTTGCCAGACGTCCCTGGGGAAGGAGAGTGGGCGCCAGACGTCCCTGGGGAAGGAGGGTGGACAGAGTTGCCTGGTTGAGAGCTACTGCTCTGTGTTGCTCCCTTTTCAGATTTCTTCTCCTAGCCCTATGCCTCCTCATTGCAAAGGCCGGTGACCATCATTATACACCAAATAGCCTTGGGCCTCCTTCTGGAAATGCTAGGTGCTCTCTTTCCATCATTTTCTCTATCTTCTTGGATCTCTGTGAGGCTTTTTCCTGGTGTTCTCATTTGTAACCCATGTTCCCCAAATCTCTTAGTTGTTTCCAAACTCTGAGAGGCTTGGGAGATGAGGACCGATGTGGAGTAGGGACAGGACGGAACCGGACCTATTCCAGAATTGGGCAATGTGCTGAGACCATGAACACACAGACACATGTATCTCATCTGGGCCTGTGACAGTACTGTCATGGAGAAAGGCAGGAACCCAGTGCTTCCAGTCATCTGCCTCCAGCCGCTTTCCCCTCAGGCCCTCTGTTTCATGGCCTTCCTGCCGTGGTTCTCCCTGGGGGGCCTTCCAGGTCCCAGACTGGGCAGCAGGCCTGTAGCACTGACAGACAGGCGGCTGACACCTGGTTTCCACTTTCTTCCCTTCTCTGGTTTCAGGAGCTGTGGCTAAAGGAAGTGGAGGGGCCGTGGGATGCGGAGAGCCGAGGGCTAACTCCCGGACAGCGGAACAGAGAGAGCTGCCGACAAACAGACGGTATGTCCCTGATGAGGCCTGTGCCCTCAGCCTGGCTCTCTTCTGGGGAGGGGCAGGTGAGGGGGCAGCCAAGTGTTCTCTCTCGGCGGGGGCTGGTGAAAAGAGTGGTGGAGGCCACAGGGGTTTGGTCATCAGTGGCTGAGGCCAGAGAGCTCTCTTGGGCCTTGAGACTCCCACTGGGGATCCTGGATTGTATCCCCAAACTCACATTTTTGGTTATGATTTTTTTTAAACTAACATTTATTCAACATTTCCTAAGTGTTTTACATCATCTTCCCAACAACCCTATGAATTGGTGCTATTCTTAACTGGAATCAGTAGCTCACACCTATAATCCCAGCACTTTGGAAGGCCAAGACAGAGGGATTGCTTGAGCTTGAGAGTTTGAGCCTGGGCAACAAAGTGAGACGCTGTGTACAAAAAATAGCCAGGTGCAGTGGCACATGCTTGTGGTCCGAGCTACACAGAAGGCTGAGGCAGGAGGATTACTTGAGCCCAGGAGGTCGAGGCTGCAGTGAGCCAAGATTGCGCCACTACACTCCAGCCTGGGCAACAGAGCAAGACCCTGTCTCAAAAAAGAAAAGAAAAAAAGAAATTGATGCTGTTTTATCGCTAATTTAGAGTTGAGAAAACTAATGCATAGAGAGCAGTTTTACCTTCTGAGGCCTTCAGAGCCCACAAAGGAGAGTGGTAAGGAGGGTGGTGGGCTGCTTTGAAGCTCCCTGTCCCACTCTTAGAACCTAGGTGTTCAGGCCCTAGGCCCTGCCTTTCCCACCCATCTGTTCCCCGTTGGACCCATGCCCCACCCTCCAGCACTCCTTTGACCTATGGGGACTGACACACCTAAGTCCTGCCCCTCTAGTGACTCCAGTAATGGCCCAGGCCTGTCAGCCTATGTGGTGGCCTCAACATATGTCCCCTTTCACCATCTTTGTTTTTTCTCAGTCCAGAGTCCTTCTGGCCACATCTCTGAGCCTGCCTCCTTCTTGCTTCTCAGCAGGCGGAGGAGCCGTCACCTCCCAGAATGACTAGTGCCGCCCCTGCTAAGAAACCCTACCGTAAGGCACCACCAGAGCATCGGGAGCTGCGTTTGGAAATTCCTGGATCCCGGCTTGAGCAGGAGGTCAGCAAGACTGGTATCACAGCCTGACCGGCAGAGGCAAGGCCCCTGAGGCTGGGTGTCTGGCTGACTTCTCCTGCCTGAGCTTCTGGTCCTGAGTTGGGGTGAGAGTGGGCCTTGCTGTTGCAGGCCTGAGGTCTCCTAGCCGCAGTAGTGCAGGTGGGGGTAATGTAGGCTCAAGGGGGACTGTCTGTGAGTATATGTCCACATGTCAGGGAACCCCTGAGTCTTTGTAGCTTAGCAGAAATGATCCCATATGATATTCTCCCTGCAAGAGGCAGCCCAGTAGACTGAGGGGTCCTAATCTGCTAGTGGTTGGGACTCTGGTCCTCCGTAGTGGAGTAGAGCCATTCAACCTGTGGCCCCTTTGGGGCATATCAGGAGGCAGTGCTACAGCCACTTCCCACCAGCACAGCTGCTCTTCATTGTCCCCAGGAAGTCCAGCCCTTCCTCCAGCTTTGCTTTGTTTGGCTAACATTTGTTGAATATGTACTCCCTGCCAGGAACTGTTAGGTCCGGACTCTGCTCTTCGGGGCCTATAGTCAGCTGCAAAACATTGGCTCTCCTGCCCCATTAACTTCACTCACAGGCAGAAACGAGGGCCACAGTGGTTTACTGCCCTTGCAGCCATATCTCCATCTGGTCACAGTGCGTGGAGCACATTTAAAGAACCTGAGACGCAGCATGTGCTGAGCATCAGGCATACTGTAGCCTGCTTTGGTCAGATTCAAGGTAGAAAAGCCATGACTTGCTCATTTCAGTTCAGGGAACATTAAATTAAGATGCCAGCTATTATGCTAGGTGCTACCCAGCGAGCATTACCTCAGTTTTATAAATGAGGGAACTAAGGCTCGGTGAGGTGAAGGCTGTATAATCAGTATGCAGTAGAATAGGGTGAAATCCAGTTGTCAGAGTCAATGGACAAAGGAAGCCACCTACCTCCATTTTCTGCCAGAGGCTGCTCTTCTGAAGCAGTCAGTTCCACATAGAATAGGCCCCTTGATGTTTCCCTCTCGCGATAGCAGGGGCCTACTCTGCTTTGTGGTTGGCTGAACTTGACTCTTGAGCCATGACTGCCATAGGGGTTTGGGGAAGATGGGGCAGGAGGTTAAAAGACAGACAAGGCACTTCCTCCCCTTAGTCAGGATTAGTCCTCTTCTCCCATGCACTTGTTCTTCCTGAGCCTCTGCAAGAGCCTGATTCTGCCTTTGTCTTCATCTCAAGGCTGAGGGCTTTGTCAGAGCTCAGAACTCGTGTGTATAGTTCAGCCTGACTTTTCTGGAAGGTCTCTGCCATACCTCTGTGGATACAGGACCCACCAGGAGCCGAGTGAACAGCTGAGAGGCTGTCTGCCCCTGGGGAGAGGTAGCTTGGGTGCCAGGACTTATTTGAAAATGGCTTTAGGATTGGATTAAGGGTGAAGGTTGGAAGAGGTTCTTGAATCTTCTGGTTGGCATGGGAGAGGGTAGTCGAGGCTTGTCCCAGCATTACTGAATTGCTTCCATCCGTAGAGAGCCCTGCAGCCCTCTTCTGCTATAAGAGTCTTTGGGCTTCACACCTGAGCCTTCTTGTGGCTATTTGGAGGGTGAGCCAGCCGGGGGTCCAGTGGTCCAGAGCTGAGCCTCAAGCCTCTCTTTTTTGCCTAGGAACCCCTGACTGATGCAGAAAGGATGAAGTGAGTATCTGCTACCTGAGATACTGCCCTGCCTCAACTCTGTCCCTCTTAGCTCCAGGCTAGACTGTTGGTACAGTTGGACTTTCCCTTGGATTAGGTAGAAATAAAGGTTGGGATGGGTTGTTTTAGGGACTCTGGGAGGAGTGTTGATGTTGTGGATATTTTTTCTGGAAAATGGGATTTTATTGTTCCATGGGCTTCAAGAGAGCGTAGAATCAGGAGGCGAATGGCTCTGAGGGCCCTGCTCTTCTTGCTAAGGAGCCCTTCCCCAGCTCCTGGCTCCTGTACCAGCTGCCACCCTTACAGCCCTTTAGCCACATGAGGCCTCTGGAGAGGAGGGCAGTGCTGGGCTGGATTTCCAAGAGATGAATAATGGAGAAGCCTGATTGTGCAGTGGGGAAACTGGAGCTGGGGGCTTGGTGGCCAGCTGACATGGGCTGTAACCAGAGACAGGCTGGGAGCCATATCCCTACCCCCAATTCTTTATTTCTATTCTCCGATAGTGAAGGGAGGCTGGACTGTCCCCTACCATCCCCTCTTCCTCCCCTGACCCTCCAACCCAGGCTGTGTTCCCAGGGCCAGCAGGCCTATGAAATATGCTGCCTTAGACTCAGACTAAGACTCCAGGAGTTTCCCTGTCCTGTTTGCCTGTCCTCATGTCATCCCTTCCTTCCTGAGCCCACTCTGGAGCTCCAGGGCATGCCCTTCTATCTCTCATACCCCTCTGCCCTTGATCCCACAACACCCTGCCAGGCTCTTACAGGAGGAGAATGAAGAGCTTCGCCGGCGCCTGGCCTCCGCCACCAGACGCACTGAGGCCCTGGAACGTGAGCTGGAAATTGGGCAGGACTGCCTGGAGCTGGAGCTGGGCCAGAGCCGCGAGGAGCTGGACAAATTTAAGGATAAGTTCCGCAGGTGTGGGAATGAGGGGCCAGACACACACACACACACACACACACACACACACACACACACACACACACACACTCTCTCTGTCTCTCTCTCTCTCTGTGTCTCTGTCTCTCTCCTTTCATAGGAGGTTAGCTGGAAGATGCCTTAGAGATCATCTAATTCCTATTAAAAAACTGGATAAGTTCTGCAGGTGTGGGAATGCGGGGCCACACACACACACACACACACACACACACACACACACTCTCTCTCTCTCTCTCTCTCTCTCTCTCCTTTCATAGGAGGTTAGCTGGAAGATGCCTTAGAGATCATCTAATTCTTATTAGAAAACTGGATAAGTTCTGCAGGTGTGGGAATGCGGGGACACACACACACACACACACACACACACACTCTCTCTCTCTCTCTCTCTCTCTCTCTCTCTCTCCTTTCATAGGAGGTTAGCTGGAAGATGCCTTAGAGATCATCTAATTCCTATTAGAAAACTGAAGTTCTTGAGGGAGAATGACATGTTCAAGATCCCCTATCGGGGAGGCTGAACAGAGCCTGAAGAACAGGATCTTGACCCAGGGATGTGCCTTGTATTATCCCTTTTCAGGCTGCAGAACAGCTACACGGCTTCCCAGCGGACCAACCAGGAGTTGGAGGACAAGCTGCACACACTGGTAATCTGTCTGGGAGGGCAGCTTGGTGGGCACTGTGCTCATAGCATAGCAGGGGGCCAGGATTTGCCAGGGGAATGCCACTCTGCCCTGGGGCTTGAGGGAGATGGTGGGATGGGGCAGTGGTGGGGGTACTGCAGTGTGCTCTGCAAGTCAAGACTGTCTTAATGCTCACACTGTTTCTCTTCTTTCCTCGTCTCCCCCTCATGCTGCCACCGTTGCTGCTGCACTCTCCTCTCAGGCCTCTCTTAGCCACAGCTGGATTTTTGCAGTTGCGTCTGAGTTTGTGTGTCTTCTCCCTTGCCCTGGCCTTCTCCTCAGCTGAGATCTGGGATTGTGGGCCCTGGCTGTTACCCTGTGCCCCTTGAGTACACCCGCTCCTTTCTCTTCCCTGTATGAGGCCCGTTTAACTGTCAATGCCTCCCTCCCAGGAGAGAGGTGGGGAGCCTAGCCTGCTCTGCCCTTGGCTCTGGTAGAGGTACTGATTGATGTCTCCACTGAACACCCAAAGCTTCTTGGCTCCAGTGGCAGCAAGCCCAGGCTGTGGGAGTGGGGAGGGGAGGCTGCAGATCCAGTCCCTGAACTGGAGATCAGAAGGCTACTTTTGAGCCTGCAGCTTGCTCCCTGCTCAACAAGGTGCCCTGGCTGCCACCGCGCCCTGCTTCCTCTTCCCTCTCCTAGCCTGATGCTGGAAACAGCTGCACACATAGGAGGCTTCAGCCCCCTGGTTTGCAGTTACTGCCGTTGAGGTACCAGCTGCCTTGCCTGGTGCCCAGAGCCCCTGGAACCTCAGGGGATGGACAGCTCTTATACTGCCTGTGTCCTGGGCCCAGGTGGCAGGAAGTCATGCTAAGAAAGCCCCCACCCCACAGCCAGTCCAGAGAGCGGGAGAGATGCCCAGTCTCCTTCTGTCTGTCCGTCATTTGTCTCTGCTCTGTCCGCCTTGGCTGCCCTAGCACCTGTGGCCTCTTGTGTCTCCAGGATGGGAGGAGGTGGAGGGAGAGGAAGGGCTGGCTAGAGTGTGGGCTGGGTTAACCTCAAGTCTGTGCTTCAGATCAAGAAGGCTGAGATGGATAGGAAGACGCTGGACTGGGAGATTGTGGAGCTGACCAACAAGCTGCTGGATGCCAAGAACACCATCAACAAGCTGGAAGAGCTCAATGTATGTGCGCTTCACTACTCGGGCCTTCCTCACCTGGGGCTAGCTTTGTCCTGGCTCGGCCCTGCTTCCTTGGAGAGGGCTGGGCTGGGCTCTGAAACAGGTCTGTGTCTGTAGGAGCGGTACCGGCTGGACTGCAACCTGGCTGTACAGCTCCTCAAGTGCAACAAGTCCCACTTCCGAAACCACAAGTTTGCCGATGTGAGTAGAACTCACCCCCTCCCTGCCCACATAGACCATTCCGGCCACTGTAGGACTCCTCTAACTCCAGTTTCTGCACCTCTCTCTGTCCTCCTCTTCCCACTTTGCCCTCCTCTTGCCTCCATGTCACCTCTCAAGCCAGTCAACTCTGCCACTGGTTGGTGTCCCGTGTACTGTCCAGGGCCCATCACTAGTTCTGGGGGGCCAGCCCTGTTGGTTTCTGTAACAGAGACAGAGAGAGAAGATCCTGGGCAGGAAGGAGAGGGTAGTCAGAGCTATCTGCCCAAAGAGTACTAAGAGAGGATTAGGCCCATCTGATCATGTTACCCCAAGGGGTAAACTCTAGACCCCACAGCTTCAGGCCCAAGGTTTATGTGGCCTGCAGAAGTAGAAGAAGTAGAGGTATTTCTTTTTTTTTTTTTTTTTGAGACGGAGTCTTGCTCTGTCACCTAGGCTGGAGTGCAGTGGCACAATCTCGGCTCACTGCAACCTCCGCCTCCCGGCTTCAAGCAATTCTCCTGCTTCAGCCTCCCAAGTAGCTGGAATTATAGGCGCCCACCACCACGCCTGGCTAATTTTTTTGTCTTTTTAGTAGAGATGGGGTTTCATCGTGTTAGCCAGGATGGTCTCGATCTCCTGACCTCGTGATCCACCCGCCTCGGCCTCCCAAAGTGCTGGGATTACAGGCATGAGCCACTGTGCCCGGCCCAGAAGTAGAGGTATTTCTAAGGCTACTGGTCTATGCAGATTCTCCAAACTTAAGTATGGTTTGGGCAGAAGCTGGGAGATAGAAGTTTGAGAACATGCTGGCTGCAGCAGCAGATCCGGGTTTAAATCTTGGCCAAGTTAACCAAAGCTTTGAGTTGTCTTCCCCTCTCCAGGCCTATGTGTCTGTGAAGTGAGGGTATACACACTGGCATGCTGTAAGAACAGGAGATAGCAGAGTGCTGAGTACACAGAGGTACTTAAAGGTGGGAGCCATTACTTTCGCCATGAGTCAAGTTATCTTTGGCTGCGATCATTGATGTCTCTCTTTCCTGCTCTTTTACCTCAGCTGCCCTGTGAGCTACAGGACATGGTTCGGAAACATTTGCACAGTGGTCAAGAGGCCGCCAGCCCAGGTCCTGCTCCCAGCCTAGCCCCAGGGGCTGTGGTGCCTACCTCAGTCATTGCCCGAGTGTTAGAGAAGCCGGAGTCTCTACTGCTCAATTCAGCCCAGTCAGGCAGCGCCGGGCGCCCCTTGGCTGAGGATGTCTTTGTGCATGTGGACATGAGTGAGGGTGTCCCAGGTGATCCAGCCAGTCCCCCGGCCCCTGGCAGCCCCACCCCACAACCCAATGGGGAGTGCCACTCTCTGGGTACTGCCAGGGGCTCCCCGGAGGAAGAGCTGCCCCTGCCAGCCTTTGAGAAGCTGAACCCCTACCCAACCCCGTCTCCACCACACCCACTGTATCCTGGCCGCAGGGTAATAGAGTTCTCTGAGGATAAGGTTCGGATCCCCCGCAACAGCCCCCTGCCCAACTGCACTTACGCTACCCGCCAGGCCATTTCCCTGAGCCTGGTAGAGGAGGGGAGTGAGCGGGCCCGCCCCAGCCCAGTGCCCAGCACCCCTGCCTCAGCCCAGGCCTCACCCCACCACCAGCCCAGCCCAGCACCCCTAACACTCAGTGCCCCAGCTAGCTCTGCCAGCTCTGAAGAGGACCTGCTGGTCAGCTGGCAGCGGGCATTTGTGGACCGTACTCCACCACCTGCTGCTGTGGCCCAGCGCACAGCCTTTGGACGCGATGCCCTCCCTGAGCTGCAGCGCCATTTTGCCCATAGCCCCGCTGACAGAGATGAGGTGGTCCAGGCACCTTCTGCCCGACCCGAAGAGAGTGAGCTTTTGCTACCCACAGAACCTGACTCTGGCTTTCCCAGGGAGGAAGAAGAGCTGAACCTGCCTATCAGTCCTGAGGAAGAGCGCCAGAGCCTGCTGCCCATTAACAGGGGCACAGAGGAGGGGCCAGGCACTTCCCACACCGAGGGCAGGGCCTGGCCACTCCCCAGCTCCAGTCGCCCCCAGCGCAGCCCCAAGAGGATGGGGGTTCACCACCTGCACCGCAAGGACAGCCTGACCCAGGCCCAGGAGCAGGGCAACCTGCTCAACTAGGGCCCCTGCTGGCCTTCCTGCCATTGCTGCACCAGGACTGCAAGGAGTCCCCACACCTTGGCAGCTCAGGGTCCCCAGTCCAAGCCCTTGACCTCTCCTCTATCCAGACCCGCACAGCTGTTTCCTGTGTGGATGGGGTCAGGTTGTGGGCCATGCCAGGCCTGTCAGCTGCGTTGACTGACTGCAGCAGCTTGCCTCATGGTTTTCCCTTTTTCTTAGAATATTTATTCTTCAGAGGTAACATGCAGTTGGGTCTCAAGACCTTTCCTCCAATCAGCCCAACCCAGCCCAGACTGGGCTTTTCTGGGGAGCTGAGGAGTTTATCAGTATTCATCTTCCATCCTTTCATAGTCACAAGTTTTGTTATTTTGTTTTTTTTTGGGGGTGATGGTGTAATTGTTAACCTCATTTCCGTTTCCTACCTGTTTGCTTCCCCCCCCAGTCCTCCGCATGAGCTGTTGCCCTCCAGGGGCCTGGCACAGCTGGCCTTGGGGACGAGGGAGAGGACTGATTCAGGGCCCCCTCAGCTGTCTCCTCCCTCCCTCTGGAAAGGAGGGTGGGGCTCAGGGGCCTCAAGCTGGGCTCTGTGTGAGGCCTGGCCCCCACTCCCAACCTTGGCTCTAGACTGTTACTCTTAAGCTTTGAGAAATTTTCACATTGATGACTATTTTAAAATCAAATAAAACTATTTTACTGGTATGGCCTAACTTGTCTTAATGACCTCCCCTCTCCCACTTTTCTCCCCATTCATAAGTATTCCCAGTCCTAGTCTCATCCTAGTCGGCTAGTGACTCCCCCTCGCCCCACTCTGCCTAGGGTTTCCCTAGGCACAGAGCATCAGGGAGCGGGAAAGGGGGCACCTTAAGTAACCTTAGCAGGGTTCCTGAGTCTTCCCTCGGAGGCAGGGACCATATCTTTATGGGGCTAGTGTAAGGTGTTGCCTCAGAGGCCTGGGTTCTAGGCCTGGCCAGGCCTATTTTGAGATCCTGGACCAGGTCACGCAGCTTAGAGCTTGGGCTGTGCGATGCTACTGCCCCCTAGTGGTGCTTACTGGTAGTTCCAATTCCTCCCCTACTGCCGGCCCCAAGTGACTACAGCCACACGACAGGTTGTGGAGTTCATAAAATCTTTTCCGAGCCAGCGGGTTGCAGCCAGAGCTGCCAAGTTCAAAGGCATTGCCGTGGGTTCAAGTGCCCCCCAAGGCTGTTGCTCAGTCACAGCTTCCAGAGCTTCCTTCCCACCACACTGCCAGGAGCTGCCAGAGCCCCCATGCAGCCCCTGACCCCAGTTCCCTCCCAAGTCCCAGGGCCTGACCCTGATATCTGGGGCAAGGTGCTCGGGACATAGATAAGTGAAATGGTGTGCAGAGGCCCAGTGGAGAGTCACATCTCGGTCTCAGCCAACAGACTGTCCCCTAGTCCTGACGTCATTAGCACCATCTGAGAGCTGGGATCTGTGGAAGGGCAGAGAAGTGTTCAGACCACCATTCCTTCCTCCAATGGGGACCACAGATAGGTGAGAGCCTAGGTTCTGCACACCCACTCTCCCTTGTCCCGAGCCTCTTCCAGACCTGGCTCTGATCAACCCTCTGGGTTCTTACCGCTGGGGCACATCCAGGAGCTGCTGCCTCTCTGGTGGGCAGCAGGCTCCCGCCCTCTCTCCCATTCCTGGGTGTCGCCAGCCCCTCCTGCCACTTCCTCCTCCTCCTCTCCCTCAGAGAGGAGGTCACAGATCTGTTGCTGCAGCTCTGGGCTAATGCTGTTCTCAGCCAACACCAGGCTCCGCAAAGCTGTGGGGTAATTTTCTACCATGTCCAGCAGGGTCTGAAGTGGGGAAGAATATGGAAAAGGATGAACACAGTTAAGGCAGGTCCTCAGACCTCAACCTGCCATGCCTTAGGTATGTCATCAGACACATAAACTAACCTCCACCCCATCCCCTGGCCGTGCCCAAACATGACGACTTCCCACCTGAGCTGACTGGTTGGTGAGCCCTGTGCCCTCCAAGTCTAGGACCTCTAGGGTACGACTAGAGGCCACAGCTACAGCCAGCATTCCTGCCACATGGTCACCTGGGGAGACAACACACGTGCACACATTCATACACATGCCTGCTAATCCTTACAGATAGCTTCCCCATTGCCTTAACAACTTTAGATACTAATCCCTGGCCAAGGAAACATGGACAATTGGTGGTGGTCAGGAAGGGATCATTGTGATTGGTGAGTGAAGGCACGAAGCAAGTTAGGCCCACGGGTGGTGACTGATGTTTTGATCTATTTGTTGGTCACCTGGTCCGCCACAAAGCTATCTCCTTGACCCCTGGGGGCTCCCGTTTCTCTTCCCTCTCCCAGTGTACGGGTTACCATGTCAACTGATGGTCCCAGGCTCTTGGATAGGGCATGAGGCAGTGACAGCCCAAGGGGGTATTCTTGAGCCTCACCCAGGGGGTTGTAATCCAGATTGAGGACGCGGACCTGGGAGCTGTGGGCCACGGCAATGGCAAGGCGGCTCCAGCCCTTAGGGGTGATGCCAGGGTTGGCACTCAGCGTTAGCTCCTTCAAGCCTGGGCAGCATCATAGCAAGAAACCAGAATAGGGAGGGTTAAGCCCTCCTCCAGCCCTTCCCCACAATCCCTGTGTCTCTGGGGTGTCCCTAGTGGCTGGGCACCACCTTACCCCCACCATAGAGGTCAAGAGCCATTAAGGAGGCCCATGCTTCCTCTGCCTGCCCCAGCCTGGATTCCTGAGTCTCCATGCTGCCCCCCGTCCTGCCCCTTCCTGAGAGGAGTAGAAAGATGTTCTCGCCCACATCATCAGAGCTCTGGGGCCACACCCCCTTCCCTCTGCATTTCGATTTTCATCACTGCCACACTAGCCCAAGCCCTCAACAGGGTCCTGCTCACCAGATTTGGCCCCATCTGGGGGCAGGAGGCCACAGATGAGGTTGATGGCTTCATCACCCAGCATGCAGTCCCCCAGGTCCAGAGCCACGAGGGCAGGGTGGAGGGCCAGGGCTGGGTTCAGCAAGGCCAGCCCCGCATCTGTCAGGGGGCTCCCATGCAGGCTGGAGGAGAGTGAGAGAGCAGGGTTACTGCAGTCCTCCGCACTATCTACATGGGAAAGGGGCACTTTCACTTCTGTCAGCCCTAGGTATGGGGAGGGCAGTCACAGCGCTTGAGAGGCCTGGAAAAGGAGAAGGAAAGTTCTAGATTCTCAGGGAATACAGATAGAGGGAGAATTCGGTTTGTTTTCTGGGGCAGGGATCCAGGACATTGCACAGGGAGGGGCAGAGAAGGGGTGGGTGGGTGGTGGACCGGAACTCTGCAGTGGGCAGGGCTCTCGTCCCCACGGGGATATTCCCCCTTGGGAACCAAGGAGCTGCCCCAGTGAAGTAAATGCAGATGATTAGGTGGGGAGGTACGGCCCCCACCTCATGTCAGGAACTGGTGGGTATCCCAACACGGCTAGGGTCGCGCGTGCAAAGTCCAAGCATGTGCTTGGAGGGTGCTGTGAAGGCATGGGCCGAGGCACGGTGTATGTGCATAAGGCATGTGAAGGTAGGATGGTACTGGAAGGAGTGTGGAGGAACAGGAGGTGCCAGGGGAGTGTATGGAAGGGTGCAGTGCCCGGGACCCCCTTGCGAGGGGGCGCACTCACAAGAGGGACTGGATGGAGCGGTTGGTCCGCAGAGCCTCAGCCAGCTGCTTGATGCGGCTGGGGCTGGACACGACGCCCAGGTTAAGGTTGAGCTGCGCCAGGGACGTGGCCCCGGCCAGGGCCCGGCAGATGCGGCCAAAGTCGCGGTCGCAGAGGCGGCAGCCGCGCAGTGAGAGCAGGCGCACGGCGTTGTCGCGAAGGCCGCGGCAGATGTCCCGCACCTCGGCGCCGGACAGCGGCTCCCCCGAAATCTGGATGGAGCTGGGCAGCATCGTGCCCACGGCTGGGCCTCCGGGTACGGGGCCGGAACGGAGGTTGGTGGGGCCGCGGGCGGGGCCGGGGATAGGGCCGGGGTCGGGGCCCCGGCAGGGGTCGCGGGCGGAGTGGGGCCGGGGGTGGAGGCGGCGGCTGTGGCGGAGGCTGCGGCTGCGGCGGAGGCTGCGGCGGGGGCGGAGAAGAGCTACCGGGACTGAGCCGGAGCCGGCCAGAGGTGCGGAGGCGTCCAGGGCGCGGGCCGGGCTGAAGTGGGGCGGCGCTGGGGCGGGGGCGGCCCGCACGGTCCGTGTCTGGGCGTTGGGGCGGGTGCGCGTTCCGGGGGTTGGGCAGGCGCTGCTCGGCGCTTGTCCTTGTCCCTCGCGGTCGCGGCGGCGGCGGCGGCAGCGGCAGCGAGCGGCTCAAGGGCTTCGGCTTACCGGTCTCGGCTAGGAGGCCGTACCCGCTCCCTCCTTCTCTGCCGCCCGGCTCCCCCCGACCACCCCGCGGGCCTGGCCGCACGGCTGGCAGAGAGAGCCTGAGGCGGGCGGCTGGCGGCAGCTCCGGCTCCAGCTCCAGAGAGCGAGCGGGCGGCGAGTTCCCATGGCAACGGCCGCGTCACCGGCGCTCGCCCCGCCCCCTGCCCGGCCAAGGCCACGCCGGCCCGCGAGGTTCGCGTACACTGGGTGGTTCGGGGCAAGGAGCTGGGAGCGATAGGCCGCTCTTCCCTTGGGAGTGGGGTCAGCCAACTGGCAGGCGGCAGGCGGCAGGGCTGAGTGGGTAGGGCTGACGGGGAGCGGAATGGAGGCACGCCCCGTGGAGATGGCGTTGGGCACGGTTACTGCTGCTTCTGCCCATTCTTCCATCCTTCCCCGTTCCTAAGGTCCATACCCCCGCCGGAATCCAGGGCACTGTTCCCTCCTATTTGGAAGGCCCCAGGGCCCTTTCATCCGCGCCGCGCCTCGCTCCCGCCCCCGTGACTCGAGGCGCAGCGTGCGTGGTGATCCCGGCCCATGGGGACTTCCCCGCTTGCTCCTCGCCAAGATGGCGGCCTCATCAGGGAGGCCCCAGGGGCCACGGCTGGGCAGAGCCAGCTTGAGCTGCTGGGGAGAAGGGTACCCCATAGGGTCCCTAGGGCAGGGGAGCCTCAGATAGATGCAAGGTCCTGGTGCCACACCTTCTCAGGTACGCAGGGCACTGTTGACATCTGAGGGTGTGTCCGTGCCGCGAGACTGGGGCAGCCAATACAAAGAAGGTGCCAGGGCCAGGGCCCTGGAGCACTGGTGAGGACGTGAAGGCGGCTGAGCCACACTGCACGGTGCAGGCGGTGCTGTCTCAACTTTGTCCTCTGGCCAGGGTGGTGGGGGACTCACTTGTGTAACGCAGGACAAATGAAGGGCACCTCTGTTTGTCCCTTTGTTAGGAGGGATAGATGCTGCTGACCCAGATTTACTAGTGTTAAGATGATTATTTTACATAAAATATAATATTCAATATAGTGAAGGGAGGTCAAAGGCCCTATTCCCACTCTTAGCCACCTGAATTAACTTATTAAGTGGAGCATATTAAAGAGGTGGTGGGGGTGGATGGTGCTATGTTAGGAGTGGTGGTTGGTTTTAAGAGGAAAGACAGAAAAACTAAAAGGAGCTGGCCCCAGTACCACCAAGGCAAAGCCAAATTTGGCTTCAATTAAGAGCTCCACAGGAAAATTATCAACACAATGCCCAGGTGCAGAAGATCCTTGTTTTGACACGGGGTTTAAGTCGGGATGTTTTGTTCAATTGTCACTGCTTCCTTGGCTTCCCAAGAGAGCAGCTGAGCCCAGACTCAAGCTGGCTGCAGTGTTCCATCAGGCTTATGGCTTTTGTGCTTGAGGCCTCCCTGCCGCTTCATGGGTCAGGTGTGATATTCAATCACTGCCTTCTATGTAGTCTGGCCTGTCCCACCTTTATCTTGCCTGGGTGAGGATATGAAGAAGGGAACATATGACATTACCACTGTTGACTGAGTAGGAAAGTATATAGGAAGCGGGATGACAGGGAGGACCACTGGATCAGCCGCTGCAGTTCCAGACTTCAATCAACATTTTAATTACCAAGTCTATATTTAGCAAGACAATGTGGGAGAGATAAAGAGGAAGGAAGGGGTAGGTGGGGAGGGGTTCTCAAAGGAGCTGACCCATTTTCTGCATTGGCTGCAGAGCCTTGCAGTCCTGGCCAGGAGTTCTTGGCCTTGTGCCTTTCAGAAGTGCCGACAGGCATCAAGGAGGTACTTACGCAGCTACAGCTCAGTGGCAGCTGCAAACCCCATCTACGAAACATGTCATCAGGACTGTCCTTTAATAGTCTTCCTCCTCTCTGCAGCTGCGGGAAAGAGGACTGGCCAAGAATTTCAGGTGGGGTCAGTGTGACTGCAGGGTCACCGCAACAGCTTTGGCTGTGGCGTTGAGGACGGTGGTGGGAAGCCGAGCAGCAGGGAGCATGGCAGGGATGTCTCTGGGGACCCTCTGGATGGGCGGGATGTTGGGGCCCTCCAGTGTGTCCAGGATCCCTGGAAGGAAGATGGAAGGTGAGCGAGGATCAGATGGGCCCAGCCCACCAGCCATCATATCTAGCTTCTTGCTCTAGGCAGCTGCTTTCCCATTCTCCCCCACCCAGACCTTCCTGCCACTTACCCTCTACCACTTTGTGGTAGGCAAAATGCAGATAGAGCAGGAAGAGCATGTGTAGGGCAGCCAGGGTGCCACAGAGGAGCAGCCGCTGTGTGGGGCCCACGGTCCGAGACACCAACACTGCTACCTAGGACCATGAGAATACAGCTCAAAGGGCCTGGCTCCAAAGTGAGGAGTGGGGACAAGACACCCCCACCCAGGGCAGAACCATCTTTGGGCTCTTCCCTCCCATTTAGGGCTCTTTGTGAGATGGACAGCTCCAGGCTGTCTTCCCCAACTCCCTGGGAGGACAGCCCACCCCTGGAAGCCTCTTGCCCAGCTTACCATGCGCAGTGTGGACAGTCCACCCACCAACAGCCAGAAGAGGTAGAAGAGGGCGTGGAGGTGGATATTATAGGTGATGAACAGGACAATGCAATGCCCAAAGAGGCCATAGCCCTGGGAAGGAGGATGGTGGAGAGGAAAATCATTCAGGTTGGGCTGCTTTCTGGCCCCTCATGGGGACCCTGGGAAACACATGGTCCATTGGCCTACTCCTCCCATTCCAGGCTTTGGGGCCCCAGGACAGATGCCGACCAAGGCCTGGCTACTCTTTTTAACATCACTCTTGCCCACCACACCTGGCTCCTTACCAGCAGTGCCAACATCTGCAGCATGGTGATCTGGGCGTTGCACAGGTAGGCAAGGAAGTAAATGAAGGATGAGACTCCCAGCCAGTAGCCGAAGCAGGTGCCAATGGCTGTGCCCATCAGGGTGCCCTCCCGCTGTGGGGTGAAGGCTCTATTTAGTCCTAGGAGGCCTCTGATCTCAGCCTCACCTAGGGCCTTCCGCAGGGGCTGTTCCTGTCTCACTCCACCATTGTATCCTCAGGCAGCTTTCAACCTAGTGCAGCCACCCCCCCAAAGTTGTCTGTCCTGCTTACGATAATAGTGTCAGACGTCTTCATCCCATGGAGTAGGATAGCAACCAGAGTGAAGACCAGCATGAGAGGTCCATAGAGTTCACCTGCAATTTTCTGTCAATATACCAATTCATTCAGGCTGGAGGGTACAACAGCTCATCTGTTTATGGCTTCCCAGGATTTGCCTGGTGGTCCCACCCTCTGCCCTGGTGCTTCCCCCGGCTCTCCAGACATGCCACCCTCTATTCACCTGGGGGAAGTTGACCATCTTGATAGGGATCATGGACTCCAGGAGCCTGGGAGAGGAGAGGAGAGATTAAAGCAAAGGCAGCACAAGGCCATGAGGTTCTGGAGGGCAAGGCCTGAATTTTATTCATCTCTAACTCCAGGGAATGGGGCCTGGCCTAGAAGACATGTTGGATGACACGGTAGAACAGGGTAGTAAAGACAGATAGGGAATGAGGAAATCATTTCCTTGCCCCTAAAGTTACTTCCAGGAAGGACAACCCTCTGAAACTTAGCTGACTGAAACAGCAGCTATATGGAGAACTCAGCCCTACTGGGCCTTGAAGGAGGGCCCGACCATGTATCCGTCTGCCCCCTCCCCTTGAAAAGACAGGCAGGCTGGGCGCGGTGGCTCACGCCTGTAATCCCAGCACTTTGGGAGGCCGAGGCAGGCAGATCACAAGGTCAGGAGTTTGAGGCCAGCCTGGCCAATATGGTGAAACCCTGTCTCTACGAAAAATACAAAAAATTAGCTGGGCATGGTGGCGGGCGCCTGTAGTCCCAGCTACTCAGGAGGCTGAGGCAGGAGAATTGCCTGAACCCGGGAAGCGGAGGTTGCAGTGAACCGAGATCGCGCCACTGCACTCCAGCCTGGGTGACAGAGTGCGACTCCATCTCAAAACAAAACAAAACAAAGACATGACAAGACAGGCAGACCTCAGCAGAGAGTACCCAGAATTCAGGGTTATAATGAGGAAGCCCTGGGAAAAGTCTAGCCGGCTAGATGGAAAGTTTAGAATGAAAGGTGTTACTGAGGGAATAGTAAAAACGCCTCCTCTTCCTGCTTATCTGTGCCTCCAGGCACTTTCGAGTATTTTCTTGAAAAATATATGTGAAGTGGTATGAAAATTTAGTCACTTCCCTCTTCTCTCAAGTGGCTAGCTCCTAATCATACCTGGGATTTTAGCTAGGTTTTACTTCCTCTGGGAAACTTGTCCTGTCCCACCCACCAACCTGCTTTGGCTCACATATCCCTCCTGTGTGCCCCATCATAGAATGAGTACTGTACTGTAACTGCACTCAAGAGCAAGGCTCCCATCTATCTTCACCACTGAACCAGATACGATTAGTTTAGCGTCTGGCACAGAGCAAATGCTTAATAAATACCTGCTGAGTGGTCCTGGGTATTTGATTAGCATTGATTAAAGGATGAACAAAAAAACCAAGCCAGGATTAAATCTAGTTCTTGAAAAGTCACTCAAAAACTATGCCCTGATATTTTGATTCTGAGACTGTTCTGGTGCTGGGAATAAAAAGATAAACAAGACAGAGCCTGCTTTTGAGATGCTGTTGGTCTCTGGAAGGAAGATTCCAGGAATAAGAAAGGATAGCAGTGGTGAAGTGCTGTCTATTAGAGGCAAGCGCAGAGTTCTTTTTTTTTTTTTTTTGAGATGGAGTCTCACTTTGTTGCTCAGGCTGAAGTGCAGTGGCACGATCTCGGCTCACTGCAAGCTCCGCCTCCGCCTCCCAGGTTCATGCCATTCTCCTGCCTCAGCCTCCCGAGTAGCTGGGACTACGGGCACCCGCCTGTCTAATTTTTTTTGCATTTTTAGTAGAGACAGGGTTTCACCGTGTTAGCCAGGATGGTCTCGATCTCCTGACCTTGTGATCCGCCCGCCTCGGCCTCCCAAAGTGCTGGGATTCCAGGCGTGAGCCACCATGCCCGGCTGGCAAGCACAGAGTTCTATAGGAACACCAGGAGAGAACAAACTGGGGATGGGATTGAGGAATGTGGAACAGAGGAAGTGACATCTGAGGTAGGTTTTGAGGGAAGATGAGTAGTCAGTTAGATGGAAAAGAAGAGGAAGATGGTGTGCTATTATTACTTGTTTCAGTGACAGGTGCAGTGATGAGAGGTGATGGGGTCATGAAGACGGGGAGCCCATCAGAGCCCAGGGCTTGAAATCTGACTGTAGTGTGCATGAAGGTCTAGGTGTTAGGAGGGAAGCTTCTTCAAGAGAAGGCTCCTCACCTGCTTCGCACCTGAGCAGGCTCCACATCAAAGTAGGGTCTGAGGATGTCGATGTTGGCGTACAAGCTGAAGGCCCTGGAGGCTTGTCTTTTCCCAGCCTGCCACATCTGAAGTAAGGAAGATGGGCATAGGTATTGTGGTACTGTTGGTTCTAGATCCTGTTGCCTATTTTCCGTTTGATTTCTACATGGTTCTAACTGGACAACCTGGGGCGAACATCACCAACACCAATTCCAGAACACGGGACATACCTAGGTCTACTTTTCTACCTGCAGAGGATTCAATCTTGCTTACCTGATCTGCCACCTGCCGGCTCAGCTGTCCCTTAAAGCCCTTCATGCCCAGGAACTCTCCATCCTCCTCTTCAGCAGCAGCTGCATCAGCTGCATCAGCGTCTACTTCTTCCTCGCGCAGGCGCTGATGCAGCTCACCCATATCCTCGAAGCTAGAGCCTGAGGTATCATCCATGTTCTCCATGTCAATCACAGCTGAGCCTCCGCCCTGTGAAGACAATGGCTCCTAGAGTGCAGGACTTTTCTGTTCCATCCATTAAGTCCTCTGCTCATCCCAGGGTTTAGGGCTTTGTTCTTCCACTGCTGAGGATACGGCTTGGAATCACTACAGATCATGCCACTCCATTCCCCCTCATATGCTCTCAGAACGCCTGGTTTCTAGCTTTGGCTATCTTTTCTAGCCTGGGAAACCTACTAGTCTTCCATTCATGTCTTTCTCCTATGTTACCTATCAAAGACTAAAAGGCTGAAAAAGTGCCCATTTCCTTCTTTCCTAAGCCCCAAACAAAACTATACACATAGTATGTTTTCAGCGAATGCCAGTGAATCCCACCCAACCCCACTCCATGCCTTACCCCGACCAACCTCCTAACTTGTTCCAAGAATACCTTCTTCCTAATGCCTCGGGCGGGCCCTGAAACCCGAGATCCTCAGGCTGGAGTAGTAGTCTGGCCCTTTCAGGTCAATGTTAATCCCACTGACTTTAGTGTGCACGAAGACCCAAAGAAGAGAGTTTTGTAAATGGAGCGGACTTCCAGGCCCAGAGGGGGAATCCCCAAGACACTTCTGGACATCGCCGGCCCTCCGGCTGCTGGCAGCTGGTGCCTTGGGGCCATTACCTGGATGTTTTCTTCGAACCCTCCCCATTCCGGGCCAGCTCCATTTCGGGCGCCGCCCGCCGGCGCCGCTGTAGTTGCCATGTCCCTTGAGGGCTCCCGTCGCTGAAACCCGCGCTAGCCCCGCGCGCGGAGTGGGCAAGATGTGGGCCTCCGGAAGGTAGACGTCCAGGGTCGAGGAGAGGTGGGATCGGCCGGAACACAAAAAGGAGAAGCCCGGATGTTTGGACAAAAGCAACTTCCGGAAGCTGGGGACGTGGACGGGGGCGGGGAAAAATCTCGCGATATTTAAGATTCCAGGAGGCGGTGCGTTGCCACGGAGACGGAGCAGGGCTACTAGGACGCACGCGCGAGATAGAACCTCTAGTCTCGTGGAGAGATTGAAGATGGCGGCTTCTCAGGCGGTGGAGGAAATGCGGAGCCGCGTGGTTCTGGGGGAGTTTGGGGTTCGCAATGTAAGCCTTGTGGCCTTGAGCTCGGGCGGGAGGAATGAGAGCGGAACAGGGATGGGTCTTGGGATTGGCGTGGGGATAGCTGTGGGCTCACTGTCCCTTCGTGGACAAATTCGTCCCTTTGCTCTAGGTCCATACTACTGACTTTCCCGGTAACTATTCCGGTTATGATGATGCCTGGGACCAGGACCGCTTCGAGAAGGTAAGTGGGGCCGGAGTTGTCTGGGGAGGGTTATGAAGGCCAGACCTTGTGGTCTGAGCAGCCTGTGTCTGTCTCAGAAGCTGCTCTTGGGGGTCGCTCCGTTTGTAAGTTTGTTGAGCAATGTGCTAGACGCTCCGTTTACAGGCCAAATTAGACACGGTTTCTACCCAGTTCTGCAAAGATGTTCAGTCTTGTTGAGGAATGGTGTGTATAAACAGTGAATCTAGTGTAATATGGTGAAGGTGGTTGATAGCGATGAAGACGGCAGGGTTGGGGTGGGGAGCATTACGCTGAGACCAGGAAGAGGGGCGGAGAGGTACTTAACATTTCAAGAGGAGGGTACATCTCAATTGAGCCTTGAATGGTAAGTAAAAAAGAACAGGAGTTAAATTATGAAGGGTTTGTTTCAAGTCAGTGAAGTTCAGGATATACAGGTTTTGTGTGTATTTAGTCTTTTGTATTGTTTCACTTAGCTTAAAATAAGGGTTAAAATTGCATTTAAATAGATTACTGAATGTTACCGTTTAGGCAACTGACCTTTGCGTGCAGCTTATAAACATGATCTGTAAATCAGTGCTTGGGAAAATTTTACTTTTTTAACCTGTTGATACAAGGAATAAAGTATGAACAATGAAAAAGGTTAATGCTTGAAAAAAAATTATGGCTTGTGTGAAGTGTGCTCCGGGCATGTCCAAGTAGTTCTGGCATGAGTGGTAGGCAAGGTTGAAGTGTGTCTTGGGCACTGTTGATGATAGGGAGATTGAATAGTTCTTAAGCAGACATGATGAGATTTGCAACCTTGGTGGCTGGGAGGGAATGAGTTTGAGGAGGATCATATGGAGCAGGCAGATCTGTTGTAAGGGAAGCTGAGGTTGAAGACATGAACTAAGACTGATGGTAGAAATAGAGCAAAGGTAGAATAGAAGGTAAATTTATGATTGCTTTGGTAAAGGCTGTGGGGGTAGCATAAAATGACTTTTTGGCTTGGGAACTGCTTTGATGCATTGTGGTATCATTTACTGAGAGGAGAAATGGGTCTGGGGAACGGGAATGATGATGCATTGTTTTCTGCATGTGGAGAAATCTAGCAGGCTAGAAGACTGCATGCTTGAAATGAGATCAGAAGTGAGATAACATTTTGGGAGTTGTCAGAACAGATAGTTGCTAAAACTGTTAGTACAGTTAAGGTGACCTGGGAGAGAGACAAGAACCTGGCAAATTTAGAGATGGGTGGAAGTCGATCATCAGAGAAGGAAGAAGAGTGGAGCTCAGAGCTCAGAAACCAGGGGAATAGTTCAAAAAAGGAGGAGATTTTTTTCTTTGCTTTTCATGAGGCACTCTTATGTCCCAGGCTGGAGTGCAGTGGCGCGATCTTGGCTCACTGCAACCTCCGCCTCCCGGGTTCAAGCAGTTCTGCCTCAGCCTCCCGAGTAGCTGGGACTACAGTCATGCGCCACTATGCCCAGCTAATTTTTTGTATTTTTGGTAGAGACGGGGTTTCACCATGCTGGCCAGGCTGGTCTCAAACTCCTGACCTTGTGATCTGCCCGTCTCAGCCTCCCAGAGTGCTGGGATTACAGGTGTGAGTGACTGTGCCGGGCCAGGAGGGGGTTTTTTAATCAATGCCAAGCATAACAGAAGTCTAGTAAGAGGACTGAGTAGTGTCAACAAAACTAAGCACTATGGTAGTTTCTGTTCTTCAGTAGAATAGCTTCTGTGGATGGTTTGGTTGGAAGCCATATTGCATAGGGTTTTAATGAATGGACGACAAAAATGGAGACTTTTCATGAAACTTAAAACACTGGGCGAGATAGAATATTTAATAAGAGACATTTGGGCAAAGGGAGGTTTTTGGATGAGAGGATAATACTTGAGGGAATTATCTAAGGGGGAGGTATGAAGAGATATTACACAGAGAGCAGATTTCACTTAAATGTTTTTTCCTGTCCCTCTAGAATTTCCGTGTGGATGTAGTACACATGGATGAAAACTCACTGGAGTTTGACATGGTGGGAATTGACGCAGCCATTGCCAATGCTTTTCGACGAATTCTGCTAGCTGAGGTATTGGCAGGCATGGTGACAAGGCTGGAGTTGCTTTGGGAACTGCACTGACACCTCACTTGGAGAATTAAGTGTCTCAAGCTGTCCTTCCCTCCTTAATTTTCCTGGAATTTTGCTGAGCATTTTACCTTCTCATTCTTTGTAAATTTCTCATTAAACATTCTAGGAAGAGAGATAGCTCCCTACCTCTGGAGGTTGGGGTTACGGGGATAGGTAGGGGGTCTGTTGGGTTTTTGCAGATAAGTGGTTATTTTTCCTTGGGCAGGTGCCAACTATGGCTGTGGAGAAGGTCCTGGTGTACAATAATACATCCATTGTTCAGGATGAGATTCTTGCTCACCGTCTGGGGCTCATTCCCATTCATGCTGATCCCCGTCTTTTTGAGTATCGGAACCAAGGTGAGAAAATGAAATTTTGGGAGAAGTGGACTATCTGGGTTCAAATCCTGGTTGACTGTGATGTTGGGTAAGTTACTTATCTTTGTACATCAGTGTCTTTCATCTGTGAGAACACTTGCCTTGTCTCCCAAGTTTGCCATAATTAAATGGGAAACACGTAAAGCATTCAGCATAGTGCTGGCACTCAGACGTTTACTAGTTCTTAGGAGCTCCCTCCATTTGTGCAGGAGATGAAGAAGGCACAGAGATAGATACTCTACAGTTTCGTCTCCAGGTCAGATGCACTCGGAACCCCCATGCTGCTAAAGATTCCTCTGACCCCAACGAACTGTACGTGAACCACAAAGGTGAGTAGTGGTAGGGTGAGGAAGAGGCCCCACCTGTGGGTAGCTGCTAGTTTTAGGGACTGAGATCTTCTGACATGTTTTTCCTCCAGTGTATACCAGGCATATGACATGGATCCCCCTGGGGAACCAGGCTGATCTCTTTCCAGAGGGCACTATCCGACCAGTGCATGATGATATCCTCATCGCTCAGCTGCGGCCTGGCCAAGAAATTGACCTGCTCATGCACTGTGTCAAGGGCATTGGTGAGAACCCTGTGTGCCTTCCTGGGAAGGGGGATAGTTCGGTTGCAGTGGGGCAAGCTGACTAGGGAACTCAGCTGAGACATTCCCGGCAGGTAGAAAGCCAAGAGGGTTGTGCTTTTGCTGTTAGTAGCTTAGGAGGAGTATTCTTCCTAACCCTAGAAGGGTTTCCTATAGGCACGTTCCCTCTTCCTCTCCAGGCAAAGATCATGCCAAGTTTTCACCAGTGGCAACAGCCAGTTACAGGCTCCTGCCAGACATCACCCTGCTTGAGCCCGTGGAAGGGGAGGCAGCTGAGGAGTTGAGCAGGTGCTTCTCACCTGGTGTTATTGAGGTGCAGGAAGTCCAAGGTATGGTATTTGGGATGCTGTTCAAGTTAGGACCTAAATTATATTTTCTTTCAAGGTGACAGAAATAAAAACCCTGGGCTCCTAAAAGTATAACCTGGTTTGCTACCAAGTGGCAAATTAGAAAAAGGAATAAAAAAACATGGTTTGTTCTCATTAGGTAAAAAGGTGGCCAGAGTTGCCAACCCCCGGCTGGATACCTTCAGCAGAGAAATCTTCCGGAATGAGAAGCTAAAGAAGGTTGTGAGGCTTGCCCGGGTTCGAGATCATTATATCTGTGAGTATGAAGTGGTGAGATGAGTGGGCAGTGCTCTTTGGTGCTGCAGCTTCCTTCCAGTCTAGATGTGAAGTTTATGAGTAAGTTTTACAGGCAAGCCCTGCCTAGACTAAAGTGTCTCTTTGGTCCCCAGTCTCTGTTGAGTCAACGGGGGTGTTGCCACCAGATGTGCTGGTGAGTGAAGCCATCAAAGTACTGATGGGGAAGTGCCGGCGCTTCTTGGATGAACTAGATGCGGTTCAGATGGACTGAGCTTGGATGCTTCTGAGGCAAGCTGAAGCTTTGGGTTCTGACTGACCCACCCTACAGGACTGCTGAACAGAGAGCCCAGTGTGACTAGGGATCCTGAGTTTTCTGGGACAATTCCAGCTTTAATCAATACATTTTGTTAAATGTGCCATAAAATGAGACTTTTTACGCCTTTATAAGGCCTTAGATGTAAATAAACTCACCCAAACAAAAAAACTTTTTGAGACTACTTTTGAGTTTGTTTTTTGAGACAGTCTCACTGTGTTGCCCAGGCTGGAGTGCAGTGGTGCAATCTCAGCTCACTGCAGCTTCCTCCTGGGTTCAAGCAATTCTCAGGAGGCTGAGGCAAGAGTAGCTGATGCTACAGGCATGCACCACCACACCTAGCTATATGTCTAATTTTTTGTATTTTTAGTAGAGACAGGGTTTCACCATGTTGGTCAGGCTGGTGTCAAACTCCTGACCTCAAGTGATACGCCTGCCTTGGGGCCTCCCAAAGTGTTGGGATTACAGGTGTGAGCCACCGCGAAAAACAGGGGGCCTCACTTCAGAACTGGTTTAGCATTTACCAATTAAGAACATCAGATGTGCACTCCAGCCCGGGTAACAGTGAGACCCTGTTTCAAAAACAACAGAAAGAACACCTCCTGAGAATTGGCAAATTAAGGTGGTTTCTGGGAGCACAGCCAAACCCTAGAAAAACATTCAAGCTAGAGTGAATGTGCCACTTCACCTATCTCCTGGTTTACCAGGGAAGTTCATGTTGCTATTGACAGCTCCAACAAAGAACAGTAGCAATTCCTGTGGGCCAGGCCCAGCAGCCACACACGAAAGACACTGTGAGAATGGTATGGGCTGCCTAGTCTGGGTATGTCAGGAATAGAAATCCTTTTCTAACTGGCACACCATTTCAGAAAGCTTGAAAGACCAGAATCATCAGTCACATTTCTTCCTGTTTTAGTCCCGGGTGCTCATGAAGTAACCCTGGAGTATGTCACTGGTTTTAAGACTAGGTTGAAAAAGGCAGATGGGTCCCTTTCTGTACGAAACTGAGATTTTTACTGACATGCAGATGTGCTTTAGAGTTAATGTTTCTACAAAAAGTTTCTATAAACAATAGAAAATTTCTAGCATGAAGTCACAGGATGTTAAAAATATTACAATGCAATAAATACAACTACATCCTCCACAGCCCCAACCAGACAGGAATAGGCAGCTATCAGGTTTGGAGGGAAACACTCTTGAGATCGCCTTCACGATCCACAGAAACCCAGAGCACCACACAGGAAGAGGGAGCAACACAAGACTCCCAACTTCTGCTTCCCCAGCTTTGCTTCTTCTCAATCTGACCCTGCCTGTGGCCCGCACCAGCTAAAAACTGTAGCTTCAGTCCACTTCGGCTCTCGGGGAAACCCTCTTGTCAGTGGACTGGATGGACAACAGGTCTGTTTTTGTGCAGAGCACATGGACACACTGGTTTCTGTATGGATTAACTCTGCCTTACGGCCAGTAATAACCTCAGGGCCAGGTCCCGTATCCATGTCCTCTCTTTACAGGGCCTTTCAGTGACCTCTAGAATGGACTCACAGTACAGGTTGTGATGTGAAGGCATGTATTCTTTTGGAAATGGCCTTTGAGAAAAGTAACCAGGGACCTGAAAGACCATGAGATTGTGGAAGGCACCTGGACTTAGTCCTAGGAGAAGACCAGCGGCTTTGCTAGCTGCTCATCACAGATGTAGCCTAGTTGGTCTGTATTATCCTTGGATGACAACGGTGTCATGTGACACTATCTAGGGTACTGTGGCTCTTGTGCCTGAGTGGACCTTGAGGCTGGGGAGGCCAGACTGAGGGGTCATTCATGGAAGGGCAAGATGTGTGAACTCTAAAGGGGATGTTAGCACTAAAGACTTCCCAGCCCTGGTCCTTGGAGGTACTATACTTGATACTGTGCCAAGTTTAGCAGTAGCCTGTACCATGGATCCCATCAGGTGACCAGATTCTTGCCCAAAGCAAAGTTGAGAGAACTGACCAAGTTCTCTTCAGCACTTAGCACCTAACCCAGACATGCCCCTTAGGGAGTGGGGAAAGTTTCCTGCCAGCCCAGCAGCAAAAGGGCTCAGTGGGAGTTGGAGTGGTCCAAGAGAAACTCTGGCACAAGTAGTTGAGGGCTGTGCTCTTGCTGCGAGCCTTGCTAGTCGCAGGGTTGGGCACAGCACCCTTAGTTACCATTCTGTACAGGTATGTGGCTGCACGGGGGTGGGAGGGCTTGTGGGAGAAGGGCTGCTCTGCTCTAGCTTTTCTTGGAAAAGCCAAATCTCCAAGTAGAATGGGAACTATCTGGGACATCTAGACAGAATAGTTTAAGCCCTAACTCCCTTTCTTGATACTTTAGTATAATTACTTCTGGTCCTGCACAGGGCCTGTTCTCTCCAGCTCCAGACCTGGATCTCTTTCCAGGCTGACAGTGGTGGAAAGTGAGGTGGCAGTGCAAGAAGGGCCTAGAGATCGGCTACAAAGGGAAAGAAGAGATGACAAGAAAGGCCGAGGAAGGATGCCCAAAAGCTTGATTCAGGGTTCAAAGATGGTGGCCAGGCCACCCCCATCATTGTCCAGCACCTCCGTCTCCAGCATTGGCTTTGTTTTTTTGAAAAGTGAGGGAAGATTCTTAATGTGAACTTCTTTTCGGAACTGCTCTCCCAAGGGTTTCTGTGGAAAACAAATGAGAAAGAATTAATGCTGGGCCCTCAGTAGTAGTTAAAAGATTCTCTTGGCCCGGCGCAGTGGCTCGCGCCTGTAATCCCAACACTTTTGGGAGGCCAAGGCGGGTGGATCACCTGAGGTCAGGAGTTCAAGACCAGCCTGACCGACATGGAGAAACCCCGTCTCTACTAAAAATACAAAAAGTAGCCAGACGTGGTGGTGCATGCCTGTAATCCCAGCTACTTGGGAGGCTGAGGCAGGAGAATCGTTTGAACCTGGGAGGCGGAGGTTGTGGTGAGCTGAGATCGTACCACTGCACTCCAGCCTGGGCAACAAGAGTGAAACCCCATCTCAAAAAAAAAAAAAAAAAAATCTCACCATAATGGTCAATAACTACAGCTGGTTTATGGTTTGCCCATACACATGATTTAAGAAGGGGGTTGGGAGCACTATTGAAGGTGCATGACCTACCCCAATGCAACCAGCAATGAGGCGTTTGAATTGGTCCTTTCGGCGCTTGTCAGCCACTTTCTGCAGGGAGGGGTTTAAAAGCTTGCAGTCAAACTGGTCCAGTGAGTCCTTCTGTATTTCAGGGATTTGCTCCATTACAGCTCTTATCTCCAGGTACCTGGGGCGCTGATATCAGCAGGGATAAACTTACTGGATGTAGGTTTGGATATTGCCACCCTCCCCATTTCCTGCCACACCCATTTCTCAGAGATTGCACCAGCAATTTGGCAGGTGCCTGAATTTAGGATAAGGCCCAAGAGACTAGGAGCAGACTGAGTGATGAAGCTGCAGCCATCCTTCCCCCATGCCTTCCCCACTCACCAGTGCCTCGTATATCTGGAAGGCCAGATGGACCAGGGAAGCCATGCACCCGTCGTGCTGCCCGTGCATCTGTAAGCCTTTCAGCACACTGGTGAAAAGCCACGTAACTGCATCTGCGAGCAGTGTCCCTGACAGCACCTGGGGAGACAACTGTGCTTTAGGGCCACAGGGGGCCTCTCTCAAGGCCTCAGCACCCCAGTTCTTCTGAATGATTTAGTCAGTCTGCATGACCCAAACCTTCCATGAGGGGCAGGGAAAAGGGGTGAATAACCATACTTGTTTGAGGAGAGGCCAGCAGAGCTGTGAGGTTGTCCTCTGGCAGGACAGAGTATCTTTCCAGGCCAGGGAATTGAAGGCTGTAATTAATAGCGCTGTACAAACATCCTGAACAGGAAAAGATGAAGAGTTACAATGGAAAAAGAAGCACAGTTTTCTCTGATGATTATTACACATCAGGAGCCGGAGGGTTTTTTTTTTTTCCTCCCCCCCTCTAAAGATGGGTTTGTTTTGTTGCCCAGGCTGGTCCTGAACTCCTGGGCTCAAGCTATTCTCCCATCTAAGCCTCCCGAATAGCTGGGACTACAGGTGTGTGCCACCATGCCTGGCTTAGGAGCTGGAGTTTTAAATAGCTAAGCAGGAAAAATAAAAGGAGTTTACTTCCTCTATTTTTGTGTATTGCCAGTCAAAAAGAAAAAATCAAAATGTGAGAAAACCTGTATGTGTAGGATGGAGACAAAGCTCAGGCCTGGCTTGGGGAGGCTAAACACCAGGGATCTGCATCAGTGTGCCTACTATGTGTTTTCCTGAGAGCTCCTGCCTATGCTGGTATGGGAGACACCATGGCATTGCACCTTTTCCCTCGGTTTTTTCTGGGGCCTTTGGAACCAGGAACTTATGTAACAAAGGAGTATTACAAAAAACTCTTGATAGCACCATAGAGCAAGAAAAGTAAAAGGTGACTCCCCACCTGGGCAAGGAGTAAAGGTATCACCTGCTCCTTCTACCCACCTCATGCTTCATCAGACATTTGCCCAGGTCTGTAAGCTCTGCCATAGCTGAGGGGGTGACCTCTGTGGCCATCATTTCTTCATCTGTTATCAGAGAGTAGAATGTTAAGCTCCATCCTTTCAGAACAGAGAAGAATATCTTGTTCTGACAGAAGCGCAAAAAACAAAGCAAAGCTGAGTGTTCTAGGCTAAGTGGTGGCTAAGTAGTACTAGGAGCCCTCCCACCTCCACATAATGCCCATGCCCATGGCTGATCTTCTAGAGATGCACTCAAGCTGTACATGAGGGAAATGGGAGCTTCTAGGCAGAAACACAAAATGCTGCAAATACTGAAGTTACTTTGTTGTTGGACAAATATTTGAGCACCAGACACTGATTTAGTTACTGGGGATAAAAGGTATAGGACAATAGGTCCCTTCCCTGATGGGAGTTTACATTCTAACATGGGAGATAGGTAAGAAAGGAATACATAAATAAAAACATAATGTTGGGTAGTGACAACTGCTATGAAGAAGAATAAAGCAGAGGAATACAGAGTAGCTGGGGTTGCCATTTTTGATAGGTTGGTCATGGACGATCTCTGGGAAGAGGTGACATTGGAATAAAGCAAGAGAAAAGATCACATATATGGTTGGGAGGAAATCATCTGAGACAGAGGAAACAGCAAGTGCAAAGGCTTGGAGGTGGGAGTATGATGGAGGCACACAGCAAGAGGGCTGGTCCAGAGATGATAACTACATGTAGGGTGTCTTCTCCTCACCAGACTGCAAGGAAACTGACCTGGTTCAGAAGGAACAGTATTTAGGAGGCTAAGAGCAGAACTCCAAGGTCTCACAGGCTCACTTACCGTCTCCATCTGCTGGGGGAGCACTACTGTGGTCAGCACCCTTCTTTGAAACACAGCAAACCGCTAAAGCAAGAAAGCAGGGTTACTAGGTGAAGGGTGGGTATATACTACCACAACAGCCACCTCAGGCCCACTGATCCCAACCTGTCTCTGGCCAGGTGAGGAAGGAGGAAGATGGGGGTACCGTCCAAGGCACAAGAATTAGCTTCACCAATAGAAATAGAGGCATTCTGATGACCGAACTGTTTTGGTCCTTCAAGTTCAACTAGCTGAGAGAAAATTACAGAATTCTCTGAGAGTGAGTGACTAGGAAAGGATGCTTGATACATCCCTGGTCTACTTTGAATCTCAAACAAACAAAATGACACAGTAAAAATAAAAAGAAAATTAACAGCCTCCATGTCCAAGAATTTAAAACATTTCCCTATTTTGACAAAACTAGGAAGTTATTCCTAATGAATCCAAATTCCTTCTGCTATTTTTGTTTCCCCATATTCAGCTTGCAATTCATAAAGTATCCTTAGGTTGACTTAAGGACTGCCTTGCTTCTATCTAGTTATTTCTTTTGGATCTGTCAGTGTTGCTACAAACATGAACTTTTTTTTTGAGACGGAGTTTCACTCTTTTGCCAGGCTGGAGTGCAGTGGCGTGATTTCGGCTCACTGCAGCCTCCGCCTCCCGGGTTCAAGCGATTCTCCTACCTCAGCCTCCTGAGTAGCTGGGACTACAGGCCTGCGCGCCACTACGCCCAGCTAATTTTTGTATTATTAGTAGAGACAGGGTTTCACCATGTTGGCCAGGATGGTCTTGATCTTTTGACCTCGCAATCCACCATGCCCGCCGCAAACATGAATCCTTTGCATTAGTCAGGCCTTCATGGAGTTGGCTGAGCGACCAGCTCTTCTTCCAGGAAAATCCTCTATAGCCCCAGTTTCGACATGCCACTTACTGATTAGGTCCATGACTTCTCGGGTTAACATCCTCACCAGTTGCTCCTCCAGCATCTCTTGAGACTCTGGGTTTTCATCTGCAGCCTCATCTTCTCCACTGCAGAAAACCAGGGGGCCAAGTTCCACAGGAGTGCAGAAAAGGAAGGACAAGGAAAGCAGCGACCCTAATCAGACTCTCTCTGACCACTTTCTTCTCCTTTGGGTCTTCGTTTTATGCAAAAGTTGGGAATGGACAGCAGTGATCCACTGAAGGACATTATTACTAGTGACTCTGTCCAGTTGGATAGACATTACAGAATTAAAATAAGTGAGTAAGGTAACAGTAGCCCCTATGAAGGCTGGATCTCAGAGTCTGCCTGCTGGTAACAGCCTGTCCAGACAAGCCATGTATCACCTAGGCTGAGAATGACTACAACCTACTGCTCTTCTACCCTGGGACAGCAGAATCCCTGCCCGCTTCCTTTTCCCACCCCAAACCTGGCTGCCAGTTCATCCACCAAGAAGAGTGGGTAGGTATCCCTTACCACAGCAGGCTCCTTTGGTTGATAACTTGCCATTTCTGAGAAAGCCTCTGGGAAAACACAAAGGAAATAAATGCTAGAATTGGGGAAAGGATTGGAACACATAATATCTAAAGTCAAGTCCACTTCATGATTAAAATTAGCCAAGGATGATTCTAGGCATCAATGACAACTTCTGTAGACTCCACACCACAAGGTTAAAAAAAACATCTATGGTTTCTGTAACCTATCCCACATCCCTGATGAAGGTGGTATCTCAAACACCTCTTTGCTTGGAAAGAATTAACAACATTTTTAGAATTCCTGGGTCTCTAGACATACCTGTTCTCCACCCAGCTGGTCCCCCTGCTTAATTCTAGAGTAAGGATAACAGACCCAGCATTCCTGGCAAGGGTCTGTGAGCAAGCATTCCTCTTTTTACCTCTCCTCAGTTAACAGGAGGTTAGGAGCAGAATCTGCAACTGAAGCTGTCTTGTGGCAATTAAATCAGTTTAGTTCTTTGGGGGCTGCTCGATCCTACAGCAAGGATAGTCAGCTGGGGTAGAAGCTCTGCCCAGCCAGTCTGGCAGGGCTAGTAGACAACACTTCTAGGAGCTCCTGACTTGCAAAGCTCAGAAATGGCCAGAGGCCTTAATAGTACTCTTTGCTTCCTGTTCCTGACTTATCTCTTACCATATGGAGGTAGGTGAAAAGAGGTCCGAGGATGGGGGATACCAGGGCTTCATAGTGCTCTGGGGGACAGAAGAGCACCAGAGGCTTTACAAAGACACGTGCTGCAACAAGTTAAGAAATTTTAGTGCATAGGCACACATCTCTCACCTGCCAGGTGGTGGGTTGCACCCCTGGGCAGAATCAATCCCTAAAGGATTTGCCAGATGTCAAAAATATCCTGTGTTAACAGTGAAAAAATCTTAAAGTTCTTTTCCTAAAATCCTAAATGGCACTGATATTGAATTCCATTATACTCTTAGTTTAGCTGCATTTCCGTCAGGCTGCACATTATGGTCACTGGCCCAAAAAGTAGGAATAAAAAAATAGGAAGGAGGACATCCTTGTAACAAACTCTCCTTCACCATTCTCCTTATAATTTCAGGTAAGAAAGATTTGCTGGCTGCGGTGGCTCACACCTGTAATCCCAGCACTTTGGGAGGCCAAGGCGAGTGGATCACGGGGTCAAGAGAGCGAGACCATCCTGGCTAACATGGTGAAACCCCGTCTCTACTAAAAAAAAAAAAAAAAAAAAAAAAAATTAGTCGGGCATGGGGGCGAGCGCCTGTAGTCCCAGCTACTCGAGAAGCTAAGGCAAGAGAATGGTGTGAACCTGGGAGGCGAAGCTTGCAGTGAGCCGAGATCACGCCACTGCACTCCAGCCTGGGCAACAGAGCAAGACTCCGTCTCAAAAAAAAAAAAAAAGAAAAGAAAGAAAGAGATTCAACTATTAATAAGGGTCTGAATGAGAATGAAGTGTTAAAACTGCTGCTTCTGGCTGGGTGTGGTGGCTCAGGCCTGTAATTCTAGCACTTTGGAGGCTGAGGCAGGAGAATTACTTGAGCCAGGAGTTTGAGACCACCCTGGGGAACATAATACAGACCCATCTCTACAAATAATAATAAAAACTAGCTGGGTGTGGTGGTGCGCATCTGTGGTCCAGTCCAGGCTCTTCAGGAAGCTGAGGTGGGAGGATCACTTGAGCCTGCACTGAGCTTTGATGGCACCACTGCATTCCTGCCTGGGTAACACTGAGACCCTGTCTCAAAAAAAAAAAAAAAAAAGTGCTTCTAAAAATACAGAAAAGGGATAAAAGTTTTATCTTTCACAGCTGGGCATGGTGGCTCACACCTGTAACCCCAGCACTTTGGGAGGCTGAGGCAGGCGGATTACTTGAGGTCAGGAGTTTGAGACCAGCCTGGCCAACATGGCGAAAACCTGTCTCTACTAAAAATACAAAAAAATTAGCTGGGCGTAGTAGCATGCGCCTGTAATCCCAGCTACTTGGGAGGCTGAGGCACATGAATCACTTGAACCCAGGAGGTGGAAGTTGCAGTAAGACAAGATCATGCCACTGCACTCCAGCCTGGGCAATAGAGCAAAACTCTGTCTCAAAAAATAGGAATAAAAATCAGCTGGGCGTGATGGTGCACACCTGTAATCACAGCTAGTTAGGAGGCTGAGGCACAAGAATAGCTTGAACCTGAGAGGCAGAAGCTGTGAGCCGAGATCATACCACTGCACTCCAGCCTGTGCAACAGAGTGAGCAAGACTGTCTCAAAAAAAAAAAAAAGTTTTATCTGTAATAATTCCGAGAAGGGGGAAGGTAAAAATTTACCCCTAAGGAAAAGTTTATGGCCATCTGGACTGCCTTCATGTTTTCCCTGCAATCTGCCAGTGTTTTTAATGACATGATACACTTAGATACATAATCTCATCTCTTCCTTCCAGTTCTGCCTCTTCCCTCTGGTTGCTGTGACCTGTTTTGTTTCTCTCTCTAATTTTCTGACCTTTTGGGTTATGTAGAGACTTTTGAAAGGATATGAAGCATGGGTCTGAGTCGGTAGTCAGGAATATTGTTCAAGTTGACAAAGGCTGAGCTGAGAAGCTGGGTAGCAAGGTCCTCCACAGTATAGAAGTCTTGCTGCATGGAAGGGCCTGCCTTCCCTAGGATATGAAAACTGTAAAGGGGAAAAAAAGAGCATTGAAAATGACAAATCCAACATCTGTTACTGCCAGCCCTGTCCCATGAATTTCATTTCTAGCCTACAATAAGGTTTTTCAGCCAGAAGAGCAGTTGTATTTACTTAAGAGAACTTATAGATACAGCATCTTTTTAAAGACAGATGTTGGTGGCCGAGATCAGCAGTAGCTTTCATTACTATTTAATGTGGACTTACAATGGACGATCTCATTAGCTTGGCTGATTAGTGTAGTGGTTAGTGAGGCCAAAGCCCATGAGGGCCAGTTACCTCCCCAACCCACAACCAGTATCCAGCCACCCGACTCCTATGAGAAGTATGCCGCAAGCAGTGTAGGGTCTAAGCAATCCCCACCACTTTTAGCTTCGACTTGGGTTTCATCATTTTATACACTAGAAACACAGACAAGTTGGGCATGAAGCAGGCTGGGATTGTGAGGCTCATATGACAATTACAAAAAAAGCAAATGCAGGAAAGCAGGCTTTCATTTCTATTTAACACTAGAATGATAAGTTTCCTATCAAACTCTTGCCTCGCCTTACCTGTACACTAGATGAAAAGTCCAACCCATGGACATTCCTATACAATACATATCGAGGAAGAAAATATGGAGAGGCAGCATTGGTTCCTTACCAGTTTTCATAGAGGGTAGAGAAGAAACGCTGCATTCTTTCCAAGACGGTTTTGAAGACAGGAGAGTCATTGAGTTCCAAGAGAGGTTGAGGTAATCCTACAGGGAAATACGGGTCAAGAACATGATGCTCCACTGTCAGGAGTCTCAATTGGCCAACACTCTACAGCAGGAAGCTGTTGTTCAGGGGTGAAGATGTGTGCATGTCTGGTGCTGTACTGCAAAGCAGTTGGCTACGTGATTTGCTGCACTCTTTTGGTAGGAGAAGGTGAAAGCTACTTAAGGACCCAGGACTTTAGACCCGGGTACTCTTTTATCTGCTTTTTTTTTTCCCCCAGATGGAACCTGTACCAAAAAAAGTGACAACTCAAAAGTATTTTTCCATAAAGCTCTGGGGATGCTCCCACAATTAAGTTATGAAACCCCTTTTTTAAGCAAAATCTTACACAAAACACTAAGATGTGTAGCAGCTAAAAATGAAACCCACTTACCTTAGTATTAAAAACTGCCTTAAAATATCTATATTTTTAAGTGTAATCAGAGGTTTTACATTTCGAGTCCTATAGTCAGAAGCTATCTGTGGGAACTGTTTGTCCATTCTAGTATTTCTGGTTGGCCACTTATTTCTATAGCAGGAGTTCCTGACTTAACTTGAATAATGGCATGGGGGTGTGTGGTAAGCAACACCTACTTTTTATATTAATAGCTATACATTTCTTGGAATTTCTACTTTTACTGGTGTCTGCAACATAACCCTTAAATGGAATGGTGTCAAAGGAAAAGATTCAGGACTATCTAGGCTGAAACAGACAGACATGAGTTCTGGAAAGGCAAATTAACATCCTTCCTTTGGCTAACTTCACAGCTGAGGAATGCCATTGGATTGCTTGACCACAGCCGGGCTCAGACACAGGTTATAGCTGATGACAAAGACAAACTATGGGGGCTGTGATGGTGAGCCAGCCTGAAGCTTCTGAGATGGGAACAAGGTTTAGACAACTGATGCCTCTAGCTCTAACTTCATCCCACATTCCCAGACTAGCTCCCTGTGCTCCAGCCACATGATTCAACCATCTCTATGTTCTGGACATACCAAGGCCTTTTTCTCTTGCCTCAGATCTTATACCTGCCATTCTGTTTGTCCAGAATGCCCAGCATTTCCTCATGCCCCTAACCTAGCTAGTTCGTACTCATCCTTCAAGTCCCCATTGGGAGTCAGCCTTCTGACTTCCCTCTGAGACTGGGTTAGGTCTCCCGATAAACACTCAGAGCCCTGCCACTTTCCTTCACAGCAAATACCACAATTATGACTGCACAGTTATTTTCATGCTTATTTTCAATGGGAAAATGAATTAAAGCAGTATCCTAACAAGGTCACAACTGGAAGGCCAGGCGTGGTGGCTCATGCCTATAATCCTGGCACTTTGGGAGGCCAAGGCAGGCAGAGCACTTGAGGTCATGAGTTCGAGACCAGCCTAGCCAACATGGTGAAACCCTGTCTCTACTAAAAATACAAAAAATTAGCCGGGTGTGATGGTGCATGCCTGTAGTCCCAGCAGGCTGTGGGAGAATCACTTGAACCTGGAAGGCAGAGGTTGCAGTGAGCTGAGATTGCACCACTGTACACCAGCCTGGGTGACAGAGTGAGACTCTCTCAAGAAAACAAAACAAAACAAAAAAGGTAACAATTGGGAAATGGCTTAAAATCTATTCCTTTAAAAACTTTGATACCTATCTACACACACACACACACACACACACACACACACACACACACACACACACACGAGGAGGCAGGAAAGTATACAAATATCCTTCAGGTTAAAGGCCATGATTTATTTATAATTGAATGGCTGTAACACCCACCACAACCTACTGGCTAAATTGAAGAAGGGGTTAACGGGGAAAAAAAATAAATTGCCTTCGATTTTCTCTGTATGCTAAGATAATGAAGTAAATACACTTGTTCATATAGAGCTTATAGGAACTCCACATTCTGCATTTCTGAACAAATAGATGGTCAAGGCAGTGCAAGACAAGATGGAAGAAGCACAAGATAGGCTGAAGCTGCTCAAGGAACCCATAAGAACGCCTGTAATCACTAGGATTCTAGTGCTTTAAAGGCCATGGTGGGAGGACTGCTTGATGATAAGAGTTCAAGACCAGCCTGGGCAACATAGCAAGACTCTGTCTCAACAAAAAAATTTTAAAGTTCGTCTGGCGTTGTGATCTGCCTGTGGTCCAACTACTCGGGAGGCTGAGGCAGGAAGACTGCTTGAGTCCAAGAGTTTGAGCCTACAGTGAGCTATGGTTGCACCAGTGCACTCTAGCCTGGGTGACAGAGACTATGACTCTTAAAAAACAACAAAAAAAGGGGACATCCATTAGGGATAAGATAAACCTTAGGAGAAAAAAGGTTACATTTCTTACCTAATATAGCAGATTTTTCCGCGTCAAGCATATCCAGAGCCTTGGTGAAAGGCTCTGCCATTTTGGCTAGCATTTCTGGTGCATATAATGTATTGTGGGTTCTGAAAGAAACAAGAATGCTATTGAGCTTTTCCATCTGATGCAGAAGGAAAGAGTGGGTTTTGCTTGTAATCCAGTGATACTACAGTTTCACACAGATCTGCCCATCAACTCCTGGCAGGGGAAAGAAAAGAAGGTATAAATATCTGAATGCTCGCTGGAGGAGGGAACAGACTTGTATAGATATAATTATCTTAGTATACAATACCTAAGATAAATTAACATGAGAACTAAACCCCAAGACACAGGACAGTATCAGAGTCCAAAGCTAGAAAGCAAAATTCTTTTAAATCTGAGGTGGTCCCAGGAGTTTTTTGACCACCAGTGATACGGAATGAAATGTGTGCAACACTGTGGATTTACAGGTAGGAACACAGAGGAGGTGGTAATTTGCCCCATTTTTCAATGTTTTGTCTTAATTCCAAGAGCATGGACCTTGCAACAGCTGTTTGGACCTGATAGAGGAACACAATTCCCAACACATGCTGTCCCCCACCAAAATGACCTACCTGAGCAATTATAGGCTTTGAGTAAGGAGCAAGGACTGTGAACTTGATATACCCGCTGTCCACAGCACTCTTACCTACTCACAGAAATGACCCCACTGAACAAACTGATGGCTACACGTTTAAGATGCAAACTGAAAACATCTTTTAGACCATGTTTAAACCTCCATAGTTTGTTCTTTTTGTTCTTAAGAAGTCATTCTAGGCTGGGCTCGGTGGCTCACGCCTATAATCCCAGTACTTTGGGAGGCCGAGGCTGGCGAATTACCTGAGGTCAGGAGTTCAAGACCAGCCTGGCCAACATAGGGAAACCCTGTCTCTACTAAAAATATAAAAATTAGATGGGTGTGGTGGTGCATGCGTGTAATCCCAGTTACTTGGGAGGCTAAGGCAGAATTGCTTGAACTTGCGAGGCAGAGGTTGTGGTGAGCCGAGATCATACCACTGCACTCCAGCCTGGGCAACAGAGTGAGACTCCATCTCAAAAAAACCCCCCAAAGGCCAGGCGCAGTGGCTCATGCCTGTAATCCCAGCACTTTGGGAGGCTGAGGTGGGTGGATCACGAGGTCATGAGATCGAGACTATCCTGGCTAACACAGTGAAACCCTGTCTCTACTAAAAATACAAAAAATTAGCCGGACGTGGTGGTGGGTGCCTGTGGTCCCAGCTACTCGGGAGGCTGAGCTTGCAGTGAGCCAAGACTGCGCCACTGCACTCCAGCCTGGGCAACAGAGCGAGACTCTGTCTCAAAAAACAACAACAACAACAAAACCCCAAAAAACAGAAGTGTTTCTATGGCTGGGCCCAGTGGCTCACGCTTGTAATCCCAGCACTTTGGGAGGCCGAGGTGGGTGGATCATCTGAGGTCAGGAGTTCAAGACCAGCCTGGCCAACATGGTAAAACCCAGTCTCTACTAAAAATATAAAAATTAGCCAGGTGTGGTGGTGGGTGCCGGGCATGGTAGCTACAGGTTTAAGATGCAAACTGAAAACATCTTTCAGACCATGTTTAAGCCTCCATAGTTTGTTCTGTTTGTTCTTGCTTAAGAAGTCATTCTAGAGGCCGGGCGCGGTGGATCACGAGGTCAGGAGATCGAGACCATCCTGGGTAACATGGTGAAACCCCATCTCTACTAAAAATACAAAAGCTAAATTAGCCAGACATGGTGGCGGGCGCCTGTAGTCCCAGCTACTCGGAAGGCTGAGGTGGGAGAATGGCGTGAACCCGGGAGGCGGAGCTTGCAATGAGCTGAAATCGCGCCACTGCACTCCAGCCTGTGTGACAGAGCGAGACTCCATCTCAAAAAAAAAAAAAAAAAAGTCATTCTAGGCCGGGCGCAGTGGCTCACGCCTGTAATCCCAGCACTTAGGGAGGCCAAGGCCGGAGAATCACCTGAGGCCAGGAGATCAAGACCAGCCTGGCCAACATGGTGAAACCCTGTCTCTACTAAAAATATAAAAATTAGACGAGTATGGCGGTGCATGCCTGTAATCCCAGCTTCTCCGGAGGCTGAGGCAGGAGAATCACTTGAATCCAGGTGAGCCAAGATCGTGCCACTGCACTCCAGCCTGGGTGACAGAGCGAGACTCCCTCTCAAAAAAAAAAGTCATTCGCTACCCTGGCCAGGCACAGTGACTCATGCCTGTAATCCCAGCACTTTGGGAGGCTAAGGCAGACGGATCACCTGAGGTCAGGAGTTTGAGACCAGCCTGGCCAACATGGTGAAACCCTGTCTCTACTAAAAATATAAAAATTAGCCGGGTGTGGTGGTGCATGCCTATAATCCCAGCTACTTGAGAGGTCAAGGCATAAGAATCGCTTGAACCCAGGAGGCGGAAATTGCAGTGAGCCGAGATTGTGCCACTGCACTCCAGCCTGCGCAACACAGTGAGACTCCAACTCGACAAAAAAAAAAAGTCATTCACTAACCTCATGCTGTAAATATGGTCTAGAAGTTTTACTTTGGCCAGATGCGGTGGCTTATGCCTGTAATCCCAGCACTTTAGGAAGCCGAGGTGGGTGGATCACGAGGTCAGGAGTTCAAGACCAGTCTCTGGCCAACATGGTGAAACCCTGTCTCTACTAAGAATACAGAAATTAGCCAGGCATGGTGGCACACGCCTGTAAATCCCAGCTACTCAGGAGGCTGAGGTAGGAGAATCGCTTGAACCCGGGAGGCAGAGGTTGCAGTGAGCCAAGGTCGCGCCACTGCACTCCAGCCTGGACGACAGAGTGAGACTCTATCTAAAAAAAAAAAAAAAAAAAAAAAAAAAAAAAAGCAGCTTTACTTTTTGGGTTTTAAAACACCTGAAAATTTTTTCTGTGTGTGGTGGCTGGTAGGAATCTAATTGTTTTTTCTAACACGGTGAAACAGACAATATGGTGTCTGTCCTCGACAACTCAACTCTGCATAGAAAGCCAACTGTCCCAGCATTGAATAATTGATTTTTGTTTTGTTTTTTGTTTTTTAAAGAGACAGGGTCTCACTCTACTGCCCAGGCTGGATTGCAGTGGTGTGTTCATAGCTCACTGCAGCCTCAAACTCCTGGGCTCAAGTGGCCCTTCCACCTCAGGCTCCCGAGTAGCTGGGACTATAAGTGTGCACCACCACACGTGAATAATTAAAACTTTTTTTTTTTTTTTTGTAGAGAAAGTGTCTGTGTTGCCCAGGCTGGTCTCAAACTCCTGGCCCCAAGAGATCCTCCTGCCCTGGCCTCCCAAAGTGCTGAAATTATAGGCATGAGCCACTATTCCCAGCCATCTTTTTCTAACTTTCATTACTTCTGTCATAGATCAACCTGTAATACATACCTGGGAGTCTTTTAAAGGCTAAACCTTTACTATTGTGTTGAACCCATCATCATCTACAAAGGATTATCTGCTAAAAAACTGAACTGGTATGAGGTCAGTTTTCTAGACCAGAGGTCACATTCATACATGTTTTAAGCTTGGCCGGCAATATGGTGTCTGTCCTCGACAACTCAACTCTGCATTGAAGCGCAATAGCAGCCATAAACAGTAGGTAAATGAATGGCCAAGGTATGTTCCAACGGAAGTTTACTTACAAACATGTGGAGACTTACATTTGGTCCTCAGGCTGCAGAGTGCCATATGTCCTCTAGACATATTCACGTGTAACAAAATAACAAAAATAAAGGAAAGTAGACAAGATCAAACAATACTCCAGAGATGCAATCATCAAAATTTCACCAGGGGAAACTCTGGAAATACAAGTCCACATTTTTCAACAAATAAATTGAAAAGAAAAAGAGGGCCAGGCATGGTAGCTCACGGCTGTAATCCCAGCACTTTGGGAGGCTGAGGCAGGTGGATCAGTTGAGCTCAGGAGTTTGAGACCAGCCTGGGTAACATGGCAAAACCCTGTATCTACTAAAAATACAAAAAATTAGCCAGGCGTGGTGGCGCACACCTGTAATCCCAGCTACTCGAGAGGCTGAGGCAGTCGAGAGGCTGAGGCAGGAGAATTGCTTGATCCCGGGAGGCGGAGGGTGCAGTGAGCTGAGATAGCACCAGTGCACTCCAGCATGGGTGACAGAACAAGATGGTCTCAAAAAAAAAAAAAAAAAAAAGGCAAGGAACTTATAAATTTAGAGCCTAAGAGACATCTTTTTTTTTTTTTTTTTTTTTTTTTTTTGAAACAGAGATTTGCTCTGTCGCTCAGGCTGGAGTACAATGGCGTGATCTCAGCTCAATGCAACCTCCGCCTGCTGGGTTCAAGTGATTCTCGTGCCTCAGCCTCCCAAGTAGCTGAGACTACAGGTGCGCACCACCACACCTGGTTACTTTTTTAAATTTTTAGTAGAGATGGGGTTTTGTCATGTTGGCCAGGTTGGTCTCAAACTCTTAGCCTCAAGGATCCGCCTGCCTCGGCCTCCCAAACTGCTGAGATCACAAGCGTGAGGCACCACGCTAAGCCTAATTTAGTGACTAAGAGATATCTTAAATATATATAAACCTTGTGTGGATAAACAGAAAAAAGGAAAACATTCGGTGATATTTGAATACTGATTGTATACTGGATATTGAATTACTGGTAGTATTTTGAGATATAACAATGGAAATGTGGTTATATTAAAAGACTTATTACTAGCTCCATATTGCTTTTGATTTGGGATTTTCGTCTCTATGTTTACAAGTGATTTAGGCCTATAATTTTCCTCTTTGGTACTGTTAATGTCTGGTTTTGGTATCAAAATAAATAAGCCTCATAAAATGAGTTATGGAGCACTACATTTTTCTTTTTTTTTTTCCCACGCTTAATTCACTTTATTTTTCTTGTATAAAAACCCTATGTTGTAGCCACAGCTGGAGCCTGGGTCTGCTGCACAGAGACTCTGGTGTGGGTCTTGACGAGGTGGTCAGTGAATTCCTGATAGGGAGACTTGGTAAATACAGTCTCCTTCCAGAGGTCGGGGGTCAGGTAGCTGTAGGTCTTAGAAATGGCATCAAAGGTGGCCTTGGCGAAGTTGCCCAGGGTGGCAGTGCAGCCCTGGGCTGAGGTGTAGCAGTCATCGATACCAGCCATCATGAGCAGCTTCTTGGGCACAGGTGCGGAGACAATGCCAGTGCCCCTGGGTGCAGGGATGAGGCGCACCAGCACAGAGCCACGGCGGCCTGTCACCTTGCAGGGGACGGTGTGGGGCTTGCCGATCTTGTTCCCCTAGTAGCCTCTGTGCACGGGGACAATGGAGAGCTTGGCCAGGATGATGGCCCCACGGGTGGCGGTGGCCACCTCCTTGGAGCACTTAACACCCAGACCGACGTGGCCACTGTAGTCCCCGATAGCAACAAACGCCTTGAACCTGGTGCGCTGGCCAGCACGGGTCTGCTTCTGCACTGGCATAATCTTCAAAACCTCATCCTTGAGAGAGGCCCCCAGGAAAAAGTCAATGATCTCTGATTCCTTAATGGGCAGGGAGAAGAGATAGATCTCCTCCAGGGACTTGATCTTCATGTCCTTGACCAAGCGGCCCAGCTTGGTGACGGGCATCCACTCCTTATCTTTGGCCTTGCCTCCGCGAGCTCCGCGGCCTCAGCCCCGGCCCGGTCCACGGCTGCGACCCCGGCCCCGGATGCCACTGGCGAAACCTCTGCGGAAGCCACCGCGGTTCCCCATCCCAGGGCCACCAGGGCCTCCAGGCCCCCCCACTGCACCGGCGTCATCCGCCATTTGGTGTTTTCTCGGAGAAGAAGCTACATTTTTCTATTCTTGGGAATAGTTTGTCTAAGAGATAAATTATCTGTTCCTTGAAGGTCTGGGAGAACTCCCATGTAAAATCATTTAGGCCTGGAGTTTTTTGGTCTAATTTAACTACTACCAATATAATTAATATGAAGTTATATCTCTTTAGGTTTTCTATCTTGTTGAGTTAGAATAAGTTACATTTTCCCTGGAAATTATCCATTTTTAAATATTTTATTTTTAAAAATAGAAGACGGGGCTGGGCACAGTGGCTCACGCCTATAATCCCAATACTTTGGGAGGCCAAGATGGGCGGATCACCTGAGATCAGGAGTTTGAGAACCAGCCTGGCCAACATGATGAAACCCTGTCTCTACTGAAGATACAAAATTAGCTGGGCATGGTGGCGCACGCCTGTAACCCCAGTACTTTGAGAGGCCAAGGAGGGGGGATCACCTGAGGTCAGGAGTTCAAGACCAGGCTGGCAAACATGGTGAAACCCTGTCTCTACTGAAGATACAAAATTAGCCAGGCCGGGCGGATCACGAGGTCAGGAGATCAAGATCATCCTGGCTAATACGGTGAAACCCTGTCTCTACTAAAATTACAAAAAATTAGCCAGGCGAGGTGGCGGGCACCTGTAGTCCCAGCTACTTGGGAGGCTGAAGCAGGAGAATGCCGTGAACCTGGGAGGCAGAGCTTGCAGTGAGCCGAGATGGCGCCACTGCACTCCAGCCTGGACGACAGAGCAAGACTCCGTCTCAAAATAAATAAATAAATAAACAAAATTAGCCAGGCATGGTGGCACACACCTGTAATCCCAGCTACTCAGGAGGCTGAGACAGGAGAAGCGCTTGAACCTGGGAGGTAGAGGTTGAAGTGAGCCGAGATCATGCCTTTGCATGCCAGCCTGGGCAACAAGAGTGACACTCCGTTTCAAAAAAAATAAATTAAAAAATCGATATGGGGTCTTGCTACGTTGCCCAGGCTGGTCTCCAGCAATGTTCCTGCTGTGGCCTCCCAAAGTGCTGAGATTACAGGCATGAGCCAACATGCCCAGCCCCATTTTTCTTAAGCTTTTGAATTTACTGATGTTATCACTAGTATTTTCAAAGAACCAGCTTTATTTTTATTAAGATTTTAAAAAATTGAGGCATAATTCACATAACATAAAACTAACCACTTTAGGAGTACTATTCAGCCATAAAAAAAAAAAGAGATCTTGTCATTTGCAACAATATGGATAGCACTGGAGGTCATTATGCTAAATGAAATAAGCCAGGCACAGAAAGACACATCACATGTTCTCACTCTTTGTGGAATCTAAAAATTTAAACAATTCGACTCATGGACATACAGAGTGTAAGGATGGTTAGCAGAGGGGCTGGGGAGGGTAGTGGTGGGTTAGGGGTAAGGTAGGGATTGTTAATGGGTACAAAAAACCCACAAAGAATGAATAAGATCTAGTATTTCCTAGCACAATAGGGTGACTATAGTCAATAATAATTTTGATTGTACATTTAAAAAGCATAACTGCAGTTGACTATAACTGGATTGTTTGTAACACAAAGGATAAATGCTTGAGGGGATGGATACCCCATTTTAATTGATGTGATTATTATTATGCATTGCATGCCTGTGTCAAAACATCTTATGTACCCCATAAATATATGTATGTACTGTGTACCCACAAAACTTTAAAAAACTAACAAAAAACATCCCCACCAAAACCTAACCATTTTAAAGTTCACAATTCAGTGGTATTTAATACTTTCAAAGGGTTGCATAAGTAACCTCTACCTGGTTCCAAAACGTTTCCATGGCCCCCAAAATAACTGCCAGGCCCATTAAGCAGTAGCAGTTGATCTACACTTTCTTCTCCTCTCCAACCTGAGGCAATCGCCAATGTACTTTCTGTCTCTAGATATTTCATAAAAATGAAATCATACAACATATGGCCTTTTGTGTCTGGCTTCTTTCACTTAGCATAATGTTTTGAAGGTTGATCCACAGTGTAGTAATTATCAGTACTTCATTTTGTAAGTACTGTAGTAATCCAATACTTCTTTTTTTCTTTTTTGAGATAGAGTCTCATTCTTTCTCCCAGGCTGGAGTGCAGTGGCACGATCTTAGCTCACTGTAACCTCCATCTCCTGGGTTCGAGTGATTCTCTTGCATCAACCTTTTGAGTAGCTGGGGTTACAAGCATGCACACCACCACGCCTGGCTAATTTCTGTATTTTTAGTAGAGATGGGGTTTCACCATGTTGGCCACACTGGTCTTGAACTCTTGACCTCAAGTGATCTGCCTAAGGCCTTAGCCTCCCAAAGTGCTAGGATTACATGCATGAGCCACCGCACCCGGCCGATTTTAGAAATCTAGTGTGTATTTTATACTTACAGTTCATCTCAATTCAGGCTAGTCATTTTTATTTTTTAATTTTTATTTTTTTTCTCTAAGGAGCTTTCCAGAGAAAACTGGAAAGCCTACCAGACCAATTCTGAAAGTACTGTAACACTTGACTAGTAATACTTCAAGTGCTCAATAGTTTCATGTGGCAAGTGGCTTCCATGCTGGACAGCACAGCTTCAACACCTTCTATTATCAGATTATTTGACGCAGGAGGTGCTATGAATACCTTGCTACATTCTTAAAGCAAACTTTTCTCTACTAAAAAAATAGTAATTTATTTATTTTTCAATTTTTTTTTTGAGATGGAGTCTTACCCTGTTGCCCAGGCTGGAGTACGGTAACATGATCTCAGCTCACTGCAACCTCCGCCTCCCAAGTTCAAGCGATTCTCCTACCTCAGCCTCCTGAGTAGCTGGGATTACAGGCACCTGCCACCATGCCCAGCTAATTTTTTTTGTTGGTGGTGGTGGTATTTTGAGTAGAGACGGGGTTTCACCATGTTGGCCAGGCTGGTCTCAAACTCATGACCTCAAGTGATTCACCTGCTTCGGCCTCCCAAAGTGCTTGGATTACAGGCGTGAGCCACTGTGCCCAGCCAAAAAATAGTAATTTAAAACTCCCAACTCCAGCATATAACTGGTGGGAATATAAATTAGTATAACCACTTTAAAAAGCAGGTTGCATCTATAAAAACAGAAAATACACATTTCTTATAAGCTAGGAATTCTACTCCTATGTGTGTATCCAACAGAAATTATATATATATGTTCACAAAACGTATTTGACATAAGAATGTCAACAGCAGCATGATATGTAATATTAAAATATCACCCAAAGGTCCATCAAGGCTGAATAGTTACAGCATATTCACACAATGAAGTATCATACAAGCAAGGAGAACAAAAAAAACACAAGTACATTCATGCAGTAACATGGATGAACCTCAGAAACAAAATATTGAGCGAAAGGAAGGCAGACACCAAAAGGTGCATACTTCTGATTTCATTTTCACAAAGTTCAAAAACCTGGACAAAATGTTAAAAGTCAGAATAGTGGGCTGGGTGAGGTGGCTCACATCTGTTATCCCAGCACTTTGGGAGGATCTCTTGAGCCCATGAGTTCAAGACTAGCCTCAGCAACATAGAGAGAACCTATCTCTACCAAAAAGTTAAAAATTAGCTGGGCATGGCTGCTCATGGCTGTAGTCCTAGCTACTCAGGAGGCTGAGGTGGGAGGACTGCTTGAGCCCATGAGGTCGAGGCTGCAGTGAGCCGTGATCGCAACACTGCACCCCAACCTGGGCGACAGGATAAGATCGTGCCTCAAAAGTAAGTAAGTAAGTAAATAAATAAATAAATACAAATCAGAATAGTAGTTATCTTTGAGGGGCAGGTAATTACTGAAAAGAGGTATTAGGTAAAGTTGCTTCTTGATCTGAGTGCTGATTACATGAATGTGTCCACTTTGTGAAAATTCATCTACACACACTCACAAGTTAAGCCCTTTTCTACATAAATGTTACACTTCAAGATAAAATTTATTTAATTTTTTTTTTCTTTTTTGAGACGGAGTCTTCCCTGTTGCCCAGGGACAGGGAAGACTCTTCCCTGTGATCTTGGCTCACTGCAACCTCCACCTCCCAGGTTCAAGCAATTCTCCTGCCTCAGCCTCCCGAGTAGCTGGGATTACAGGCGCCCGCCACCATGCCTGGCTAATTTTTGTATTTTTAGTAGAGGTGGGGTTTCACCATGTTTATTGGGCTAGTCTCGAACTGTTGACCTTAAGTGATCCATGCGCCTTGGCCTCTCACAGTGCTGGGATTATAGGCATGAGCTACCGCGCCCAGCCAATAAAATTTACTAAAAAAGCAAAACTCTTAATAGCTCCAGCTACACACTATTCAAGCAATCTACTCTATCATTACATGCTAGGCATTTTTCAAAATGCCTTTTGATTGATTTTTGGAATTCTCTAAAAGCACTGAACTCTTAGAAAAGTATCAAAATGATAACCATCTGAAGACTAAGAAAATAGAGTCCTTAAAGTCAAGCTGAGTCTGCTGTTAGCCTCCTAAATGAAAGGATAGACAGAACAGGTCTTGTTTGCAAAATAAATTCAAGACCTACTTATCTACCGACAGCAATTATACACTTTCCATTGTCTTTCTATAGAAAATAGGAGTAGTAAATTTATAGAGGAAAAAACTGGAGAAAGACATAGTGAACACATGAGAATCTTCCTCTACTGATTGATAGGAAGGTGACTAGAAATTGAAAAGAGATTATACTTTTTTAAAAAAAGAAAATTATATAAAAAAAGATAATCATACTGTTGTCTTGTGGCCTCTAGAGTCAACCAGAAATGAACCCTGTTTCCACGTCTGGGTTGGCCACATAGATTCTGGCCACAGGCCTAAAAAGGTCTAGGTGATTAGCTTCTTGCCCTATGATTTCCATCACTTTCACGTTTCTCTAGCTGCAGAAGAACCTTGTGGTTTTAAAAAACATCACTATGGGGCTGGGTGTGGTGGTTCACACTTGTAATGCTAGCACTTTGGGAGACTGAAGCAGGCTCAGCTGTCCGAGACCAGCCTGGGCAACATGGCAAAACCCCATCTCTATTAATAAAAACATCACGATAGAAATAAGCCTCTTCTTGACTAAATGTTTAACCCTCTCAGTACAAGTCCTACTTCTTTTCAGAGATCTCTTTCCTCCTTTAGAAATCAAAAGAAAATATTATTTATTTATTTATTTATTTTGAGATGGAAGTCTCACTCTGTCGCCCAGGCTGGAGTGCAGTGGCGTGATCTTAGCTCACTGCAATCTCCGCCTCCCGGGTTCAAGCGATTCTCCTGCCTCAGCCTCTCGAGTAGCTGGGATTACAGGCATGTGCCACCATGCCCAGCTAATTTTTGTATTTTTAGTAGAGACAGGGTTTCATCATGTTGGCCAGGCTGGTCTGAAACTCCTGACCTCAAGTGATTGACCCACCTTGGCCTCCCAAAGTGCTGGGATTACAGGTGTGAGCCACCACACCCCGCCAAAATATTGTCTATTTCCACAGACATGTCCACAATGACAACTTTATCAGACACTCCAGCCCTCCAATTTGTCAACATTAACTTAAAATCTTTGGTTCTCAGGCTTCAGGTCTTGGGTGTCTATTCCCAGGAGAGTTTCACTGCGACATGAATAATTTGGTTTGCCCCGTTGAGACTGCTTTTACTCCTTGGAGAAGGGGCCAAAAAGTACTGAAACAGAGCTCTAACAATGTAATTTAAACATCCTGTGAGAGGCCAGGTGTGGTGGCTCACTCCTGGAGTCCCAGCACTTTGGGAGGCCGAGGTGGACTGATCACTTGCGGCCAGGAGTTCGAGACCAGCCTGGCTAACATGGCGAAGCCCTGTCTCTACTAAAAATACAAAAATTAGCCAGGAGTGGTGGTGCACACCTGTAGTCCCAGCTACTTGGGTGGCTGAGGCAGAAGAATCGCTTAAGCCTGGGAGGCGGAGGTTGCAGTGAGCCAAGATTGCACCACTGCACTCCCAGCCTGGGTGACAAAGTGAGACTCTGTCTCAAAAAAACAAACAAACAAAAAAAAAACCAATCCTGTGAGATACAAAAAGCACTCTTTGGCCAATAACTGAATTATATAAAAAAACCTATCTTTTCATTTAGAGACCATCCCTGAGTCATCAAATATCTATATCTAGTAACTGATAAGCCTATACTGGCCTACTTCCACTTGAATATATTAACTCATGTGATCTAAAACAGTGATTCTGAATGTTTAATGTGTATATAAACCACTGGGCATCTAGTTAAAATGCAGATTCTGATTTAGTATGTCTGGGGTGGGGCCTTGATTCTGCCTTTGAAATAAGCTCTCAGGTGATGCTAATGCTACTGGTCTTAGGACTCAGCTTTGAGAACCAAGGATCTAGCAAACTCAGATGAAAAATTTATAATTCCTTTGTTTAGCATGTTCAGCCAGCGGTTGTTTGGTTCATCTGAGCTCAGACTCAGTATTGATAAATTCAGATTAGCTCATATGAATACCACCTAGACAAGCATCATTATAGAAGGCAACTGCCCTGCTCCCAATGAGCAATTCCTTTACTAAAAAATTTAGACCAAATAAAACTTACAAGTAAAAATAGGGATGAAGTATAAAGAAATGGAAGAACAACAAAGAGGAGGCTCAAAATGGGAAAAGCCCTTTTGGGATTATCCCCTTGGGTTCACATGGAAATTAAGATTTATGCAAGTGAGAGCTGATGTTATTTTTTTTAAAACTGAGACACCCTCTAGAAAGAAATAAGACTTAAATCAATCCCTCATTAATACCACTAAGATATGAAGACATGTAAACAGACTAAACTTTTGAAATTTTTAAGGTAAAGTAGAAAACAACAGAGAAAAGCCATTATTCTGACTCACCTTATAAGCGCAAGCAAATTGTCAAGAAGTTTCAGAATCTGCTCTGTGCAGGGGTTACGGAAGATTGGATTTCCACTGGATGTATAACCCACCACAAATCCCCCAGCTTTGGCCTCTTCTAGGTCAGTGGGCCAGCAAGTTCGTTTCACCACACCCAGAATGCTGTATACACAAAAGCTCATCTATAGAAAAATAAGAATGACAGATAAATATTAAAAGGAAAAAAAAAAAAAGACCAAATACTGTTAGATATATTCAAGGTTCTGGCAAAAGTGACACAGAGGCCAGAGAGAATGAAATAATCCTCTGCTCCCCGGCAATCCCCCATCCCTTCCTTTAAGGTGAAGTCCAAGAGGGATCCTCTCACTGCCATTTTCAGGGCCAGTGGTAGGCTCTGGAAACTTCCCTTGCAGTAAGCTGTCTTTCTAGGAGCTGCAGTGACCCACCCACAGGACCCTGATGAGAAGGTGGCTTAGATACGATCCAAAACAAAGTGTTTAAAATGCCATCACTTCATCTTCTTTGAGTTGACCCTTATTGGGCCTTGACAGCTAGTGTCCTAATCCCCCCTCACGGTACTCTGAATCAACCTACTACTTGCCAGGTTAATTAATGGGACTTGTGCCATAATGGAGCCAGGAACAATGCTTATTTAAATAGCAAAGCACTGAAAAATCTCAGGTTTGCAAGTTAAGCCATCACTTAAGACTTTACATGCCAGAGAGCAATGGCAGGGAGGACTCACCCTGCTGACCAAGTTCTGACCTACTTCCTCATTACACCTTCAGTCTTCAGAGCTATTTAGAGATCCTTAAAGCCAAAATAATGACTTCATAGAAAAGACCATCTGCTCTGCTGTGGGAACTAACTCAAGAATTCAAGACTAAAGAAGAAAAGAAAGGAGAAGCTTAGGGAAGTGGAGACTCCCACGTTTCTCACCAGTATAGAAAAAACAAATCTATGAGAAACTTGACAAAAGACAACACCCTACTCCTACCCATGGCCAATGCCACTTCCCATTCCCAGGAAAGTCTTACTCGTGCACGGTTTAAGCCACACGGATCCTCCAGGCCTGGGTCACAGCTCTTCTGATCTGTACCCACATACGCAATGAAAGCATCAACATCTGACAGCACTCTGAAGGTTGGAGGGGGAAAAACAAGTTACATCATGACTTTAAACAAGGACAGTTTCTTCCACAGGAGTTAACAGGCTATCATTATTTGGCCCTTAAGAGCAGTTTTTATAGTGAGAGGAGTATAATCATACTAATTGTCAGTTGTCATTTGAAGGTTTAAATTTCCCTTCCCACTCCCAAATATTATTAGTAACAATTTAAGAATTAAACAAGAATATAATCTTCAAAATATAAAGAAAATAATTTCTCTACTGTGTGAGCACAGATAAGTGTCTGTGTGGTTGTATGGCCCTTCCTAGCTGTTCTCATTTTTCTAAATGTGCTGGTGCTGCAATGCAGACACCACAGGAGTCTCACTCTGTGCCCTCCCCACCCACAATCTAATTGAACCAGAGATTAAATTACAAAAGACTGCTTTTAGAGAACTTCAGATATCATGGATAATGCCATCACACTTCAATATCCTTAACCCCTACCCCACCCTGGGCCTAGCTCTTAAACCAAAATGGGTGCTTGAGTATAGTAAGAGTCAGGGCAAGGGATCTCCTTTACCTGTGCATGTCTTGAGAAAGCCAGATGCTGGCCACTGGTGCCATCAGCTCCTCTAGGAACACCTTCTGACGCTCGTAGTTCTTAAATTGGTTGCTAATGAGAACCAGGGCTTCCATGAGGGCACACTTCTCCATTTGTGTCAGGAGTAGCTCATTGGAGAGGAGTTGCTTCACATGGTTATAAAGCATGTCAAAATTGGGCTACAGATCAAAAAGAAAAAAAGCCAGAGGTGGTAAAGGTCTGATTTTCAAGGAGAGGTGGCTTACTCAAGGAAGAAAGAAGAAAACCAAAGCAGTCCCAGGAAAGTCAGGCCTATAAGGTTATTATTTGGTAATTCTGTTATATGTCTTTATTTTGCCTAAATAAGCAAGGCAATTTAGGCGGAAGATAGCTCTTGTCTTGAGTATTTGGATAACTGCACTTTCCCATACTACAACTGTGAAAAGATCAGCTTGTTTTATATATATATATAGATATATATGTATATCTATATATATATGGAGATAACTGCTGTGCATTCAGAGAAGAAATTTCTGGATAATTTGTAATCTGGAGTAATGTTAAATTTCTTATAACCCCATGCCCCAAAAAGGGTTGTGATTTGCATCTGCTTTTCTCAAGATCAGGCACATCATTTGGCAGTAGTAATTAAGATCATCACATAGTAAAGAGTTGTAGAATTATAGGGGTAAACTTAGTAATCTATATGGCAGAGAACTATTTGTATTTTGAAGAGAGATTACATTTGCCATCACATTTCTAACTATACTACTAAGTATACTAAGAAAACACCAATTCAAGAATGTTTATTTATTTATTTTTGAGATGGAGTTTCGCTCGTTGCCCAGGCTGGAGCAATGGCGTGATCTTGGCTCACTGCAACCTCCGCCTCCTGAGTTCAAGTGATTCTCCTGCCTCAGCCTCCTGACTAGCTGGGATTACAGGCATGCACCACCATGCCCAGCTAATTTTTTTGTACTTTTAGTAGAGACCGGACTTCACCATGTTGTCCAGGCTGGTCCCGAACCCCTGGCCTCAGGTGATCTACCCACCTCAGTCTCCCAAAGTGTTGGGATTACAGGTGTGAGCCACCATGCCCGGCCAAGGATGCTTATATGATGCAAAGCTATAGTTTCTAGTTTTTTCTTTATGTGAGGTACACTGAAAGCTGGATTTACACACAAATGTAACCAAACTTGGCTACTTCAGCCAGGGTCCAGCAGCTTACCAGCACAAGCTGGGGGTAGTCACGACACATCTTGATGATGGAGGAACAAGCATGCCTCCTCACATTCCTCACTGCCCGGGTTCTGGGGGCCTGAAAAGAGACATTCAACAAACTCGGAGCTGCTTTTAATATAATATACAGGTGCTGCATAGACTCATGTGAATATCTCAGTCAGGGGCAAATTCACAATGATTTTTCACAACCCTAAGAGTATAATGGAGTAACATTTATAGCCACCAAGAATCCATGTTTCTTGTATGCCCTATAGTGGCAAAACAACATATATGATAATCTACCACCCTTACTACCCCCTCCCATTTATATAAAAATATAAACTGAGTATCAGGTATTCATACATTTGTACTCAAGAAGTTAGAATCTATTGGTTTAATTAATGGTCTTACCTTACTTTCTTCAACAGTTTCAAAAGTGACAGATGAAAATAGCTAAGGGAGAGGAGGAAAAAAGGTCACTCATGTTTATTTGTTTTAGAGATGAGATCTTGCTATGTTGCCCAGACTAGACTTGAATTCCTGGGCTCAACTGATTCTCCTGCTTTAGCCTTCTGAGTAGCTGGGACTACGGGCATGAGCTTATTCATACTGTCCATTTTCTCAGATAACCTCTACAAGAGTCATCGGAGTCACAATTTTACCATCAAAACATTTTACAATAGGATCCCAGAACAATTCATGCCATCACCCAAGCACTTGGCTATGGAAACGCCTCTCTCTTCTTTTATCAAAAGTTGTATGGTCTATCCCTTCTATTCCATTTCATTATTTCCCATTTACTCCTCATTCCAATGAAATATGGCTGCTTACTTGGCCACTATTATGGAATTAAACTCAGACAAGAGTGTAGTCAAGAAACTCACTGGGCATTCTCCAACTCAAATAATTTGCAACAAATGAGCCCACTTTTCTGAAGTCCTACTGGTCTTGTGACACAACATTTTCTTCATTTCTCTGGCTCTTTTTCCTTCTGTGGGGGCTTCTCATTTTTTTCTCCACTCCTCCAATGATGGTGATTCACTAGGTTCCTCGCTTGACTCACATGTCTCCTAACTCTACATACATAATCACTTCAGTAAGACTTCACTTTTAGTCGTGGGACTACTATGATGATGATGCTTTAATTTTATCTCATTACTTTCTAGAGTCTAGATCTTCAACCTCAAATAGCCAATTTATTGTGAGATGTCTCCATAAAGATGTTCTACATATTCTTCAAACACAGTATTCCAAAATACTCATGCTTTCTCTTCTTTAGTCCCGTTCTCCTTTGTGATCTGGTATTCTGACTCAGGGAGTGGCTCTATCACCCACCTAGTCAACTGAACTGGAAACCTGGAAAGTGTTCCTTCCTCTCATAAATCCCCTCCCTGCCCGACAGCACACTCTAATACTCTCCTTTATACAAGTCTTCATTGCAATGCCATATAGGTAACATTAACTGTTTTTGTGCCTTTCTTCCCAGAGTGTTCCTAAAGAGTGAGGCACTAGCATGGTACCTGATCCACAGTAAGTACTGAGTAGATATTTAATAAATGAATAAATAGCTGTGTTTATTAGTTTGCCTCACATAATTTTAAAAATAGTTACAAAAATAATTAGCCTAGGCCAGGCATGGTTGTGCATGCTTGTAGTCTCAGCTACTCAGAAGGGTGAGGTGTGAGGATCCCTTGAGACTAGTAATTTGAGTCCAGCCTGGGCAATGTAGCAAGATCCTGTCTCCAAAAAAATAAAATAAATAAAAATTAACTTAGAAATGTCAAAATAAAATTTACAAAGGAGATGGGCTTTATACCTTAGAGAAGACCTGGGGCAGGAACTCTGGTCTGTAGGTGACAAATGGAAAGAGTGCAGAGACATTAGTAAGGACGCAGGACAGGATGAGGGGATCCTTGGTATCAAAGTTCAGAACCATCTGCAATAGCTCTATTCCATCATTAACAGGAATTTCCTGTAACAAAGACATAAAACAGGTTGACAATGGCTGCCTCCACTTAGAAATAACCATTTTGGCTACATTTTATTTTCATCTTTTAAAGAGACAGGGTCTCATTCTGTCACCTAGGCTGGAGTGCACAGTGGCACAATCATCACTCACTGTAACCTCAAACTCTTGAGCTCAAGGGATCCTCCTGCCTTAGCCTCCTGAGTAGCTAGGACTACAGGCGGGCACCACCATGCCTGGATACTTTCTAAAATTTTTGTAGAGATGTTGTAGAAGTGTTGTTATGTCGACCAGGCTGGTCTCAAACTCCTGGTTTCAAGTGATCCTACGGCCTCAGCCTCCCAAGTAGGTGGGACTACTGGCACGCACCACCATGCCTGGCTAATTTTTTAAATTTTTAGTAGAGATGAGGTCTCACTATATTGTCCAGGCTGGTCTCAAACTCCTGGGTTCAAGCATTCCTCCCATCTTGGCCTCCCAAAGTGTTGGGATTACAAGTGTGAACCACCGTACTCAGCTGTGCGTGCCCTTCTTACCATCTTCTCAGCAGTGTATTATTCCCTAAAACCTCTTAAATTTTGTATTTCTTCAACTGATCAAGAGGCTGAATGTTTTTCATATTTATCAGCTACTTTATTTATATATCACTCTTGGTTGCCCAGTGCAATGGCACGATCTCAGCTCACTGCAACCTCCACCTCCTGGGTTCAAGTGATTCTCCTGCCTCAGCCTCCTGAGTAGCTGGGATTACAGGCACCCATGACCATGCCCGGCTAATTTTTGTATTTTTAGTAGAGACAGGGTTTCGCCATGTTGACCAGGCTGGTCCTGAGCTCCTGACCTCAGGTGATCCACCCACCTTAGCCTCCACGTGCTAGGATTACAGGCCTGAGCCACTGCGCCCCACCCTTTTCTTTTTTTTTAAGACAGAATCCCACTCTGTCACACAGGCTGGAGTGCACTGGCGTGATTTTGGCTCACTGCAGCCTCTGCCTCCTGGGTTCAAGCGATTCCTGTACCTCAGCCTCCCAAGTAGCTGGGATTACAGACATGCACCAGCATGCCCAGTTAATTTTTGTGTTTTTAGTAGAGACAAGGTTTCACCATGTTGGCCAGGGTGGTCTGGAACTCCTGAACTCAAGTGATCAGCCAGCCTTGGCCTCCCAAAGTGCTGCGATTACAGGCATGAGCTACTGCGCCCGGCTTATCAGCTACTTTAGGTTCTCCTCTATACATTATTGGATTATATCTTTTGTCTATTTCTCTATAATTTAGTAAATCCTCATCTGCCTACTTTAAGAAATATGATTTTACTGATACAGTTGAGGCTCTCTGTGCATACCCTCCTTTTCAGACCTACAGGTGGCCACTATACTGGTGGCGTACAGTATTCTAAAGCAGTGTGGTACTTAAAATGTATACTAAATGTGGTAGTGCTTAGAGTTAGAAAGACCTGAGTTTTGGTCCCCATTTTGCCATTTATTAGCTGTTTGAACTTGAGTATGCTATTTAGCCTCTCTAAATCTGTTTCCTCTTCTGTAAGATGTACATCCATAGATTTTCCTATTCTACTACCAGTTTACTGGCCAGGCATAGTGGGTCATGCCCGCAATCTCAGCACTTTGGGAGGCCAAGGCAGGAGGGTCGCTTGAGGCCAGGAGTTTGAGATCAGCCTGGGCAACACAGACTCCATTTTTATTATAAATTAGCCAGGTGTGGTGGCAAGTAACTGTAGTTCTAGATCCTCAGGAGCCTGAGGTAGGAGGATTGCTTGAGCCCAGGAGTTGGAGGTTACAGAGAGCTATGATTGTGCCACTGCATTTCAGCCTGAGCAACAGAGAGATATAGCGTCCCAAAATAGAAAGAGAAAAGAAAAGAAAAAGGTCAAAATAATCATGCAGTCAGCATGGGAAATAATTACTTACTTCTCTATTTAGTGTTCGAAACATCTGGGTGATAACACTTTCCAAAAAAAGAGTCATGGCTTCCCACTGCACGAATGAAGGTGAGAAGACGGAACAGAGGCTTCCTTCTCCAGTTCCAACTGCAGAACAAGCTTTAAAACACACACACACACATACACACACACACACACACACACAATTATCAGCATTGAAAGATCGCAGAAGACACAGAGAGACAATGGAGCCTTAGAGAACACCTGAGAATTTCATGATTGAAGGAGCAGGGTAATCTAACCCCTCTCAGCTGGGGCAAAGAAAAGATGATGTGTGCTGAAAGCAATGAGGTAGGTGAAGGTTCCTACCATGCCTCCTCCTCCTCTAACAATGAGCGGTCTGAATTCACCTCTATGAGCCTTGTAGTAAAACCATTTTGAGTAATGAATGAGAATACGCAGGTGAACATCAAAAACATTGCCTGGCCCATTAGTAGGCACTTGATAAACATGAATTAGTTTCTCCCCTCCTCCCCCTTTATAATCTTTTCCATGAGAATCTAAATAATTAAAATTGAGACCATAAAGAATCTTCCCAATAAGGAAACAATGTAATATACAAAATACTGCTTCACATCCAATAGCCTCATGACAGCCTTAAGGGCTATGTCTAGAGAAGGGTGCCATCCTTCAAGTTTACAACTATTACCACAGCACAGCACTCAAATAGCAAGGCACAAGCAAAAAGATTTACCAACTGCTTTTCTTTTTTTGTTTGTTTGAGATGGAGTCTCCTCTGTCACCCAGGCTGGAGGGCAGTGGCGAGATCTCGGCTCACTGCAACATTAGCCTCCCAGGTTGAAGCAATTCTCCGCCTCAGCCTCCCAAGTAGCTGGGATTACAGCCACCTGCCACCATGCCCGGCTAATTTTTGTATTTTTTTTTTTTAGTAGAGACGAGGTTTCACCATCTTGGCCAGGCTGGTCTTAAACTCCTGACCTTGTGATCCACCCACCTCAGCCTCCCAAACTGCTGGGATTACAGGCGTGAGCCACTGTGCCCAGCCGCTTTTCTTTTCTTTTTTTTTTTTTTCTTTTTTGAGATGGAGTCCCGCTCTTTGCCCAGGCTGGAGTGCAGTGGCACGATCTTGGCTCACTGAAACCTCCACCTCCTGGGTTCAAGTGATTCTCCTGCCTCAGCCTCCTGAGTAGCTAGGATTAAAGGGGCCCACCACCACGCCTGGCTAATTTTTTGTTTTTAGTAGAGACAGGGTTTTGCCATGTTGGCCAGGCTGGTCTTGAACTCCTGACCTCAGGTGATCCCCAGCCTCGGCCTCCTGAAGTGCTAGGATTACAGGCGTGAGCCACCCTGCCTGGCCTAAGATTTACCAATTGCTTTTCTTGCTTACATACAGCGTAGTCCTATTTACTAGTTTCATCTTAGTGCAACACATTTGGGCTTCCTCAACCTTTCAAGTTACCAAATATCAGAGAATTTAGAGTCAATTGTAAATAAAGCTGAATGTTAAGTCCCTCAAATGTCAGCCAGTAGTATGGTGCTTTTCTAAAGCAGTGACGTGCACTAGTTAATTCACTTTTTTTTTTTTTTTTTTTTGAGATGGAGTTTTGCTCTCGTTGCCCAGGCTGGAGTACAATGGCGCCATCTCGGCTAACCGCAACCTACACCTCCTGGGTTCAAGCGATTCTCCTACCTCAGCCTCCCAAGTAGCTGGGATCACAGGCATGCGCCACCACGGCAGCTAATTTTTTGTGTTTTTAGTAGAGACAGGGTTTCTCCAAGGTGGTCAGGCTGGTGTCAAACTCTCGACCTCAGGTGATCTGCCCGCCTTGGGCTCCCAAAGTGCTGGGATTACAAGCGTGAGTCACTGCATCCAGCCTTTTTGCTTTATTAATACTGTCACACACATATAGCATGCATTAAGATGAGAGACAAAACATTTGGAGTACAGAGAAGTTAACTGGCTGAGGCATTCGGTAGAGGGGGATTATTCTGAATTTATGTAAAGTATAATTTCACAAAAGCTTTGGAGTGGCTGAGTGATATGAGAAGTCCCTGTATTATTCCTGTTATGTCTAACAGGAGATCCTTTCTGATTTCAGGAATAGTGCTATGCAAGACTTTGGCTGAAAAGTTTTAAAGTTAGGTCTACGCATGAAATTTGTTAAGCTGGTGCCTGAAGTGAAGCAAATAAAATCAACAATAAATAATTGGTTGATTCTGTTAGAAATGGAAAATGATGGCAAAACTGATAAGGACATGGTTTTACCCTAATTTAAAACAAATTTAAAATGTGTCATCTGCTTTCTTTGTGTCAGCCAATGAAAACGCTCCCTCTCCAGGATGAGCAAAGCTATTTTTGAATAGTATAAGTATATCGTTCTGATGTGTGTATAGCTCAGGCTCATTTCCTATATATAGTTTTGATACTGTCCTAACATTTCACTAACATTCAGTAATGAAAAAAACTTACAATTCACAGAACCAGCATCAAGAAAAGTTGATAGTTGATACTTTAGCCACTCCCCAGCCATCTGGAAGCTAGTTTTGGGATCCAAACGACATGCCAACCTCATCACCTCTCCTTGTTGTGCTCGGGAGGCTGCCAAGAGAAAATGCCAAGGGAAGGACAGGAATCAATAACTGGTATAAAATAAGTACTTAATGTTTATTAATTTACCACCCTAGGGGAAAAGCATTCAAAGGAACTGTTTTGCAGACTTGTGCTTTGCATGTAATAATCACTCAATAAAACTTTATTAACGAATCCAGAAGTTTTTGAAAATAAATGATCTCTGGAAACTGTATTACCAGCTAGATCCTGTAAGTGGCAAACTAAACTTAGTCTCCCATTTCTGTTTGAATTAAAAGGAAATCAGGATTGGGCACAGTAGCTCACGCCTGAAATCCTAGCACTTTAGGAGGCCAAGGTGGGCAGACTGCTTGTGCCCAAGAGTTCAAAACCAGTTTGGGCAATACAGTGAGACCCAGTCTCTACCAAAAAATACAAAAAGTAGCCAGGTGTGGTGGCATGCTCCTATAGTCCCAGTAACTTGGGAGAGTGAGGTAGGAGGATCAGCTGAGCCCAGGGAGGTGAAGATTGTAGTGAGCCATGATCGCAGCACCACTCTTGCCTGGACAACAGAGTGAGACCATGTCTCAAAAAAAAAAAAAAAAAAATTTTTAAAAAGTAAATCAGGTTGGTGGTAATAAAAAATGGTGCAGCTGCTGTGGAAAATAGTCTGGCAGTTCCTGAAAATATTAAACTTGCAATTGCCATATTATCCAGCAATTCTACTCCTAGTTATATATCTAAGATAAACAAAAACTTATATCTAAACAAAACCTTGTATATAAATGTTCATAGCAGCATTATTTGTAATAGCCAAAAAATGGAAATAACTCAAATGTCCATCAACAGATGAATAAATGAGTAAATGTGGTATATCCATACAATGAAATATTAGCAATAAAAAGAAATGAAGGCCGGGTGTGGTGGCTCACGCCTATAATCCAGCACTTTGGGACGCCAAGGCAGGTGAATCAGCTGAGGTCGGGAGTTCGAGACCAGCCTGGCCAACATGATGAAACCCAGTCTCTACTAAAAATAAAACAATTAGCTGGGCATGGTGGTGCATGCCTATAATCCCAGTTACTTGGGAGGGTGAGGCAGAAAAATCGCTTGAACCTCAGAGGCAGAGGTTGCAGTGAGCCGAGAGTGTGTCATTGCACTCCAGCCTGGGCGACAGAGCAAGACTCCATCTCAAAAAAAAAAAAAAAAAGGCTGGGTGTGGTGGCTTACGCCTGTAATCCTAGTACTTTGGGAAGCCGAGGCGGGTGGATCACGAGGTCAGGAGATTGAGACCATCCTGGCTAACACAGTGAAACCCTGTCTCTACTAAAAACACAAAAAATTGGCTGGGTATGATGGCACGTGTGTGTAGTCCCAGCTATTCAGGAGGCTGAGGCAGGAGAATCGCTTGAATCCGGGAGGCAGAGGTTGCAGTGAGCCGAGATTGTGCCACTGCACTCCAGCCTGGGCGACAGAGCGAGACTCCATCTCAAAAAAAAAAGAAATCAAGTACTGATAAATGTTGTAACTTGGATGAATTTAAAAACATTATGCAAGTGAAAGAAGGCAGTCACAATAGACCATGTATGATTCAATTTATATGAAACGTTCAGAATAGGCAAAACAGAGACAGAAAGTAGATTACTGGTTGCCTAGGACTGGGAGAGATGAGGGAATTGGGGGATGACTCCTAGTGGATATAGGATTTATTTTTGGGGTGATGAAAATATAATCTAAAATTGATTGTGGTGATGGCTGCACAACTCTGTAAAAATACTAAAAACCATTAAATTATATACTGTATGTGGGTGAACTGTATGGTAAATGAATTTTGTCTCAATAAAGCTGTAAAAAAAAAAAAAAAAAAAAAAAAAAGGAGGCTGGGCGCGGTGGTTCGCACCTGTAAATCCCAGCACTTTGGGAGACTGAGGCGGGCAGATGACCTGAGGTCGGGAGTTCGAGACCAGCCTGACCAACATGGAGAAACCCCATCTCTACCAAAAATGCAAAATTAGCTGGGCATGGTGGTGCATGCCTGTAATCCCAGCTACTTGGGAAGCTGAGGCAGGAGAATCGCTTGAACCCAGAAGGCAGAGGTTGTGGTGAGCCGAGATCGCGCCATTGCACTCCAGCCTGGGCAACAAGAGTGAAACTCCATCTCAAAAAAAAAAACAAACAAAAAGGAAATAAGGCACAGAAAACACAGAACAGAACTAGAATATTAGAATAAAATGGATTTTTCCACTTTTTGGGGGAAAGAAATAACCATAAGGTAAGATGGTATTTAATCCTAAGTATGAAAAAAAGTCAAGAGCGTCTTAAGTATGGTTACCATCCCTAAACATCAATGTCTAAGTGCTGTGGGGGTTTGTGGTGTAAAACAAAATATTATGCCTGGAATACAGCCCCAGCACTCTTCTGCAATGGGAAACTAGGGCCTAATAAGTAGGCTGCTATCCAGATTTGGGGATCTTTCGTAAAAACCCCAAACACCATGCACCATGATTCATAATACTAGATGCCATTCTGAGACTGTTGAGAGAAATCCAAGGCCAACATCACTTACAGTTGAAGAAAGCATTGAAGTCCTCATCGCTATCAAAATCAAACCGAGAATATTCACAGCTAGGGCTGTCTGTTTTAGAAGGAAAGCCCATCTGGAAAAAGAAAGGTAATTGGGGTAGGGGATGAAAGTGGACCCACTGAAAGAGTTTTTAAGCTTCAGGAGTTCAAGCACTTTTAATTTATTTAAGAGTTAAGCGTTTGCATGAGATATTGTATGGTAAATATCCACTTCAGTTCTATCACAGGTCCACAGTTTGCTCCCAGTTCCAGTATTCCTCAGTGGTAGAAAAGAGAATACTTTTAGTTGATACCATCCTCCAAGTTCCTCAGGGAGAATTAAATTCTTGAATTCTTTTAAGGTCCCCAGAAAAAATGACAATTCAGTATGTAGTAAGGAAGAAAGAACTGAGAGCTACTTGCCTCAAATACTGAACACTGAGAATAAACTTGTAGAACTTTGTATGTTTCATTCAGAAAAGAATTGAAGACCATGGCAGAAAATAAGAACACAGTGTGGCCGGGTGCGGTGGCTCACGCCTGTAATCCCAGCACTTTGGGAGGCCGAGGCGGGTGGATTGCCTGAGCTCAGGAGTTTGAGACCAGCCTGGGAAAAACAGTAAAACCCTGTCTCTACTAAAATACAAAAAATTAGCCAAGTGTGGTGGTGGGCACCTGTAGTCCCAGCTACTTGGGAGGCTGAGGCAGGAGAATTGCTTGAACCCAGGAGGCAGAGGTTGCAGTGAGCCAAGATCGTGCCACTGCACTCCAGCCTCGGTGACAGGGTGAGACTCCGTCTCAAAAAAAAACACAGAACACCAGTGTGTGCTATGTGCTAGGCAAATTCCTTAAGAAAATAAGGGGACCCTTGAATGTGCACCATTCTCTGATGTTACAAATTGAGATTAACAATCTGTCAACTGCAAGAGCTCTTAGCAGGGAATTCATGAGCAACTCTCTACTGAGGTAGTGAGCAATCTTTGCTTCCACTCTCACTCCCCTCATTTCCCTTTGTAACTCTCACTTGGCCTCCAGAAGCAATGCTTAGATATTGCCTCCTCTTGGAATCTTCCTGACTCAACCCTCCTATGTACTTCCAAAGCATTCTGCTTTTAACCCCTGAATAGCAATTATTACATTGTATGGTCACTGCTCTTGCCCTAGCACCTAGCCCAATACTTATGATATATTAAGTACTCTCATATGGAAGAGCAGTTATAATAACCAGTAAGGACTGATTTCTTCCTAAGGAATAAGAAAATATGTCCAGTAAAGGAATCTTAGTGATGAAGAAGGGCTGTTAATAATGCCAATCAGTCTTTTTTATGTTTCCCCCGAGACAGGGTCTCACTCTCATTGCCTAGGCTGGAGTGCAGTGCTGCGATCTCAGCTCAATGCAGCTTCAACTTCCCAAGCTCAGGTGATCCTCCCACCTTAAGCCTCCCCAGTAGCTGGGTCTACAGGTGCATACCAACATGCCCTGCTAATTTTTTTGTATTTTTAGTAGAGACGAGGTTTTGCCATGTCGCACAGGCTGGTCTCCAACTCCTGGGCTCAAGCGATCCTCCCGCCTCAGCCTTCCATAGAGCTGGGATTATAGGCGTGAGCCACCGCACCCAGCCTCAAAGTCTTATTATGTGTATTCACCTACATTCCACATGTTTAGATTCCCATTATATACCTTGACCAAGTTAGTCATGGAAGCACGAAGATATTTTGGTATTATTGCTAATAGCAAAGGATCACGGGACAGGATTTCATGCCTGAAGAGGGCTCCCCAAGTCATCTGAGTTGAAGAGCGTAGAAACTAAAGAGAAAAAAAAAAGAAAACGTCAAAGGATTTGGATTCTATATAACCCAGATTATTACTTAGCAGTTATCAACTACATTTTTTCATAGAAATAAATCTGTACAATACTTTGAAGCTGTCTCTACTGCAATTTATCAGTAATGACCACCCACTATGGACCACATGTTAGTAAGACAGGCTGTGGATCAAGGAAATTACCTGGAATGTGAGCTGAATTTTACTACTTTCTCTTCTTTGCAAAAAAGGATACTGGAATCTCAGAGTGATATTAGAAGGACAATTTTGAACAGAGTGAAATTAATTTTATAATACAATTAATCAGACTTTTGTTTCAAAAATCTTTATAACTTTAGTACTAAACCACCTGGGACACACCTCACATGTGACTGAGTACAATCAGAATATTACCTAAAGGGAAAAGCTGCTGACCTAGACAAGTGCACTGTTTGGCTCAGGAAGAAGAGCCAATAATTCTCTTAATGAAATGACACTACGGTCATTCCCCAAGGCCTGAAGAGTCACATTTTATACATGATCTACAATAATATTTCAGGACACAGTGCTTGACATTGGTTCACCTAACTAAACTTTTGAGAAGTTACCTGTATAAAGTTTACCTGACTTGGATGGGTTGTGAAAGCAAGAAAAGATTCCAGGTATTTTCCAAAGTTTGATGGTGTTTCTACATCAGAATCTGCACCCTGTAGGAGAAGACCACTATATTAACGGTGTTGATCGAGAAAAGCAGGAGAGGAAAAAGCAGGGAAGTAATAAAAACAGATAAATTAAACCCTCAAAAAATGTTGTTTCAAAAGGACTTTGTATTTCCTTTTGGCTAAAGAAAGGCATCACTTCAAGGGCTAAAATATAGGTTACTTTGCCTACTCAATCATCATCATTACTTTGCCTACTCAATCATCATCATTAAAACCCATTCTGTGGTCAAACAGTAAAATAAAAAACACTCATTTCAGAAATTACAGAAAGAAAAAAAATCTGTATTACTTCCTCAGACCTTACCTATTCACATCTCTGTGTCCCAACCTATTACCTAATCCCTTCAATAGTTTCTTTTCTTTTTTTTTTCTTTTAGATGGAGTCTCACTCTGTTGCTCAGGCTGGAGAGCAGTGGCACGATCTCGGCTCACTGCAACCTCTACCTCCAGGGTTCAAGCAATTCTCCTGCCTCAGCCTCTCGAGTAGCTGGGATAACAGGCATGCACCACCACGCCTGGCTAATTTTTGTATTTTTAGTAGAGACAGGGTTTCACCATGTTGGCCAGGCTAGTCTCAAACTCTTGACCTCAGGTGATCTGCCCACCTCACCCTCCCAAAATGCTGGGATTACAGGCATGAGCCATTGCACCTGGCCCCCTCAATGGTTGCTTATCTCTGAAACTATCCTCTCTAACCATTTAAACCACCACAAAAAGATATAACATCAATTGCAAATGTCTGTTCCAATGTCCTATCTTCCAACTTATAAGACTGAGTATTAAATATTTCTCTAATGGCAGGTTTTCCAGGTCAATCAGACTCAAGTTTTCTTTTGTGCTCCAATAATACATCCCTTAGATTGGGAAAAGAGTTCTTTATTCAAGTCCATGTTTCGTGGGCTAACAGAATGTAAAAGCATAAAGCACTCAGCAGATTGAGGTTCTGTAAGTACCAAAATTCACAAGAAACCAACGTTGACTTTATGGAATAATAGACGTGGATATCTGACGTTGGTATAACTATTTTATTGTTAAAAGAAATTTAGATCACTCAAACACTATTCTATTAAGATAATTTAATCTATAGAATCATGCAATAACTTGTATGGCACTGCCCCATCAGGCTAAAATCAATGACATTTGCAACCCCTCATTGAAACATAAGTTTCTAAATGCTCTTCCCAAATGGGCTTGAAGCTCTCCAGAAAGCAAACACTAGCTCACCAGCAATGCACACAGCTGATTGCCCAGCGCACACAACACCTGACAGAGCCTCTTCAGAAAGACGTAGTGTTTTTCTACCAAACCTCCTCCATCAGCAGTCCTGTAAGATGAGAATTCCTTATATCACCAACAAAATTAAAAAGGCTGTAATAAAAACATCACTTTGTGTCTCATTTCTCCAAGTCATTTAGTTAGGTCTGTAATTCAGCAGAATTCCAATAGCTTTGCTAAATTAAAAATTTTTTAAAATCTTTTTAACTTATTTGGTGGCAAAACCTGACCTAAAATGATATAGGACTATTCACACAAACAGCAATTAATAACTATGAGTGTGAAAAGCAACTATATTAGCTGTCTTCTGGAGGAGGACAGTATCACATAAAAGGCAAGGACCTTGGGGTAAACGAGGCCTAGGCTTTAGGAACATTGAAGGACAGGATGGTATTATGGTGTCCAATGCAATCTCTGGAGTTTGACTACCTGGGTTGGAATCACCGCTTTATGAACCATGGTTGTGGTATGGCACCCACAGCACAAACAGAAACGGGACACCACTTAGTATGAGTGTCATGATGTCTATGGAACTAAGAATTGGACCTAAAAATAGTAACTACCCAAAAAACGTTATTCATTTAATTAACAGGATCCCTTAAAACAGTGCTGCAGTCTCTACAGGGAAGGAAGCCATGAAAAATGTGTATTAGAATGGGTAGTAAGAGATTTTAAGTAAAACACATGTGCCTCATACCTTTTCATTTCTCCTTGGGACCAAAAGTAAAGAGTATCAAAAAGATGGTGTTGCAACAGATTCAACTACTTATAATATATAGTTCTGCCTGACTTCCTGGTAAGAAACATGTTATCAAGAAATGCTTTAATATTTTTTCTTTTTTTTTGAGACACGATCTCGCTGTCACACCTAGGCTGGAGTACAGTGGCTCAAATATGGCTCACTGAAGCCTCAAACTAATGGGCTTCAAGGGATCCTCTCACTGCAGCCTCCCAAGTAGCTGGGACTATAAAGCGCATGCCACCATACGCAGCTAATTTATTTTCATTTTGATTTTTTGTAGGGATGAGGTCTTGCCATGTTGCCCAGACTGGTCTTGAACTTCTGGGTCCAAGCAATCTTCACGGCTTGGCCTCCCAAAATATGGGGATTACAGGCATGAGCCATTGGGCCCGGCCTTGCTTTAGTATTTTCTAGAGCAACTGGAAGAAAGTACATGGAAGCCCTTACAGTCATGCATCACTTAACGACTGGGGATGTGTACTGAGAAATGCATCGTTAAGTGATTTTATCACCATTTGAACATGATAGAGTGTACTTACACAAACTTACACAACAGGAATAGCCTATTACACATCTAGGCTATATAGCATAGCCTATTGCTCCTAGGCTACAAACCTCTATAGCATGTTACCGTAGCCAATACTGCAGGCAACTGTAACACAATGGTAAGTATTTGTGTATCTAAATACAGAAAAGGTACAGTAAAAATATGGTATAAATGATAAAAGATGGTATACCTGTAGAAGGCACTTACCATGAATGACTGCAGGACAGAAAACTGTACTGGGTGGGTCCAGAGTGAGTGGTGAGTGAATGTGGAAGCCTAGGACATTACTGGACCCTACTGTAGACTTTATAAATTCTGTACCCTTAGGCTAAACTAAACTTATTTATTTATTTAGAGATGGAGTCTCACTCTGTTGCCTAAGCTGGAGTGCAGGGGCACAATCCTGGCTCACTGCAACTTTCGCCTCCCAGGTTCAAGCGATCTCCTGCCTCAGCCTCCCAAGTAGCTAAGAATACACACATGCACCACCACGCCCGGCTAATTTTTGTACTTTTAGTAGAGATGGGGTTTCACCATGTTGGCCAGGCTGGTCTTGAACTCCTGACCTCAGGTGGTCCATCTGCCTTGGCCTCCTAAAGTGCTGTGATCACAAGCATGACCCAGCGTACCTGGCCCGCTAAATTTATTTAAAAAATTTTCCAGCCGGGCACGGTGGCTCATGCCTATAATCCCAGTACTTTGGGAGGCTGAGGTGGGTGGATCACCTGAGATCAGGAATTCAAGACCAGCCTGACCAACAGGGAGAAACCCTGTTTCTACTAAAAATACAAAATTAGCTGGCCATGGTGGTGCATGCCTGTAATCCCAGCTTCCTGGGAGGGTGAGGCAGGAGAATCGCTTGAACCCGGGAGGCAGAGGTTGCAGTGAGCTGAGATCGCATCATTGCACCCCAGCCTGGGCAATAAGAGCGAAACTCCATCTCAAAAAAAAAAAAACTTCCTTTCTTCAATAATGAATTAACTTTAGCTTACTGTAACTTTTTAACTTTATAAACTTTTAAAAACTATTTTTTTGAGACAAGGTCTCAGTCTGTTGCCCAGGCTGGAGTGTAGTGGCATGATCATGGTTCACGATTGCCTGGACTTCCCAGCTCTAGTGACCCTCCCACCTCAGCCTTCTGAGTAGCTGGGACTACAAGTACACATACCACCACACCCGACTAATTTCTGTATTTTTTTGTAGAGATGGACTCTTGCCATGTTGCTCAGGTTGGTCTCAAACTCCTGACTCAATCAATCCTCCCGCCTTGGCCTCCCCAGGTGCTGAGGTTACAAATGTTAGCTAGCACATTCAGCCATGACTGCCTCATTTTCTCTCTTTTTTTTTTTTTTTTGAGACAGAGTCTCACTTTGTTGCCCAGTCTGGAGTAGAGTGGTGTGATCTCAGCTCACAGCAACCTCTGCCTCCCAGGTTCAAGATACTCTCCTGCCTCAGCCTCCTGAGTAGCTGGGATTACAGGCGTGCGCCACCAGGTCTGGCTAATTTTTGTATTTTAGTAGAGATGGGGTTTCACCGTGTTGGCCAGGCTGGTCTCAAACTCCTGGCCTCAAGTGATCCACTTGCCTTGGACTCCCAAAGTGCTGGAATTACAGGTGTGAGCCACCACATCTGGCCAATGCCTCATTTTCTTATCCAAAAACACTGTCGATTGACAGCTAGCATTTAAGTAAGAACTTCAGGTGGGCACAGGGGCTCACTCCTGTAATCCCAGCACTTTGGGAGGCTGAGGCAGGTAGACCACCTGAGGTCAAGAGTTTGAGACCAGAGCGGTCAGCACGGCAAAACCCTGTCTCTACTAAAAATAGAAAAATTAGCCAGGCATGGTGGTGCGCCTGTAATCCCAGCTACTCGGGAGGCTGAGGCAGGAGAATCGCTTGATCCCAGGAGACGGAGGTTGTGGTGAGCCAAGATCGCGCCACTGCACTCCAGCCTGGGTGACAGAGCGAGATCCATCTCAAAATAAAAAAAAAAAAAAGAACTTCAGATAAATCCAAATAAGATAGAAAAATGACAAAGAAATTAGAAAACACACTGAAAAGTAAAGATACTCACTGTGCGGCGGAGAGTATATAATGCATGGCAACATCTCCAAATAAGACCATCAAGGGCTTCCGGTCTTCCAACTTGCCCTAGACCCAATTTTAGGGAAACATAGTCATATAAACTATACTTCAAAGTACCGACATCTTCTGTAAGTATATAATCAAATATATTGACTTCATAATTTCTTATATACCCCAGGGTTTAGTGAAACACTAGAAAGAAGCCCAACTCTTTAAAACCAAATCTGGATAAACTACATATTTTTTCTCAAAACTATCAGTTTAGTGAAAAAGCATAAACTTACATTTTTAAATGTGTTCGGCAGGCCGAGTGCGGTGGCTCATGCCTGTAATCCCAGCACTTTGGGAGGACGAGGCAGGCGGAACAACTGAGATCAGGAGTTCGAGACCAGCCTGGTCAACATGGTGAAACCCTGTCTCTACTAAAAATACAAAAATTAGGCCAGGTGCCGTGGCTCACACCTGTAATCCTAGCACTTTGGGAGGTCAAAGCAGGTGGATCACTTGAGGTCAAAAGTTCGAGACCAGCCTGGCCAACATAGTGAAACCCCATCTCTACTAAAAAATACAAAAATTAGCTGGGTGTGGTGGCACACGCCTGTAATCCCAGATACTCAGGAGGCTGAGGCAGGAGAATTGCTTGAACCCGGGAGGCAGAGGTTGCACTGAGCTGAGATTGCGCCACTGCACTCCAGCCTAGACAACAGAACGAGACTCCATCTCAAAAAATAAATAAATAAATAAATAAATGTGTTGGGCAATAATGCTGATATGACAGCAAAGTAAATTACATTTGTAGATAATATTCCTATGGAGAAAAGAGTCACAGTTCCATTGGTTAGCCAAGACAGACATAGGCTTGGCGCAGTGGCTCACGCCTGTAATCCCAGCACTTTAGGAGGCTGAGGAGGGCAGATCACTTGAGCTCAGGAGTTCGAGAAGAGCCTGGCTAACATGGCAAAACCTCATCTCTACTAAAAAATACAAAAATCAGTCGGGCATGGTGGCGTGTGCCTATAGTCCTAGCTACTCGGGAAGCTGAGGCAGGAGAATCGCTTGAACCCGGAAGGCGGACGTTGCAGTGAGCCAACATCACGCCACTGCACTCCAGCCTGGGTGACAGAGCAAGACTGTTTCAATTAAAAAAAAAAAAAAAAAAAAAAGACAGATATAAACCTACTGTAGCCACCATCCAAGATTCCTTGACATTCATTAAGTGAGCTTTAAACTTAAACATTTACTTTTATCTGTTAACTGTAAATTGCCAAGTATCATGGCTATTTCAAGAACCATGCAGCCTGATAAATCTCCACATTCTGCCAAAGGATCCCTTGAATATTGGCAAACTCCTGTCCAAGGGGGTTGGAAGCAGGCAGTAAGTTGGCCCCAAGGAAAAAAACCCAAACCTTTAAATGACTTTCTGCCACAACATGCAATTAAACACATACACAGCCTACTTCAGAGACTGAGGATAAGTCAGTTTGAAGTGGTAACTTACTTTTCTGCTGACTGCAATGAGAAGACACTCAGCGGCTCCCAACTGAAGTTCCTGTTCATTCAACAGCAAACACAGTATCTCCAGGAGTTTACAGTTTTCAGCAGTGATGTGACTCATAGACACCCAGTCAATATAGCCTGCTAGAGTATTCAGTGCTGCAACTCCTACTCGACAGTTTGCTTGCGCCTACCAGAAAAGAAGTAACTTTGGACCATGAAGTCCTCGGTAACAGGTAAGGAATCAGTGGTTATAACTGAACTCCCATTTTCTAATTCTAAGAAAATTATTTTTTAAGAATATACTCATGTAACAGTCACAGGTAGGGAACACAATCACTTCTCAAACAATGACATTCTCAACATCCAACAACAAGACCATACTGGCATGTGTGGCCATTTTATCTTTTTCACAAAACCCCAAATCTTATCATTTTACTTCCCAAGGCTGGGTGCAGTGGCACACACCTGCAATACCAGCACTTTGGGAGGCCAAGGTGGGTGAATCAACTGAGCCCAGGAGTTAAAACAACAGCCTGGGCAACATGGCAAAACTAGTGTCTACCAAAAAAACAAAAAATAAAATAAAATAAAAAAAATACCCTAACCAAAAAAATACAAAAATTAGCCAGGCATGATGGTGTGCATCTATAGTCCCAGCTACTCATGAGGTTGAGGTAAGGCTCACTTGAAGCCTGGAGGCTGAAGCTGCAGTGAGCCACGTTTGCGTCACTGTACTCTAGCCTGGGTGACAAAGTAAGACCCTGTGTCAAAAAAAAAAAAAAAAAGTAAGTCTGTTTTTGTTTTTTTTTTTTACTTCCCTTCAACCATAGCTCAGTGATCAAAAACAGAACAAAGGACAGGCTGGGCATGGTGGCTCACACCTGTAATCCCAGCACTTTGGGAAGCTGAGGAGGGCGGATGATGAGGTCAGGAGATTGAGACTATCCTGGCTAACATGGTGAAACCCCGTCTCTACTAAAAATACAAAAAATTAGCTGGGTGTGGTGGCGGGCACCTGTAGTCCCAGCTACTCGGGAGGCCAGGCAGGAGAATGGCGTGAACCCAGGAGGCAGAGCTTGCAGTGAGCCGAGATCGCGCCACTGCACTCCAGCCTGGGCAAGTGAGCGAGACTCCGTCTCAAAAACAAAAACAAAAACAAACAAAAAAAACAAACGACAGATGCAGTGGCCCACAGTCACTTCAGGAGGTCGAGGCTGGAGGATCACTTGAAGCCAGGGGTTTGACACCGGCCTAGGCAACACACTGAGACCCTGTTTCTATAGAAAGTATTAGCTGGGCATGGTGGTGCGCACCTATATTCCCAGCTACTCATGAAGTTGAGGTGAGAGGATCACTTGAGCTGGGGAGGTCATGGCTGCAGTGAGCTGAGACCACACAACTGCACTCCAGCCTGGGCAACAGTAAGACCTGTCTCCAAAACAATACAACACAAGCAAGGCTGAGGTCACCATCCACTAGGGGCACGTATCCCCTCACCTGAAAGGTTCAAAGGTCTCCTTCAAACTTTATAAAGAGCTCTTACCTTTGACTCCTGAGAAGTATCTGTCTTCTGAAAGGAAGTATAAAGATCCAGTGTTTTTAATGAGCAAAAGGCCACATAATAACTTTCTACCCCCCACAAATCAATGCCCTTGAATAATGATTCTTAAATATATGCAATTTTTCATCTTGGAAAATAACACAACTTTACTAAGCACGCATAACTGATATTCCCCTAGGGAGAACAAGTAAAGTCAGAAGCATAATTAAATGAATACAATTCATGAACATGTATGTATAGCCTAAGTATATGAAAACCATGTACTCAAAAATACTGGATGTTGGCCAGGCGTGGTGGCTCACGCCTGTAATCCCAGCAGTCTGGGAGGCCAAGGCAGGTGGATCACCTGAGGTCAGGAGTTTGAGACCAGTCTGGCCAACATGGTGAAACCCCATCTCTACTAAAATTACAAAAATTAGCCGGTGTGCTGGCGCATGCCTGTAATCCCAGCTACTTGGGAAGCTGAGGCAGAAGAATCACTCGAACCCGGGAGGCAGAGGTTGCAGTGAACCAAGATTGCACTACTGCACTCCAGCCTGGGCAACAAAAGTGAAACTCCGTCTCAAAAAAAAAAAAACAACAAAAAAAAATACATATATATATGATGTTAAATACATCAGAATAGTGGCTATTCAGTGAATATACAAATATGGTTGATTTTTATCCTTATATTTCAAATCCATACAAAGGCACATAATGTTAACTTACAAGCATACAAAATTAGGCCAGGCGCGGTGGCTCACGCCTACCATCCCAGCACTTTGGAAGACCAAGGCAGGCGGATTATTTGAGGTCAGGAGTTCAAGACCAGCCTGACCAACATGGTGAAACACCATCTCTACTAAAATACAAAAATTAGACGGGCATGGTGGCAGGCACCGGTAATCTCAGCTACCCGGGAGGCTGAGGCAGGAGAATCGCTTGAACCCAGGAGGCGGAGGTTGCAGTGAGCCGAGATTGTGCCACTGCACTCCAGCATGGGTGACAGAGTGAGACTCCCTCTCCAAAAAAAAAAAAAAAATTAGTATTTTCCTAAAGAACTTCTGAAAATAAAATTAAGAATAACACCTAGGGCTGGGCTCGGTGGCTCACACCTATAATCTCAGCACTTTGGGAGAGCAAGGTGGGTAGACCACCTGAGGTCAGGAGTTTGAGACTAGCCTTGCTAACACAGCGAAACTCCATCTCTACTAAAAATACAAAAATTAGCCAGGTGTGGTGGCACATGCCTGTAATCCCAGGAGGTGGAGGCTGCAGTAAGCCGAGATCCCTATCTTTTTTTTTTTTTTTTTTTTTTTTTTTAAAAAAGGCCAGGTGCCGTGGCTCACACCTATAATCCCAGCACTTTGGGAGGCGGGCGGATCATGAGGTCAGGAGATCAAGACCTTCCTGGCTAACATAGTGAAACCCCGTCTCTACTAGAAATACAAAAAATCAGCCGGGCCTGGTGGCGGGCGCCTGTAGTCCCAGCTACTTGGGAGGTTGAGGCAGGAGAATCGCTTGAACCTGGGAGGCAGAGGTTGCAGTGAGCCGGGATCACACCACTGCACTCCAGCCTAGGTGACAGAGCGAGCCTCCGTCTCAAAAAAAAAAAAAAAAAAAAAAGAAAGAAAATGAGCTCCAGTTTTTCTGTCATTTCCTAGTTTTTTATTTTTTTGCTTATAAAATAGGATTTCATTTTGCTGACCTAGACACCCTAGTTCCTTACTGTAAGATTAATCAAAAACACTCATATTGGAAAATAGAAATGTTATAGGTAGGGGTATCCCTTACCACTTGCTGATACTTGTTTACATTTTCTTGAAGTGTGTTAAGCAGAAAACTGAAGATCCTTTCCATGTTCTGGGTTAATGTTTGCTGGATGTCCCTTCTTCTTTGAGGGGGAAGTGTCTGAAAAGTCACTACATCCTCTGCCAGTCGCAAAAGGATAAACATCACCAATTCTGTCTGTGTTTCCTACACCAATAGAAATAAGCTAGTTAAAAACTAAAATATCTTTTCATTTTATGTATATCCAAAGGCTATTTTCTGTTGCCAAAAAAAAAAACCCACAAACAAAATCAAACAACAAACCCTGAAGTTTGTTCCAAGGAAAAGTATACCAAACTGATATAGCTGTGTTTCATACCCCTTGTTTGGAAAGAGTGTCCAATTCTATTAGCATGTCAGGCCAATGCTGTGGCCACTCTCGCTTGATCATTTCCACTACAATTCGAGACAGAGCATCTTTAATATGGTTCTCCTCTTCCAAAATGTTCAATGTTCCCTGAAAAAGAACAAGAGATATTAAGAGATATGCAAGACTGGATTCCAGACTTCCAGAAAAAAGCTGGGCTGTAGAGTTGTAAAAAATTTATCAGCAGGCCTACTTTTAAACCAAACAGAACAAATGAACCTGTTCTTCAGCCTGAGTCACTTGTCCTGCATTCTTGCTAATCACTCTTCCGCTTAAAGCTTAAGTGAGGGTTGCATCACCTAAAAGGCTGTCATATCGAGAGCTAGGATGACATCATTATTCTTTACAAAATGAAAAGATTCTCATATTGATTGTTTCAGTTTGCAGAAGGCCAGGGAGGAAGAGTATAGAAATAAGGAGTATAGTGAGTAGCTGGTAAAATGGAAGGGTATGAAGGGGCAAATGAATATTTTACCAATAGTTCTAACACTAGAAGACGCAGAAGTATTAGAAGATCCCATCTCTCATGTCTGTTATTTAAAAAAAACCAAGAAAGAAAAAAGGCTACAATTTTGAACATGTTTAAAGTCATATTCTGTTTTGTGTTTAAAGAGACAGTCATCCAGTCATCACACCTGTAATCTCAGCATTTTGGAAAGCCAAGGTGGGAGGATTGCTTGAGGCCAGGGGTTTGAGACCAGACTAGCCTGGGAAACACAGTGAGACCCTGTCTCTCTAAAAACCAAAAACAAAATTAGCTGGGCATGGTACCACATGCCTATAATCCCAGCTACTTGGGAGGCTAAGGCGAGAAGATCACTTGAGCCCAGGAGTTCGAGGCTGCAGTGAGCTATGATCATGCTAATGCAATCCAGCCGGAGCAACAGAGACTCTGTCTCAAAAAAAAAAAAAAGTCATATTCTAATACTTGAAACAAATTCATTCTGCATACTTAAAATTCTGCATGTTTTTCATCATTAGTATCACATAGTAGTTGTTTGGAATAAAAGAAAATAGTGTTTCAATCTAATTTAGATCTAAGAATCTTATTGATTTGTTGAAAATATTTAATCCCCTCTGCCCTGTCTTTATAATTTAAAAAATAGAAGTCAATACATAAGCATGATTAATTAAACCTAGTAAGAGACATATGCTGAATTATGCTTTCTGCTTTTGTTTTGTTTTGTTTTTGAGATAGGGTCTTGCTCTGTTGCACAGGCTGGAGTGCCATGGCACCATCACAGCTCACTGCAGCCTGGACCTCCTGGGCTCAGAAAATCCTCCCACCTCAGCCTCCTGAGTAGCTGGGCCACAGGCATGCGCCACCACGCTCAGCTAATTTTTGCATTTTTGGTAGAGATGGGGTCTCACTGCATTGCCCAAGCTGCTCTCGAATTCTTAGATGCAGGTGATCCTCTTACCTTGGCTTCCCAAAGCGCTAGAATTACAGGTGTGAGTCACTGTGCCTGGCCTAAATTATGATTTCTTGTGCTGTCTGACCTATTTAGAAGCAGTGAATTTTTACACAAACTCCCTATTGAAGAAGTCACGCTTTGCCTAAACTACCTTGGAAACATGTCTCCCAACCACCCATTCCTTACATTTGCAATCAGCTCCATGACACTGTTCTTCAGATACACCTTCTCCAATCGAGACATGCCGTTCCACCGAAACCTGACCACCAAAATGCATAAAGTCAATAGAACCACTTTAGAAGTCTTGTCTTTACAAGAGAATAGCATGGATTTCTACATTTGATTACACTGGAGATTTCATTAAGAAATTATACTTTTGATTTTGTACCTGTCAATGAATGGGCAAAAATGATCTACATTTAACCAAAATACTAACACAAAAATTCTTGGGAAAAGGTTTTATATATGCAGTGGTCCATTAACTGGAATCCGCACAAGATTTGTACCACACGTCAGCTTTGCCTCATGATTTTATTGATGGGCCAAAAGTGAATATACATCTAGGTCAACTGCAACAATGTACTTGCTTTTCAGAAAATGCAGTTTTGACATCAGTCATTTTCTGTGCTGGCTTACAAAACAATTCTGGAAAAACTATGGCTAAGTCTTAAAGGCTACCTCTTCTGATAGGTGTTGAGGGTAGGACAATCAAGTTAGGATGGGTTTTCAGTTATTCTCATACAATCCTGCTTTGGATGTACCACCCAGAGAAGGCACACAAACTCAGAAAGACAGAGAGAAAAAAGAAAGCCACAGTGCCTAATCAGAGATTCATTGACCTATACATTGCATTACTCTAAAAAGGCTTCGAGGGCTAATGACATATAGTCAGAGCTCAGTAAGTATTGGCTAAATGGCAGGTAATATTTGTTGAATGGGTAATATGTACCACACACTTTACATGGATGAAGAAACTGAAGAAAAGAAAGGTTAAATCTTGAATGAGAGCTCCTGTGAGGTTCTGATAACATCTAGGGGATCATTCCTCTCTTCTTGGAGATTGCTCTTCTCTACTCACCTAAACAGCATCTCTATAGGTTATATAAGATATAAAGATCTGTTCTCTCAGACTTCAGTGGTAATGTCCAAGAGCTCCTTACTTGACAACGTGTTCCAGGATCTGAAGGCCAAAATGTCTGACGATGGCAACTTGTGTTTTCTCAGCCAACCTCAAGCCACAGGGGACACAGATAGGACACTTTTCTTTAAACTCCTCACAAAACTGAAAGAAGAAAAGTTAGTGTTTCCTTTCGAGGGCTGAGAGAATAGGGACTAAAAGAATTTCATCTTAAGAAACTCCAACCAGGGCCGGGTGCGGTGGCTCACACCTGTCCCAGCACTCTGGGAGGCTGAGATGGGTGGACTACTTGAGTCTAGGAGTCTGAGACTAGCCTAGGCAACATGGCGAAACCCCATCTCTATTAAATATATATATATATATATATTTTTTTTTTTTTTTTTTGAGACGGAGTCTCACTCTGTCGCCCAGGCTGGAATGCAATGGCATGATCTCGGCTCACTGCAACCTCTGCTTCCCAGGTTCAAGCAGTTCTCCTGCCTCAGCCTCCTGAGCCCATGTAGCTGGGACTACAAGTGCACGCCACCACACCCAGCTAATTTTTGTATTTTTAGTAGAAACAAGGTTTCATCATGTTGACCAGGCTGGTCTTGAACTCCTGACCTCAGGTGACCCACCTGCCTTGGCCTCCCAAAGTGCTGGGATTACAGGCGTGAGCCACTGTGCCCGGCCCACTAAAAATATTTTTTTAAATTAGCCGGGCATGGTGGCAGGTGCCTGTAATCCCAGCTACTCAGGAGGCTGAAGTGGTAGGAGAATCACTTGAGCTCGAGAAATCAAGGCTGAAGTGAGCCGAGATCTCACCACTGCACGCCAGCCTGGACAACCAGAGTGAGACCCTACTCAAAAAGAAACTCCAACCTAAGCTATATGTTTAAAGTTGCAAAACCTAGATCAATATTATGTGGATCTCCAAGCACAGTTGCTTTAAAAATATATATTTAATATAAAAATAAAAATATAAAATATATAAAAGTTACACATATATAACATTTCCTCCAAGTGGTGTTCACTCTATTTTATGTGTATATATTATATATATATTATGAATAAAGAACTGATAAACATTCCTTCCAGCGTGATGGTTCCAGATTTTTTCCATGCTACGGCCAACAGTAGCCCTACTAGTGTTGGAAAAAAATGGACACAAAGGAATAAGAAATTATTTGTTAGAGACATCCCCCTGACGTACATAGGGGTGAAATAACAATTTCTAGGGTTTCTTTTAAAAACCTTCGAGGCAGGGAGAGAGGATAGGCGGTGGAAAAAGTAAATGCGGTAAAATCTTTGATTGCTGAATTTAGGTGACAGGAACATGCAGAATCACTGTCGTATTCTCTCCACTTTTGTGTCTATTTTAAATATTAATAATAAAAACCAAACTAATGGAACCCAATTGTTTCTGATTCCAAACCCTGTGGCAGACATCTACATATTGTAACATTTCCTCCAAGTGGTGGTCACTCTCTTTTTTGAAGTTAACATCACTTTAAAAATGTACAGCACAAGTATTTTCTCCTAAATGGCCATTTCTCACAGCCCACACACGTTGTTTTATGGGCAAGTAAGCTTGAATTGTATTAACACCCCCAAACTGCAACATAAGTCAGTCCCAAGAGCAGAGCATTCGGGTCTCACGCAAACTACTTTCAGGAAACCAAAGTGCCCTTGTTAAAATGCAAAGTAAGTGGTAGAAGTTATCTTTGCGCAAAATAGCCTAAAAATATTACACTCAAAAACATGGGAGAAGTAGGGGTGCGAGAATTTCCCCGGAAAATGTCCAAGACACAAACGAAAGTTAGCGAGATGTTAAAGCATATAAGCATAAGGGTACCAGAGGGGCTGGAGCTCGGTCAGGGCCAGGGGAGTGGGCCAGCAGGAAAACGTTTAGTGCAGGAGAGACCATAAAGAACGAAGCTGGTGTTGGGGGCGGGATCTACACGTGCGCCTCGGGAAGGCGAGGGGATGTCGGGCTTGGGGAATGAAAATGGGCGAGGGTCATGTTGCGGACAAGAGTGCACAGAAGCGAGGAAAGGGGGAGGAGAGGGCTGTGGGAAGCTGCGGCGAGATGAGAAGCAGCATAGGGACCGGAGTGTCCCAGGCAAAGGACAGGAGCGGCGAGTAGAGAAGGCGGCGATTTGGGAGAGGCGCGGAGGGCCGCGAGGGGAAGGTCCCGGGGAGTTGGGAAAGGAGGTCCAGGGGCCGCGTGGGCGGGAGACTACCCCAGTTACAGGCGGCGCCGGAGCTGCTGGGGCTGGGAGAGGGTGTCGGGACCGGCCCAGGACGCCAGGACCCCAGCTACCTTGAGGGCTTCCAGCCGGTAGCGCTGGGTGGAGTTGGGGTCCATCATGACCGTCACCGCTTTCACCAGCTGCTCGCACAGCGCGTTTACTTGATCCATCGCCATGCCTAGCGCCACGCGCCGAGAGCGCACACCACTGCAGTCCCGGGACCACGAGGCACGACAGCTCCCTCGGCGAGACCACCCGTTGGTACCGGGCCGCGGCGGGCGGCGGGGGTGGGAAGCTGGAGGAGGAGCGTTAGCAGCAACTCGCGCTGGGAAGAAGCCGGCGCTGCGCACGCGCCCGGCCCGCCACTGCGCACGCGCCCGCGGAAGTGGCGGCTCCCGTGTGCAGGTTGAGCCTAGGTGGGCGGGGCGGGAGGCGGAAGGGCCGCGGTGCGCAGCCGCGTCAACGGCCCTTCGCAGCGGGCGCGCTGTCAGACCTCAGTCTGGCGGCTGCATTGCTGGGCGCGCCGCTCTCGTCTGATCCCTGCTGGGGACGGTTGCCCGGGCAGGATCCTTTACGATCCCTTCTCGGTTTCTCCGTCGTCACAGGGAATAAATCTCGCTCGAAACTCACTGGACCGCTCCTAGAAAGGCGAAAAGATATTCAGGAGCCCTTCCATTTTCCTTCCAGTAGGCACCGAACCCAGCATTTTCGGCAACCGCTGCTGGCAGTTTTGCCAGGTGTTTGTTACCTTGGTAAGAAAATTTAGAACCGTTCGCTGTCACTGTGTTCAGACTTTCTATGTTGCCTTGGCTATTGGTTTTATAATGTAGCAGTGACTGGGCCAAGGTTGCGTGAAATATAAATCATGCTAACAGGGATAAGGCCCTGGTACTGTCTTCTAAGATTTTTCTTGTAGAAAAAAGTATGTTTTTCCCTGTAGTTGTTAAACCTCTCTCTTGGAATTACTTTCCTGGATGTATTATTACCTGGTGGGCACTAAACTTGTTTTGTGCGGATTGGGGTAACTCGAGATGTTTAAAGGGAATAATTGCAATCAGTGAAGGTTTGTGCAGTTTTGATAATTGGCCAAGTGCTATGTATAAGGTTTCAAAGTAGTGTAATCCTTATCCAAAAGCATGGCTTGGGCAGAAAGTCTTCTTCATTTTCCATCTTTATAAAGCTCTTGGCCGGGCGCGGTGGCTCACGCCTGTAATCCCAGCACTTTGGGAGGCGGAGGCGGGCGGATCACCTGAGGTCAGGAGTTCGAGACCAGCCTCACCAACATGGTGAAACCCCGTTTCTACTAAACATACAAAAATTATGTTTGCATTTTTAGTATTTTTATACAGGCGTGGCGGTGCGCGCCTGTAATCCCAGCTACTCGGGAGGCTGAGGTGGGAGAATCGCTTGAACCCGGGAGGCGGAGGTTCAGTGAGCCGAGATCGCGCCTTTGCACTCCAGCCTGGGCGACAGAGCGAAACTCCGTCTCAAAAATAAATAAATAAAGCTCTTGCTTTCTCCAGTAAATACATAAACGGAAAACCTCAACAGCTTTATTATCTGTTAAAGTCTGCATGTCTGTTTTTGTGATTGTGTGCTTAGTAAATTGTGTGCTGAACATAAATCACTGCTTCCTATTCTTGCTCCACTTCTGGTATTTGGATCTAATATGGTGCTTAGCCTGTGTTTTTTTGTGTTACAATACTATTTGTTGGCTCAGTCTGTTCCAGTACTACTGAAAAGCCACTTCAAAGTAGAGGGACTTCTGGCATGTTATAGTTTTAACTTGTAAATGTTTAAAGTATCACATTCTGCCTGTTTTAGGCGTGGTCGATTGGAATTTATAAGGAATTAATGCTTTGACTGCTCTGATTTTAATTATTTTTCTTTCCACTCACCTTCCTGCTTTGCAGTTGTAAGACGTTTTTTTTTTCAAGGTGAATGTTAGTTTTTGAAAAACTTTTTTTAGAATACAGTTGGGTGCTCACTCAACTGTATAACCTGTGTTTCTCGTATTTAAATCATGGATTGCTGGTGTTTCGATTGTCTTATTTAGGTCTTGGCTCCCAAACTGCTGCATATTGGAATTACCTGGAGAGCTTTTAAAAATCCCCGGCCTGGCGCGGTGGCACACGCCTGTAATCCCAGCACTTTGGGAGGCCGAGGCGGGCGGATCACGAGGTCAGGAGATCGAGACCATCCTGGCTAACACGGTGAAACCCCGTCTCTACTAAAAATACAAAAAATTAGCCGGGCGGGGTGGCACGCGCCTGTAGTCCCAGCTAATGGGGATGAGGCAGAGGAATCACTTGAAACCGGGAGATGGAGGTTGCAGTGAGCTGAGATCTCACCACTGCACTTCAGCCTGGGTGACAGACGGAGACTCTGTCTAGGAAAAAAAAAAATCCCCATGCTAGGCCGAGCGCGATGGCTCACGCCTGTAATCCCAGCACTTTGGGAGGCCGAGGTGGGTGGATCGCCTAAGGTCAGGAGTTAGAGACTAGCCTGGCCAACATGGTGAAACCCAGTCTCTACTCGAAATACAAAAATTAGCCGGGCGTGGTGGCGTGCGCCTGTAATCCCAGCTACTCAGGAGGCTGAGGCAGGAGAATCGCTTGAACCCGGGAGGCGTAGGTTGCAGTGAGCCGAGACTGTGCCATTGCACTCCAGCCTGCGCAACGAGAACGAAACTCTAACTCAAAAACAACAACAACAACAAAAAACTCATGCCCAGGTCATACCCATACCAATTAAGTTAGTATATATAGTTGTGGAAGTCAAATATCAGTAGTATTTAAAGCAGCCTGGCGGGGGGACAAGAGCGAGACTTTGTCTCAAAAAAAAAAAAGTGTCATGGTCATGAAAAACAAGGAACAACCGAGGAAATGCCACAGATTGGGGGGCAGTAAAGTATGTAGTTAATAATATGCCAATGTTCATTTTTAAATTTTGGTAATTGTGTTAAGTAAGATGTTAACATCAGGAAACTGGGAGTAGGAGAACTCTACCATTTTTGCGATTTTCTGTAAGTCTAAAAGTATTTCAGAGTAAAAGGTTGACATTTTTCATGAATGCTATGATGTTATATATTATTTTCTCCTTCTCTTTTCTCTGAATTTATACTTGAGATTTGTCTGTCAACTGATTCCGTATTGGTTCTCTTCCCCTGGTGATGTGCATTTTAATTTCCATTTCCCCATGACTAATGATGGTGAGCCTATTTTTATGTGCCAATTGGCTATGTTTGTATTTTGTGGTTAGTTCTTTTAAGGATAAGTATTTTTAAAGCTTTTAATACCTATTGCCTTCATAAAATTGTACTAATTTATCCTTATGCCAGCAGTACAGGTTGAGTATCTGTGATATTGTGATATATGTATGTTAGTTTTTGTCCACGGTTCCTAGCTCATAACTCCCCTAGCTTTCGTTATAATGTTGGAGCTCTTGAAGCAAGCCTCAGAAAACAGAATCTCTCTCTGGCCTTCTGCCCTCCTTTCACCTGCCCAAAGCAGGACTCTAATCTTCCCCTGCCTTTCTGATTATGGGTCATAAGACTTTCATTTCAGAAGAGTTCCTACCCCATACCCTGGAGAAAGGAATGCTACCCAGAGAGGCCAGGAAGAATCTGGACAGGCCTTGCTGGGTTTCCCCAGTCTATTAGTATTAGATCATATCTTTTTTGTCCAGTCACATTTCTACACGGATGTCAGTCATGCCTATCCAATGAAGTTTCCATAAAAGGCCCAAGAGGAGAGGGTTCGAAGAGCTGCTGGATAGGAGCAAAAGGAAGTTCCTGGAGAGTGGTGTTCCCAGGGAGGGCATGCCTTGCCATGTGTATCTCTTCATCTGTATATCCTTTATAATAAACTAGTAAATTTGATTACCTGAGTTCTGTGAGCCACTCTGGCAAATTAACTGAACCCAAAGAGGGGCTCATGAGATTCCCAATTTATATCCAGTCAGTTAGAAGCACAGGTAAAACAACCTGTGGCTTGTGATTGGCATCAGAAGTAGGGGGCAGTCTTGTGGGACTGAGCCATCAACCTGTGAGATCTGACGCTTTCTCCAGGTAGATAATGTCAGACTCGAATTGGAGGATACCCACTTGGTGTCTGCTGCAGAATTGATTGCTTGTTTGTTGGTGGGGAGAAATCCTCACACATTTGGTCACAGAAGTCTACCTTATTGATTGTTGTTGAGTGAAAGAATCTTTTTTTTTTTTTTTTAAATTTATTTTTTTATTGATAATTCTTGGGTGTTTCTCACAGAGGGGGATTTGGCAGGGTCATGGGACAATAGTGGAGGGAAGGTCAGCAGATAAACAAGTGAACAAAGGTCTCTGGTTTTCCTAGGCAGAGGACCCTGCGGCCTTCCGCAGTGTTTGTGTCCCTGATTACTTGAGATCAGGGATTGGTGATGACTCTTAACGAGCATGCTGCCTTCAAGCATCTGTTTAACAAAGCACATCTTACACCGCCCTTAATCCATTTAACCCTGAGTGGACACAGCACATGTTTCAGAGAGCACAGGGTTGGGGGTAAGGTCACAGATCAACAGGATCCCAAGGCAGAGGAATTTTTCTTAGTGCAGAACAAAATGAAAAGTCTCCCATGTCTACTTCTTTCTACACAGACACGGCAACCATCCGATTTCTCAATCTTTTCCCCACCTTTCCCGCCTTTCTATTCCACAAAGCCGCCATTGTCATCATGGCCCGTTCTCAATGAGCTGTTGGGCACACCTCCCAGACGGGGTGGTGGCCGGGCAGAGGGGCTCCTCACTTCCCAGTAGGGGCGGCCGGGCAGAGGCGCCCCTCACCTCCCGGACGGGGCGGCTGGCCGGGCGGGGGGCTGACCCCCCAACCTCCCTCCCGGACGGGGCGGCTGGCCGGGCAGAGGGGCTCCTCACTTCCCAGTAGGGGCGGCCGGGCAGAGGCGCCCCTCACCTCCCGGACGGGGCGGCTGGCCGGGCAGGGGGGCTGACCCCCCCACCTCCCTCCCGGACTGGGCGGCTGGCCGGGCGGGGGGCCGACACCCCCACCTCCCTCCCGGACGGGGCGGCTGGCCGGGCGGGGGGCCGACCCCCCCACCTCCCTCCCGGACTGGGCGGCTGGCCGGGCAGAGGGGCTCCTCACTTCCCAGTAGGGGCGGCCGGGCAGAGGCGCCCCTCACCTCCCAGACGGGGCGGCTGGCCGGGCGGAGGGCTGACCCCCCCACCTCCCTCCCGGACGGCACGGCTGGCCAGGCGGGGGGCTGACCCCCCCACCTCCCTCCCGGATGGGGCGGCTGGCCGGGCGGGGGGCTGACCCCCCCCCACCTCCCTCCCGGACGGGGTGGCTGCCGGGCGGAGACGCTCCTCACTTCCCAGATGGGGTGGCTGCCGGGCGGAGAGGCTCCTCACTTCTCAGACGGGGCAGCTGCCGGGCGGAGGGGCTCCTCACTTCTCAGACGGGGTGGTTGCCAGGCAGAGGGTCTCCTCACTTCTCAGACGGGGCAGCCGGGCAGAGACGCTCCTCACCTCCCAGACGGGGTCTCGGCAGGGCAGAGGCGCTCCTCACATCCCAGATGGGGCGGCGGGGCAGAGGCGCTCCCCACATCTCAGACGATGGGCGGGCGGGCAGAGACGCTCCTCACTTCCTAGATGTGATGGCGGCTGGGAAGAGGCGCTCCTCACTTCCTAGATGGGATGGCGGCCGGGCGGAGACGCTCCTCACTTTCCAGACTGGGCAGCCAGGCAGAGGGGCTCCTCACATCCCAGACGATGGGCGGCCAGGCAGAGACACTCCTCACTTCCCAGACGGGGTGGCGGCCGGGCAGAGGCTGCAATCTCGGCACTTTGGGAGGCCAAGGCAGGCGGCTGCTCCTTGCCCTCGGGCCCGCGGGGCCCGTCCGCTCCTCCAGCCGCTGCCTCCCGGGCGGCGCTCGCCGGCGCGGCGGCAAAGACTGAGACAGCTCTGCTGCCCGCTGAACTCCATCCTCCCGGCGGTCGGGCGGCGGCGGCTGCGGTCGGTCGCGGCAGCGGCTCCGCTTCATATCTGCAGCTGGGGCCCGCGGGCGTCAGCGCCGCGACTGTCCCGGCTCCGCACTGCCCCGGGCCGCAGCGCAGCCGCGCCAACCACCACCCGCGGCCACCATGGCCGGACGGGCTCCCTAAGCCACCGACCCCAGCCCGCGGCGCCTTCGAGCCTTCTAGGGCCTCCGGCGCCGCGACCTCCTCTCAAGATCGAGTGAAAGAATCTTAAAAACTGTTTTTTCCACTCAGGGTATCCCTAATCTGAAATTTGAAATCTTCCAAAATCCAAAAAATTTTTTGCACCAACACAGCATTCAAAGGAAATGTTTATTAGAGCATTGTAGGTTTAGGATTTTTGGATTACGGATGCTTAACTGGTGATTATAATGCAAATATTGCAAAATTTGAAAAAAATGCAAAATCTCAAGCACTTTGGATCCCAGCCATTTCAGATAAGGGATACTCAACCTGTATATTTAAATGCCTATTTCATTCTTGTTAGTTTCCATGCTCCCATGCTCATGGTAACTCATCAGTGAAAGAATGGAATTACAGTTTTCCCTGGCATTTTGGATTAGGTGTTTTTCTAACTGTCCATAAAATGTTGTGTTACAGAAAAATGGCTACTGGACAGGATCGAGTGGTTGCTCTCGTGGACATGGACTGTTTTTTTGTTCAAGTGGAGCAGCGGCAAAATCCTCATTTGAGGAATAAACCTTGTGCAGTTGTACAGTACAAATCATGGAAGGGTGGTGGGTATGTATCATTGTTATTGTCACAACTATTCAATGGTAACACAGTGGCACTGTGGCAGGTCCTTTGTTGTTGTGGTGGTGGTGGTGGTGGTGACAGGGCCTTTCTCTGTTGTCCCATCCAGAGCGCAGTGGCACCATCAGCTCACAGCAGCTTTGACCTGGGCTCAAGTGATCATCCCTCTTCAGTCTCCCAAATAGTTAGAACTACAGGAGCGCCCCACCATGCCAAGCTGATTTTATTTTTTGGGGGGTGGGTAGAGATGGGGATTGGTTGGGGGGGCAGGGCTCACTATATTGCCCAAGCAGGTCTTGAACTCCCGGCCTCAAGCAGTCCTTCTGCCTTGGCCTCCCAAAGTACAGGAATTGCCAGCATGAGCTGCTGTGCCTGGCCCTATTTTTGAGATTTCTGAACTGCTTTGTTTTGGATTGAATGATGGCATCTGTGGTCAAAAAGTTTCTAATATGTTTATAGATTACTTGTGTTAAATGTTACTTGTTTTTGCTTGTGATCATATAATATGTTTTCTGTTTCCTTTTTTTTCTAACCTTAGAATAATTGCAGTGAGTTATGAAGCTCGTGCATTTGGAGTCACTAGAAGTATGTGGGCAGATGATGCTAAGAAGTTATGTCCAGATCTTCTACTGGCACAAGTTCGTGAGTCCCGTGGGAAAGCTAACCTCACCAAGTAAGAAAAAAACATTATTTAAGGAGACATAAAGGAGTCGAAAATAATACTCCATGAGGCTAGGAACTGGTGTTTTGAATTTGTTCCATGTAAATAACACCGGAAAAAATTCTTTTTGGTTAGCCATCTTGTCTCTGTGAAATGAAAAACAGATTTTAATATTGTGTTTTGGGGACAGTTCAAAACCATTATACCATATAAGAGTTGCTGCCTTTGATATCTATTCAGTTCCTTAATTGTTCAAAATTGGTTGTTAAATTCAGACTTAATACCAATTCCCATGTTCTCCATCCAAAAATCTAAAGTATTTGAAAAATTGACTGTGAAACTGAGAATTTTTCCAGGAAAGGCTGAGTCAAACTGACATTGTAGTACAATATCAGGAATTAGTTGCTATAATTGAACAATATCAAGGGAGATTTCTCTGTTTTTAGATTAAGCTATCTCTCCGCAAATATTAGAAGTTTCACCTTGGAATGGGGGATATGAATCAGCATAGCTAAGTCAGAGGTAGGCACAAACCCCAGCCTTTAATCCTAACAGCTAATATGTATTAAACATATTATCACATGCCAGGCACAGTGTTAAGCTCTCTATAGGCAATATCTCTATTAAATCTGACATTGTTATAAGGTAGGTACTAATATTACTCCCCCTTCACAGATAAGGAATCAAGTTCAGAGAAGTTAAATAATTTAAGTTAGGCTGGGGATGGTGGCTCATGCCTGTAATCCTAGCATTTAGGGAGGCTGAGGCGGGCAGATCACTTGAGTCCAGGACACCAGCCTGGGCAACATAGGGACCAGCCTGGGCAACATGGGGAAACCCCATCTCTAACAGAAAATACAAAAATTAGCCAGGCATGGTGGCACACACTTGCAGTCCCGGCTACTCAGGAAGCTGAGTTGAGAGGATTGCTTGAGCCTGGGAGGCAGAGGTTGCAGTGGGCCCAGATCACACCACTGCACTCCGGTCTGGGTGACAGAGTGAGACCCTGTCTCAAGAAAGAGAAAAGTTCAGACAGCTAAGTGAAAGACTGAGGATTCACATCTGTTTTTTAAGATTCTAGTATCTATGTTCTCAAGGTACACTATACTATGTGTTGTGGTATAGGAATCATGCTTTGACTTAGGACCTGACATACTTCTGAATTCTAATTCTAATTCTATGAATTAGAAGTCTAAAGGTAGAGTGGCATACAGACCCACATTGGAATTATTGCTAGAAAAGAAGATAGACTTGACTGAAGATTAAGTTTTCCAAATACTCTTAAAAATACCTTGCAGTGATTTGCTCAAGAGGCTGTGAGGAAGCACTGAAATAGAGTATTGTTTTAGAAAAACTCAAACTATGGTTTTCCTCTCCTCTCACACCACAAGAACAATCAACACAGAAGACATCTGTGACCAAAGGTGTGGAAGTATTTCCCCACACACCAATCAGCAGACACCAGCTGCATGTCCTCGCACTCAATTCCAACACTGTCTACCTGGAGATGGCATCAGATTCCACATGTTGAGGGCTCAATACCACAAGAACACCCCCTCCTTCCTTTCCATCACAAGTCCAGGCCTTTAGAACGTCTGAACAGCTGGCTTTAAGTTGGGGTTCCTGCAACCCCCTCTTTGGATTTGATTAATTTGCTGAAGCGACTCACAGAACTCAGGAGAACACTTACTTATGTTTATTATAAGGGATATTACGAAGGATACAGATAGGTTGGGCATGGTGGCTCACGCCTGTAATCCTAGCACTTTGGGAGGCTGAGACAGGAGGATTGCTTGAGCTCAGAAGTTTGAGACCAGCCTGGGCAACATAGTAAGACCTCGTCTCTACCAAAATTAAAACAAAAACAAAAACAAAAAAATTTAGCTAGACATGGTGTTGTGCAGCTCTAGTTCCAGCTACTCAGGAAGCTGAGGTGGGAGGGTCGCTTGAGCCCAGGAGATTGTGGTTCCAGAGAGTCATGATCAAACCACTGCATGCAGCCTGGGCAACAGTGAGATCCTGTCAAAAAGAAGATGAAGATGAAGAGATATATAGAGCAAGGCATGTGAGAAGGGGTGCGGAGCTTTCATGCCCTCCCTGGGTGAGCCACCCTCCAGGAATCTCTACTATTACAGCTATTTGGAACCTCTCCGGACCCTGTCCTCTTGGGTTTTTAGGGAGGCTCCGTTATGTACTCATGACTGATTAAACCATTGGCTATGGGTAATCAACTTGACCTGCAGTATCTCTCTTCCTCTCCCCTCCCCAGAAGTTGAGGGGGTGGGGCCAAAAGTCCCAACCCTCTAATTATGCCGTGGTCTTTTTGGTGACCTGCCCTATCCTGAAGCTATTAGTTAACATTAGCATACAAAAAGACAAAACTTGGGTGATTCCAAGGATTTTTGGAGTTGTATGCCAGGAAACTGGGATGAAGACCGAATATATATTTCACAATATTATAAGTATCCTTTTCTGGCTGTGTGTATGAGTATATTGCTCTTTCTTTTCTTTTTTTTTTTTTTTTTGTGGGTGGGGGACGGAGTTTCACTCTTGTTGCCCAGGCTAGGGTGCAATGGTGCAATCTCGGCTCACCACAACCTCCATCTCTTGGATTCAAGTGATTCTCCTGCCTCAGCCTCCCGAGTAGCTGGGATTACAGTCATGTGCCACCGTGCTGGCTAATTTTATATTTTTAGTAGAAATGGGGTTTCTCCATGTTGGTCAGGCTGGTCTCGAACTCCTGACCTCAGGTGATCCACCCACCTCTGCCTCCCAAAGTGCTGGGATTACAGGTGTGAACTGCTGCGCCCGATCTTGCTCTTTATTTTCTTTGAGGCCTATCCTCTTCCTAGTTCAAATAATGATTTAAAAAAAAAAAAAGTCAAGTATTTCTCTAATTCTCTAATTTGAGAGTGTTTTAGAACAATAATTATATTAGTTTTTATGGGTGTCATGGTGAAGAGGTACCGATGTTTTCATTTTTATGGTAAATATAAAGTCAATAGGAACAAAGAACTGGACACTACAAAGCAGGTCCAAGCCAAAGGAAAGCAAATATCTGTATATTGGCCGGATGTGGTGGCTCACGCCGGTAATCCCAGCACTTGGGGAGGCCGAGGTGGGTGGATCACCTGAGGTCAGGAATTCGAGATCAGCCTGGCCAACATGGTGAAACCCTGTCTCTACTAAAAATACAAAAAAATTCACCAGGCGTGGTGGCAGGCGCCTGTAATCCCAGCTACTTGGGAGGCTGAGGCAGGAGAATTGCTTGAACCCGGGAGGTGGAGGTTGCAGTGAGGCGAGATGCCACTATTGCACTCCAGCCTGGGAGACAAGAGCGAGACTTCATCTCGAAAAACAAGAAAAAAAAGAAAATATCTGTATATTGTCGTAGAAAACTAGGTATAGAGCCAGAAGAGCTGCTTATTAAAGTTTGAATAGAAGACATACGATGAGATTGGTATGTATACCCTGAGGAAGGTTGTCTGCCTGCCCAGACACATCACCACATTCTAGGTGCTTATCTTCAACTTGATCATTTGAATATTAGTATATCCGTAAATGGTTGGTTAAGGCATGTGTGTGTATGTGGTGATGACCAGTTCACATGTTAACCAAACTCACCGTTGACTGAAGTATAAAATCCATATGCCAGTTTGTTAATTTATGGTGAGAAATACTATCCTGGGGAAGACCATATACTCTGGTTCACTGATCAGTGCAGTGTTGCATGTAAATTACCCTTTTTTTGAAGACAAAATTAGAAGCAGAAGATTTCTTGGTGGATATATGAAAATAAAAGGAATAGGTGATCATAGTAATACACAAATTTGAGGCATTTCTTTATTTTTTAGAGAGTTCCTTGTCATATAGACGTGTTCATAGTCTGAATGCTTTCTGCCTTGGTAGTTCTGGCATTGTGCTAAAAATGTTTGCCTCCGTGATTCTTCCTTTTCCATGCTTCTATTATTGACCATCTGCCTGCCGATTGACCCTTTCAGTTACTATTGTCTAGTCTCTGTTAAGCCACATGTCTCTTGATTACGTGTATTATTGTTCATTATGGCAGGGTGGGAGTGGAGCAGACAATCTCAAGGTTGCCTCTGTTTATTGCCTGCATGAATGATCCTTATACTTCTTAGGTACCGGGAAGCCAGTGTTGAAGTGATGGAGATAATGTCTCGTTTTGCTGTGATTGAACGTGCCAGCATTGATGAGGCTTACGTAGATCTGACCAGTGCTGTACAAGAGAGACTACAAAAGCTACAAGGTCAGCCTATCTCGGCAGACTTGTTGCCAAGCACTTACATTGAAGGGTTGCCCCAAGGCCCTACAACGGCAGAAGAGACTGTTCAGAAAGGTACTTCCATAGCATCATACTGCTTCTGCTTCCTGCCTTTGGAACCTGCTTTGCTTGGTCATGCTGATTCTCCTTGGAATAATTGAAAGGAAACTTAAACTACAGCCTGAATGAATCACAAGGACTCACATGGAAGGATATACAAATTTTCTTATCTTTCCAGGTATATGGCTGTTGAGAAGCTGTGAAATCTGTATGAAAGTAAATTTCTCTTTAGATATAACTAGGGCAGGTTAGTGTTATCAATAGAAGGCAGAGACCTGGCGCGGTGATTCACGCTTCTAATCCCAGCACTTTGGGAGGCCGAGGTGGGTGGATCATGAGGTCAGGAGTTCAAGACCAACCTGGCCAGCATGGTGAAACCCCATCTCTACTAAAAATACAAAAATTAGCTGGGCATGGTGGCGCGTGCCTGTAATCCCAGCTACTTGGGAGGCTGAGGCAGGAGATTTGCTTGAACCAGGACCCAGGAGGTGGAGATTGAGGTGAGCCGAGATCTCGCCACTGCACTCCAGCCTAGGCTACAGAGGGAGACTCCGTCTCAAAAAACAAAAAAATCAATAGAAGGCTGACTGAGCACTTTGTCATTGGTAGCTTAATTTATATTATTATAACTTAGTGTCTTGGTTTCTTCATATATAAGAAGGGTGAGCTTTTTAAAGGGGGGCCTCAGGTATAGGGAGTTGAGTGATTCAAAATTTCTAATCACTTCTTAGCACATTATTACATATGGGCTGCACAAGGCCCCTCTCATTGTATTTTGCTACTTTTACCCTTTATAGTGATTTTCCCACTCCCTCTGTGCCGCACCTACCCTCTTGTACCCACAGATACATTTGATATATCTTAGATGTCTGTCTTTCCTTCCTTCCTTCTTTCCTTCCTTCCTCCCTTCCTTTCTTTTCTTTCTTTCCCTTTCTTTCTTTCTTTCTTTTTTCTTTCTTTCCTTTTCATTTCATTTCATTTCATTTCTTTATTTTGAGATGGAGCGTCACTCTGTCGCCCTGGCTGGAGTGCAGTGGCATGATCTCAGCTCGCTGCAACCTCCGCCTCCAGGGTTCAAGCAGTTCTCCTGCCCCAGCCTCCCAAGTAGCTGGGATTACAGGCATGTATCCACTACACGCTGCTAATTTTTGTATTTTTAGTAGAGATGGGGTTTCACCATGTTGGCCAGGCAGGTCTGGAACTCCTGACCTCAAATGATCCACCTGCCTTGGCCTCCCAAAGTGCTGGCATTACAGGTGTAAGCCACTGTACCTGGCCTATATCTTTATAAGTTACTCAGTATTGCTTTGTCTATGTGCTTTTTAATTACAAGATGATTTTGTGCTATTATAGATCTCATTCTTTTTCTTTTTTTTTTTTTGAGACGGAGTCTCACTCTTTCGCCCAGGCCGGACTGCAGTGGCGCTATCTCGGCTCACTGCAAGCTCCGCCTCCCGGGTTCACGCCATTCTCCTGCCTCAGCCTCCTGAGTAGCTGGGATTACGGGCGCCCGCCACCGCGCCCGGCTAATTTTTTTGTATTTTTAGTAGAGACAGGGTTTCACCGTGTTAGCCAAGATGGTCTCGATCTCCTGACCTTGTGATCCGCCCGCCTCGGCCTCCCAAAGTGCTGGGATTACAGGTGTGAGCCACCGTGCCCGGCCTTCATTCTTTTTCTTAATTTTCCTTCAGTAATGACCTTAGAGATGTGTCCATGTGGCTGTATTTATTTGTAATTGATGGCTTCGATGGCTGTTACTTGCAGCGTAATCCATGATATGGATCCACCATGGTTACAGACCATTTTCCCTAGTGACAAATTCATTGGTTGCTTCTAATGTCCTGCTCTAACAGTTTACATTCCCCCTAGCAGTACATAAAAGTTCCTGTTTCCCCCATATTCTCAACAACAACTGGTATCATCTAATGTTTAAAAATATTTGCCAATATAATGTTTGTTTGTTTTGCTTTAATTTACATTTCTCTGATCACTAATTGAGATTGAAGATCTCTTCATACACTTGTAAGCCAGCTGAGTTTCTGCTTCTGTGATTTACTTATTTATAATCTTTGCCCATTTTTCCATGGAAAAATGGTAAAATTATTTATTTTTTGATTTGCAAGAGTTCCTTGTATATCCTATCCTAATTATTAGTTCCTTGTCTTTTTTTTTTTTTTGAGATGGAAGTCTCACTATGTTGCCCAGGCTGGAGTGCAGTGGCTATCAGTCGCTATTCACAGGTGTGTAATTATGGCTCACTGCAGCCTTGAACTCCTGGGCTCAAACAATCCTCCCACCTCAGCCTCCAGAGTAGCTAGAACTACAAGTATGTGCCATCATGCCTGGCTAATTTTTAAATTTTTTGTAGAGACAGGGTCTCACTATGTTGCCCAGGCTTTTATATATTTTTTTCATTTTCTACTTGATTATTGATGTGTTGGGAAATGATAAATGGGTTTTTTTAATGAATTCATTTTTATTTACTTTATCTAAAAAAAATTGTGATATAATCTGTATGAAGTGTTTTAATAACATGTACTTGAAGGTTAATTTTTTTTTCTTAGATTTGAATAGAATTAGGACAATAAAAACTTGCTTTTGTGGCTGGGTGCGGTGGCTCACACCTGTAATCCAAGCACTTTGGGAGGCCGAGGTGGGTGGATCATGAGGTCAGGAGTTCAAGACCAGCCTGGCCAAGATGGTGAAACTTCGTCTTTACCGAAAATACAAAAAAACTAGCTGGGCATGGTAGCATGTGCCTGTAATCCCAGCTATTCGGGAGGCTGAAGCAGAAAATTCCTTAAACCCGGAAGGAGGAGGATGCAGTGAGCTGAGATCGTACCACTGCACTCCAGCCTCGGCAACAGAGCAAGACTCCATCTTAAAAAAAAAAAAACAAAAAACTTGCTTTTGTGATAATGTTAGATTATGATAGTCCTAGATTCCAGGTCTAAGAATTTGCATAAGAATGAGGGTTTTTTTTTTGTTTTGGTTTTTGTTTTTCTTTGAGACAGAGCCACTCTGTCACCCAGGCTGGAGTGCAGTGGCGCAATCTCGGCTCATTGTAACCTCTGCCAGAATGAGGTCTTTTTTTTAATTGAATATTATGAAAGTGGAATTCAGTTGTATCCCCCCAGAGCAAATAATTCTGCATGTTTCATGTTTTGGCTGGGTGTGGTGGCTCACACCTGTAATCCCAGCACTTTGGGAGGCCAAGGCAGGTGAATCACCTGAGGTCAGGAGTTCAAGACCAGTCTGGCCAACATGGCGAAACCCCATCTCTACTAAAAATACAAAAATTAGCCGGGCGCAGTGGCAGGTGCCTGTAATCCCAGCTACTTGGGAGGCTGAGACAGGAGAATCACTTGAGTCCAGGAGGCGGAGGGTGCAGTGAGCCGAGATTGCGCCACTGTACTCCAGCCTGGGTGGCGACAGAGCAAGACTCTGTCTCAAAAAAAAAAAAGAAAAAAAAAAAAAAGATGTAACATGTAAACTTTGCTTTTGCTGCTGAACAATTGCATAAAATGCCTTTAATGTGTTGTGCAGAAGAGTAGTAGTAAAACTGCCCAGGGAAGCTTGTGACTTAAGGAATTATTTTATTTTCTGATCCTGATAATGCAAAGTATGTCAAGCTAGAGGCTGCAGATCCTTTAGTTCTTTGGACAAAATATAATGGACAATAAAGATGTGCCACTTATAGAGGAAGCAAAATCATGGTACATAAGCTTTTGATATTTGATATTTTATTATTCTGGGACCAGAGTCAGAAATTTAATTATCATAATAAGAAAGGTGTTCTTTGGTCTTACCTTTCTGTACCACATCTTATTACATAACTTTCTTTTTTTTTAGTTTCCATATGCAACACTGATTTTTTTGGTGTCACCCAGGCTGGAATGCAGTTGTGAGATCTTGGCACACTGCAGCCTCCACCTCCAGGGTTCAAGTGATCCTCATGCCTCAACCTCCTGAGTAGCTGGGATTATAGGCATATGCCACCATGCTGGCTAAGTTTTGTATTTTTAGTAGAGACGGGGTTTCGCCATGTTGGTCAGGCTGGTCTCAAACTCCTGGCATCAAGTTATCCATCTGCCTTGGCCTCCCAAAGTGCTGGGATTACAGGCATGAGCCACCGCACCCAGCCTGATTTTTTTTTTTTTTTTAAATATTTGGAATTGGTTTTATAATGCCTTGAATTTGTGGCTCTTTAAAGTTTATTTGAGAATTACATACTCTTAAAAATTTGTTGAAAGCTATAGACCCTTGCTGGCCTCCGAAAAATTTGTATCTATACATAAGACAATTTTGCATGCAGTTTTCAGGAGATTCACAAACCCTCTGAAATCCACATACCTCAGAATTAGAACTAGTCTTACACATTATATTGGTTTTTGCTGCAGAGCATTGTTGAAGCATTCTATTATCTCTGGCTGAAGATGGTATATACCTTCCTTGGTAGTTGAATGTTAACTCAGATGGACGTGTTCCTCTTTCTTCTACACTTACTTTTCTTACCTATGTACATTTTTTTATTAAAAATGCCCATGTTTATAGAGAGGTCTATTTCTGTATGTCTTGTGTCTGTTGCATTAGTGTGTCCAACTTAAATATTAAGCTCCCAGATGCAGTGCCAGCATCTTATTATATGTAATGTTCAGAACAGTGCAATGTCTAGGAAATATTTCATATCATATTCCTGAATCTTTGATGTGTGCAACCACAAAAACCTGATAACAGAAATTAGCTGATCTAAGTGGATATAACCTTCCAGAAATCATTTTTCATGGATACAATATATTTCAAATCTAAGAAAAGAGGCGAGGTATTTGTAATACCTTGATACTGAGCTTTCCATCAACTTTTCCATCTTGCCTCCTATAAGAGCTAGCAATCATGCTCAGCCCTCCTGCATTTGCAGCTTTGTATCTTCTTTTTTTTTTTTTTTTTTGGAGAGGGAGTCTCTTTCTCGCTCTGTCGCCCAGGCTGGAGTGCAGTGGTGCAATCTCGGCTCACTGCAATCTCCACCTCCCGGGTTCACGCCATTCTCCTGCCTCAGCCTCCCGAGTAGCTGGGACTACTGTTGGCCGCCACCACGCCCGGCTAATTTTTTTGTATTTTTTTTAGTAGAGACGGGGTTTCACCGTGTTAGCCAGCATGGTCTCGATCTCCTGACCTCGTGATCTGCCCGCCTTGGTCTCCCAAAGTGCTGGGATTACAGGCGTCAGCCACTACGCCTGGCCTTGTATTTTCTAAAATAGTTATTTGTGTGTAAAGTTTAAGTAGTAAGATTTACTTAAAGTACTTCTCAGAAATTGTCAAGGTGAAACTTTCCCATCATTGCCATTTTGTAACTGGTTTGTTAGCTAAGGGCCTTTTCTTTTCCCTTTGTTTTTTCTTAATTCATTTCTTTATTATTTTAAAACACAGAGACATGGTCTCACTATGTTGCCCGGGCTGGTCTTGATGAGTTCCTGGCCTCAAGCAATTTTCCCACTTCAGCGTCCCAAAGTGCCAGGATTATAGGCGTGAGCCACTGCACCTGGCCTTACAAAACAGTTTTATAATGATTATTTTTGAGATGGGGTCTCACTGTGTTGCCCATGTTACCTGTGAACTCATGCTCAAGTGATCCTCCCACTTGAGGCTTCCAAGTAGCTGGAACTATCGGCATGTGCCACTGTGTCTGGCTTTATCTTATAATGATCATATAATTATTATTAAAGATTATAAAATTCAATGGAAAGATTATACTATCCTCATGTATCAAAAGACTAAATCTTACTAGTGCTCAATTCTCCCCAAATTGACGTATAGATTCATTGCAGTCCCTTCCAAAATCCCACAGAAATTGACAAACTGATTCTAAAATTTGTATGGAAATGCAAAGAATGTGGAGTAGCCAAACAACTTTGAAAAAGAACTAAGTTGGAAGACATACTACCTGATTTCAAGATTTAACTATAAATTTGTAACTAGGGAAGTTTGGTATTGGTGTGAGAAAATACGTAGATTAATGGTATAGAATAGAAAGTATACAAGTAGATCCCCACTTTTCAGGCTGGGGTGTGTGTGGTGGCAATTCATTTCCACAAAGGTGCCAAGATAATTCAACAAGAAAAACTCTTGGCTGGGCACAGTGGCTCACGCCTGTAATCCCAGCACTTTGAGAGGCCAGGGTGAGCGAATCATGACGTCATGAGATTGAGACCATCCTGGCCAACATGGTGAGACCCTGTCTCTACTAAAAATACAAAAATTAGCTGGGTGTGGTGGCGCATGCCTATAATCCTAGCTTTTCGGGAGGGTAAGGCAGGAGAATTACTTGAACCCAGGAGGCAGAGGTTGCAGTGAGCTGAGATTGCGCCACTGTACTCCAGCCTAGCAACAGAGTGAGACTCCGTCTCAAAAAAAAAAAAAAAAAAAAAGAAAGAAAGAAAAGTTTTTTCTCAGCTTTCATGGGCATTTAACACCAGAACTACCTGAAGTATTTCCTGTAGTCCATTTCATGGTATTGAAGAAAAACCAAAATTTTATAGATTTTTCTTATCAACTAGAGAAAAGGTAAAAAGCATTGTAGGGAAATAAGGGAATTCTGCTTATCTTCTGTGGTCCCGTTCAGTTAATACAGATAAAGGATTAAATTTAAAAATCTACATTGCCACAGGATTGCAACATTACCCAATCTGGGAAAGCAATGATGAAAAAAATCTAAAGCAGAGAAAATTTAGCTCTAACTGTTTAAAAAGGTCCAGAAAGTCATACAATTACAGTAAATTATTCATATTTTTGTTTCCCAAAGCTAATATATACTAGTATAAATTGTTTTAAATGATGGATGTTTTAATAGTATTTATTGTTCTTAATATGTGCAAGCCTTGGTATTTCAGGAAAACAGATAATTAAAAAAAAAGCAAAAAATGCGCAAGCCACTGTGCTGAGGAACTTTATTTTTAAAAACTACCTTTTGGCCGGGCACAGTGGCTCACGCCTGTAATCCCAGCACTTTGGGAGCCCTTGAGGTCAGGAGTTCAAGACCAGCCTGGCCAACATGGTGAAACCCCATCTCTACTAAAAATACAAAAATTATCTGGGCCTGAAGGTTCACAGCTGTAGTCCCAGCTACTCCGGAGGCTGAAGCAGGATAATTGCTTGAACCTGGGAGGTGGAGGTTGCAGTGAGCTGCACTCTAGCCTGGGCAACAGAGCAACTCCGTCTCAAAAAAAATAAAAAATAATAAACTATCTTTTAATCCTCATAACAGCTATATGAAGTGCAGTTTGTAGACAAGGAAATTGAAGCTTAGAGAATTATGTAACTTGTCCAAAGTCACATGGTCAGTAGGTTATGAAGCCAATATTTGAACCCTGCTTGACTGCAGAATGTTCTTTTAACAATTATGCTCTACTTCTTATGGCCATACATGGTGGTTTACACCTGTAATCCCATCACTTTGTGAGGCCAAGGCTGGGGGCTGGGGAGGTGGGGGGCATATGGGGGGGGATTGCTTGAGTCCAGGAGTTTGAGACCATCCTTGGTGACATGGTGAAACCCCGTCTCTACAAAAAATACAAATTAGCTGGGCGTGGTGGCATCTGCCTGTAGTCCTAGCTACTTGGGAGGCCAAGGTAGGAGGATCGCTTGAGCTCAGGAGGCAGAGAATGCCCTGCCAAAAGACAGGTTTTTTTTTTTTAGTTTTTTTTTCTTTTTTGAGGTGGAGTGTCACTCAGCTCACTGCAACCTCCGCCTCCCGGGTTCAAGTGATTCTCCTGTCTCAGCCTCCTGAGTAGCTGGGATTACAGGTGTGCACCACCACGCCTGGCTAATTTTTGTATTTGTATTTTTAGTAGAGACGGGGTTTCACCATGGTGGTCAGGCTGGTCTCAAACTCCTGACCTTGTGATCTGCCTGCCTTGGCCTCCCAAAGTGCTGAGATTACAGACGTGAACCACCGCACATGGCCCAAAAGATAGTTTTTAAAAATAAAGTTCCTTGGCCGGGCGCAGTGGCTCATGCCTATAATCCCAGCACTTTGGGAGGCCAAGGCAGGCGGATCACGAGGTCAGAAGATCAAGACTATCCTGGCTAACATGGTGAAACCCCATCCCTACTAAAAAAAATACAAAAAAATTAGCCGGGCGTGGTTGCAGGCGACTGTAGTCCCAGCTACTTGGGAGGCTGAGGCAGGAGAATGACGTGGACTCGGGAGGCTGAGGCAGGAGAATGGCGTGGACCCAGGAGGTGAAGCTTGTGGTGAGCCGAGATCGCTCCACTGCACTCCAGCATGGGCAACAGAGCGAGATTCTATCTCAAAAATAAATAATTAAATAAATAAAATAAAGTTCCTCAGCACAATGGCTTGCATGTATTTTTCTTTTTTTTTTTAAATTACCTATTTTCCTGAAACACCAAGGCTTGCACATATTAAGAACAATGAATACTATTAAAACATCCATCATTTAAAATAATGTATACTAGTATATATTAGTGAGCCAAGATCATGCCACTGCACTCCAACCTGGATGACGGAGTGTGACTCTGTCTCAAAAAATAAAACAATTATGTCTACTTCATATTACAGATAAAAGGTAAAGAACTTTAATGTGGTACTAGAAAGCTAGCTAGAATAGTTGAAGGAGAGGACTTCATAATAGATAAACTTGCCATAAGCCCTAAAGTATAGATGTGTTTAAGCAAAGGAAAGAAGAACAGAGTTAAGGGGTAAGAGCTTGCCAGGCGCGGTGGCTCAGGCCTGTAATCCCAGCACTTTGGGAGGCCAAAGCGGGCAGATCACAAGGTCAGGAGATCGAGACCATTCTGGCTGACACGGTGAAACCCCATCTCTACTAAAAATACAAAAAATTAGCTGGGCGTGGTGGCAGGCGCCTGTAGTCCCAGCTACTCGGGAGGCTGAGGCAGGAGAATGGTGTGAACCCGGCAGGCAGAGCTTGCAGTGAGGCGAGATCATGCCACTGCACTCCAGCCTGGGTGACAGAGTGAGACTTCGTCTCAAAAAAAAAAGAAAAAAGAAAAAACCTGAATAAAATAGGGTGGTGGGTTGCAGTGGATATGTGAAATATTTTAAAGTAGGTTTTGTTGACTAAATGGCTGCATAATGAGGAATGAAAGAGAAAATAAGCCAATATTAATGTGGATTTTAAGCCCTTAATAGAAATAGGGAGTTGGTTGGAAAGAACATTTGAGAAGGAAGACAAAGTTTGATTTTAGTTATGTTTAGTTGGAAACCATAATTAAAAATTCAAGAAAAGTTCTTCTGTAGGGAGTCAGGAAAAGTTCTTCTGTAGGGAGGTAGAGCTAAGGGATTAGAGTGTACATTTGGGGATAAAGATTTGTATGTACTCAGAGTAAGATATTTTCAAGGTCCTAAGTCCCAAGCAACATCTGACTTAAAACAGCTTATCAAGGGAATAAATCTAGTGCCTCGGAGTGGATTTTAAGTTACTCAGCTGGAATCCACCTCTAAAAACATGTAAATGTTAAAGCTTATATTGAAGCTTGAGTTAATTCTGAATATTTTCTAATTGAAAAAAATATTCTTGGAGAAGATGTTTAAGTGATTAAATATAGTAGGAGAAAGAAAATTCAAGAGAACTGGGGAGATAAATGTGTTTACATTATTTTTTTTTATTTTTATTATTTTTGAGATGAAGTCTTGCTCTGTCGCCCAGGCTGGAGTGCAGTGGCGCAATCTCGGCTCACTGCAACCTCCGCCTCCTGGGTTCAAGCGAATCTCCTGCCTCAGCCTCCTGAGTAGCTGTGGTTACAGGCCTGCACCACCATGCCCAGCTAGTTTTGTATTTTTAGTAGAGACGGAGTTTTGCCATGTTGGACAGGCTGGTCTTGAACTCCTGACCTCAGGTGATCCACCCGCCTTGCTCTCCCAAAATGCTGGGATTACAGGCGTGAGCCACCGTGCCTGGCCAAAAATGTGTTTTAAAATCATTGCTCATGAAAGATGATATTAATACAAAATATTTGTCGTACATTAGCACTATAAAATTCAGCCTATGCTGAAGCTAAGCTGCGGGAACACTCTGAAGGAGAAATTGAGCTCTCTTATAATTGGTCTTCTAAGCTGGCTGCCATTTTTTTGTGAAAACTTATATGTCTAAATACCTGTAATCTAAGCATTTCTACATTAGATAGCACAATTAAATAAATAATTTTTTAAATGTCTAAATGTGAGTTCTTAATTCATTTCAGAGGGGATGCGAAAACAAGGCTTATTTCAATGGCTCGATTCTCTTCAGATTGATAACCTCACCTCTCCAGACCTGCAGCTCACCGTGGGAGCAGTGATTGTGGAGGAAATGAGAGCAGCCATAGAGAGGGAGACTGGTTTTCAGTGTTCAGCTGGAATTTCACACAATAAGGTGAAGGCTAATAGTAGATTTCAAAGAGAAACATTGATATCCTTAGTCAAATACAGTAGGGACAGTGGGACATTGAAATTATTACACATAGGCCGGGTGCAGTTTCGCACGCCTATGTGAGTGGATCGCGTGAGCCCAGGAGTTGAAGAGCAGCCTGGGAAACATGTTGAAACCCAGTCTCTACAAAAAATTAGCCAGGCGTGGTGGTGTACACCTACAGTCCCAGCTACTCAGGAGGCTGAGATGGGAGGATCAGCTGAGTCCAGGAGGTTGAAGCTGCCGTGAGCCGAAATCATACTACTGTACTTCAGCTTGGGCGACAGTGAGACTGTCACCAAAAAAAAAAAAAAAAAGTTGTTACACATGTACTTTGAATGGATTTCTTTTAAAATTCATGTTGAGGCCCAAATCAAAGCATAAGTAATTCTTTAACATGGAAATGGACATTAAATATGTACTTTCCTAAGAAGCAAGCTGAAGGCCGGGCATGGGGGCTCACGCCTGTAGTCCCAGCACTTTCGGAGGCTGAGGCAGGTGGATCACCTGAGGTCAGGAGTTCGAGACCAGCCTGACCAATATGGTAAAACACCATCTCTACTAAAAATACAAAAAAAAAAAAATTAGCCAGACATGGTGGCGTGCACCTGCAATCCCAGCTACCCGGGAGGCTGAGGCAGGAGAATTGCTTTAACCTGGAAGGTGGAGGTTCCAGTGAGCCAAGTTGTGCCACTGCACGCCAGCCTGGGCGACAGAGCAAAGACTCCGTCTCAAAAAAAAAAAAAGAAAAAGAAAAGAAAAACCATACACTATAAGAACAATTTATATAGCATTTACATTGTACGTTATAGGTGTTATAAGAAATTAGAGATGATTTAAAGTATACAGAAGGATATACAAAGGTTATATGCAAATACTGCACCATTTTATATTATGGGACTTGATCATTTTATATACGGGACTTGGGGTTTTGGTATCCACTGGAGGTCTTAGAACCAATCCCCTGCAGATATTGAGAGATGACAGTATTTCCTTAATGACTGAACTGTTTGTTGGAAAAAGGAGGCTAGTCTTTGCACTTACATACATTAATGTATTTCTTCTATTTTCACTTGCTGAATTTTTTTTTTTTTTTTTTTTTTTTGAGATGGAGTCTCGCCCTGTTGCCCAGGCTGGAGTTCAGTGGCCCAATCTCAGCTCACTGCAGCCTCCGCCTCCCGGGTTCAGGTGATTCTCCTGCCTCAGCCTCCCGAGTAGCTGGGATTACAGGTGCACACCACCATGCCTGGCTAATTTTTGTATTTTTACTGGAGACAGGGTTTCACCATATTGGCCAGGCTGGTCTGGAACTCCTGACCTCAAGTGATTCACCCACCTCGGCCTCCCAAAGTGCTGGGATTACAGGCATGAGCCACCGCGCCCGGCCACGTGCTGAATATTTTTGTATTATCTTGTTATGTGGAATTGCCTGGGTATTTTATGCTTTTGCCTATTCCCTGTTTTCTTATGAGAGCAATAAAAGGAATAATACAATTTTATTAATTTAGACCACTATTTTAATTTAGGGTACACAGACAATTCTCAACAATCCAGGAGCAGAATAACTGGTTTTCTGATTAATTATGAATAAAGTGTAGCAAGAGCCCAGGACTTTCATCCCCTTCTGACCAAAGCTCAGTAATTGGGCAGTGGCTGATTTTCCCTGGTTGATACCTTCTCCGCCTCCCTTCAATACAAGGAAAGTTGCCAAACTACCCATCTGAATTTTTTTGGTGTTTTTTTTTTTCCTGGTTGGATGAAGGGAAAGGAAACAATAACTTCAATGTAATTTAAACCAGACTAAATGTTGCCTAGTAGAAGTTCTTAACGAATCTCTCTAATGAATTTAATAATTTTATATTTTAAAACATACAAATATAATTTTTAAATTATATTAAAAAATTAAAAATTATATTTTTATAATTTGCAAAATGATACCATTGAAGTGCTTTTACTCTTAGAAAAGATTTCTCTTGGCCGAGTGCGGTGGCTCACACCTGTAATCCCAGCACTTTGGGATCCCGAGGCTGGTGGATCACCTGAGGTTGGGAGTTCAAGACCAGCCTGACCAATATGGAGAAACTCCGTCTCTACTAAAAATACAAAATTAGCTGGGCATGGTGGCTCATGCCTGTAATCCCAGCTACTCAGGAGGCTGAGGCAGGAGAATTACTTGAACCCAGGAGGTGGAGGTTGCAGTGAGCTGAGATCATGCCATTGTACTCCAGGCTGGGCAACAAGAGTGAAACTCTGTCTCAAAAAAAAAAAAAGAAAAAGAGTTCTCTTGGGAGGCTGAGGCGGGTCGACAGATCTCAAGGCCATCCTGGCCAACATGGTGAAACCCCGTATCTACCAAAAATACAAAAATTAGCTGGACATGGTGGCGCACACCTGTAGTCCCAGCTACTTGGAAGGCTGAGGCAGGAGAATTGTGTGAACCCGGTGCGGGGGCGGTTGCAGTGAGCCAAGATCACGCCACTGCCCTCCAGCCTGGTGACAGAGCAAGACTCTGTCTCAAAAAAAAAAAAAGTTCTCAAGGATTTAAGCTTTTTCATTTTTTAAGTGCTATTTATAAGAAGGTGTTTGTTATTGGAGGGTGGTTTTGAGCCCAATCTCTATAACAGATACTATATTATGATAATTTGTGTTAAATTGGGGACTCAAAATGGACCAACTATTAATCAAGAAATGTAAATGGGATAGGGTAAAACAAGTATGTTTCGGCATTTTTGTATAGACATACTGAGAAATGCATCTTGCTTGAGTTTCTCCTGCAGTTTCTGCTTTTCAAACCTCTTGAAGTAGGAATAGATGGGAAGGAAAAAATGACTAGAGGAAAACAGAATGGGAGAGATGTGGGAAGAACAGTGAGGATAATGATATTGCGTCATGTTTCCCACTGGGGATGTTGTGGGATACCAAGTTTTAGAGATGTCTTGAGTTTCTGGTTTTATTTTTGTTTTTAATGTAGAAACCATTAGTTACAGCTATTAAGCTCTGTGTGTGTGTATGTTATGTGTATGTTTATATTCACCAACTTTGATGGGTTGACAGTAATGAGGTTTTTATACTTTGCATGCTTCCAGGTCCTGGCAAAACTGGCCTGTGGACTAAACAAGCCCAACCGCCAAACCCTGGTTTCACATGGGTCAGTCCCACAGCTCTTCAGCCAAATGCCCATTCGCAAAATGTAAGTATTCAGGCAGCATGTTAAATTTCACTTCTATCCATGTGTAGAAACTCTCTGGTTGTAGTTTCTTGTGTTACTAATTAAGGACTGGAGCCAGGGGAAATACATACCAGGCAGTTAGAAGGAAAACAACACAGAACATTTTGAAACACACGCTGAGACTTTTATTTTTATTTATTTATTTATTTTTTGAGACAGAGTTTCACTCTTGTTGCCCACGCTAGAGTGCAATGGCACGGTGTCAGCTCCCTGCAACCTCCACCTCCCAGGTTCAAGCAATTCTCCTGTCTCAGGCTCCTGAGTAGCTGGAATTACAGGCGCCCACCACCACGCCTGGCTAATTTTTGTAATTTTAGTAGAGACAGGGTTTCACCATGTTGGCCAGGCAAATCTCAAACTCTTGACCTCAGGTGATTTGCCCTCCTCAGCCTCCCAAAGTGTTGGGATTACAGGCGTGAGCCACTGCGTCCAGCCACGCTGAGACTTTTATTGAACCTTCAATTCTGGGTTATCTGTGGCAGATACTTAATCCTGAATTAAAAAAAAATGAGCCAGGTGTGGTGGCTCACACCTATAGTCCCAGCACTTTTGGTAGGCCAGGGTGGGTGGATCGCTTGAGCCCAGGAGGTCAAAACCAGTCTAAGCAACATAGTGAGACCCCATCTCTATAAAAAATAAATAAATAGGCCGGGTGCGGTGGCTCACGCCTGTAATCCCAGCACTTTGGGAGGCGAGGCAGGTGGATCACCTGAAGTCAGGAGTTCGAGACCAGCCTGGCCAACATGGTGAAACCCTGTCTCTACTAAAAATACAAAAATTAGCTGAGCGTGGTGGCGGGTGCCTGTAATCCTAGCTACTCGGGAGGCTGAGGCAGGAGAATCACTTGAACCCAAGAGGCGGAGGTTGCAGTGAGCCAAAATGGCGCCCTTGCACTCTAGCCTGGGTGACAAGAGCAAGACTCCGTCTTAAAAATATATAAAAAATAAATAAATAAACCAAGTTTTAGCTAAATGTTTAACTTCCCGCTAGACTTTTTTATTTAAGTCTGTTATTAAGTAACAAATAGGAATTTTACTTCTTTTCTTTCCTCTAATAGCATATCAAGGTGTTCAGGGCTGCTGAATTTCAGCTCTCAAAGTAGGCATTAGAGAAGAAGCCAAGTCAAATGAACAGGTTGTGCCTACCAGTTGTGTGGCCTTGACAAGGACTTATAATATTGTAGAAAGGACAAGGTAAAAAGCAATAGTAAAAGTGCTGTCATAAGACTGCATAATTGATAAATGAATTGTGCAGTAGAACAAACTTCACAAAAGAAGGGAGTATTTGGAGATGGATTTATAAAAAGGCATGGGATTTTGTTTTGAGATTTGGCAAAATTTGGAGAGTCAGACAAAAACAGCAAAGCAGTACTGATTTGGAGAACTTTTTAGCACAAAGAAGGGAAAGTATGAGATATTTTCAGTGAACTGGGACCTAAAGTAGTTTAGCTGCACCATATTGAGGAGGATAATGGAAATAGACTGAAAAGATGGTTTAAAGACAGATTACAGGGAGCCTCAAAGGCTGGGCTAAAGAATTTTGACTTTTTTTTTTTTGAGACAAGTCTTGCTCTGTTGCCCAGGCTGGAGTGCAGTGGCGCGATATTGGCTCACTGTAGCCTCCACCTCCTGGGTTCAAGCGATTCTCCTGCCTCAGCCTGCCCAGTAGCTGGGACCACAGCTGCATGCCACTACGCCCGACTAATTTTTGTATTTTTAGGAGAGATGAGGTTTTACTATTTTGGCCAGGCTGGTCTCAAACTCCTGGCCTCCAATGATCTGCCTGCCTTGGCCTCCCAAAGTGCTGGGATTACAGGCATGAACCACTGTGCCCAGCTGACTGTTTATATTTAGGTTATGTATTCCTTTTTTTTTTTTTTTTTTTTTTTGAAACAGAGTCTTGCTCTGTCTCCCAGGCTGGAGTGCAGTGGCACAATTAAGAGCTCACTGCAGCCTTAACCTCCTGGGCTCCAGCAATCCTCCTGCCTCAGCCTCCCAAGTAGCTGGGAGCACAGGCACATGCCACCATGCCCAGTTAATTTGCTGGAGTACAGTGGCACAATCTCGGCTCACTGTAACCTCTGCCTCCTGGGCTCAAGTGATCCTCCCACCTCAGCCTCCCAAGTAGCTGGGACTACAGCTACATACTACCACACCTGACTAATTTTTTTGTATTTTTTTTGTTGAGACAGGGTTTCGCCATGTTGTTCAGACTGTTCTCAAACTCCTGGGCTCAGGTGATCCACTCGCTTCTGCCTCCCAAGTGCTAGGACTACAGGAGTGAGCCACTGCACCTGGCCTTAATTTTTTTTTGTAGAGTTAGGGTCTTACTTTGTTGTCCAGGCTGGTCTCAAACTCCTGGACTCAAGCAATCTTCCCGCCTTGGCCTCCCAAAGTGGGATCATAGGTGTGAGCCATTGTGCCTGGCCAGATTATATATTCTTAAGTAAAGTTTTAGCCATGGAAGGGATTTATTTTGTGTTTGGGATTTTAATCCCCAAACAGGACAGCAGGCGTTGTACAATTGAACGTTTTATATACAGTTTACTTGATAGTTAATCAAGGACTTTAACCTTTTGGTTATGTTATTTTTAATCTTCTTCTCAAATTCTAACTCCCAGAGTAACTGAATTCCCAGAATATATGCTCTCATTTGTCCTGAACCTTTTGGAGAGCTGTTTACAAAGTAGAATGTCTTACGTTTGCTGCTAATTAGATAGTTATGATGTGACCTATCAATTCTTTGTCTCCTTTGTTATCAGCCGTAGTCTTGGAGGAAAGCTAGGGGCCTCTGTCATTGAGATCCTAGGGATAGAATACATGGGTGAACTGACCCAGTTCACTGAATCCCAGCTCCAGAGTCATTTTGGGGAGAAGAATGGGTAAGTGATTCATTTTTTTTAAAATCATAACCTTTATGGAGATGCTATATTCAAATATAGACAAAACCATCTAGTAAAATCCAGACCTATCTTTAGGTTAACATTTGTTTCTTGAGATTATTTCACTGGTTCTTCTTGCTTCAATATCTTGGGTCACTATGGCCCATCAGTCTAGAGTAGTTTTTTCCATGTACCTAGGTGGTTGATAGATAAGATTTGTTACTTTGATGCCTGAGTATATACTAATTACATCATTCATGCATGCTGAGATGCTATATTCTCTTAAAATCCTTGTGTTTAATGCCCTAGCAAGCACACACACATTTTGGGATATGAATCAGTGGCTTGCTTGGCATTTTTCCAAAAATACAAATGATGACTTGGCTTTAGAAGACAAAACCAGTGTTCTCATTGTCCATATATTGCACTGGAATTCACTGAGAAGGGCAGGGGTTTCGTCAGAGGTCCGGTACACTAAATTTTGGACAAGGTTTTCCTTTTTCATGAAAAAGATAAAAGGGCAATATAATATAGTTATTTGGTTTTGTTTTAACAAGAATAATCATTTAATTTCACCTTAACGTTTTTTGCTGGTCTTATTAGGTCTTGGCTATATGCCATGTGCCGAGGGATTGAACATGATCCAGTTAAACCCAGGCAACTACCCAAAACCATTGGCTGTAGTAAGAACTTCCCAGGAAAAACAGCTCTTGCTACTCGGGAACAGGTAAGCTGGCATTCTTGACAGAACACTACCTCTTTTAAAGGGGTCAGTGGGTAGGTTTTGGTAGCTGTGGAAGGTTTAATAGGTTAGAGGAGACCTTTATAAAGTATGAAGAAAACAGATGTTCTGTCCTTGGGTTGAAAATTGACTAGTTTATGATTATTACTTTTTTCTCTTTCGTCTATCGAAATAAAATGGAATTTCTCATTTGTTTAGTAGATGGAGACTTGGAAAGCCTAGGATATTATGCTTCAAGTTTGGGTCTTGTCTTTTTCTCAGAGCTGGAACATGCTTGAAAGTCACCTGATGGCAAACAAGCAGGAAAAGAAAATGAAAGGCTTGAGCTAGGGCAGGACAGAAGGACTGGGAACATTTCTATGATCTGGTGATCCTTTGATTATGGGGAGTCTTTGGTGCACAATTCTGTTTGGGAGAAAAAAAAGAACAAATAACACCATCTAGTTCTTAATAGACTTCGAGTGTTTAAATGAAAGATTAAAGTCTCAATACTTTTTTAGGTACAATGGTGGCTGTTGCAATTAGCCCAGGAACTAGAGGAGAGACTGACTAAAGACCGAAATGATGTAAGATTTTCTTTCTTTATTCCTGGGGTGGGCTTTGCAATTTACATATCAGCTGCTCTTTACCTTATGGAGCAGGAACAAAGACAGAAAAAAGTATTAGCATAGGAAATATCCGTTTTCTTTCTTTTTTTTTTTTTTTTTTTTTTTTGAGACATGGTCTCACTCTGTCTCCCAGGCTGAGTACACTGGCACAATCATGGCTCACTGCAACCTCTACCTCTTAGGCTCAAGCTCTCCTCCCAACTCAGCCTCCTGAGTAGCTGGGACTACAGGTGCATGCCACTACAACTGGCTAAATTTTTTTATTTTTTGTAGAGACAGGGTCTTGCTAGGTTGCTCAGGCTGGTCTTGAACTCCAGCCAAGGAAATTTTAAGAAATCTTTTTAAATTTTTTAATTTTTTAATTTTTTTTTGAGACATAGAGTTTTCCCTCTTGCTGCCCAGGCTGGAGTGCAGTGGCATGATCTTGGCTCACTGCAACCTCCGCCTCTGGGTTCAAGTGATTCTCCTGCCTCACCTTCCCAAGTAGCTAGGATTACAGGCACATACCACCACACCCGGCTAATTTTTTGTTTTGTATTTTCAGTAGAGACGGGGTTCTACCATATTGGCCAGGCTGGTCTTGAATGCCTCACCTCAGGTGATCCGCCCACCTCAGCCTCCCAAAGTGTTGGGATTACAGACATAAGCCACCACGCCCAGCCAGTAGTGGCAGTTTTAAGCACATTTTATTGTGTATATTTGATGTTTACAACATGATGCTATGGGATACATATAGTAAAATGGTTACTATAGTGTAGCAAATTAACGTATCTATCATTTCACATACTTTTTTGTAAAAAAAAAAAAAAGTAGTTAAAATCTACTTAAAATCTCTAATAGAATTTTATTAACTATAGTCCTCACTTGTACATTAGCTCAATAGACTTGTTCACCCTACGTGTCTGCTACTTTATATCCTTTTACTTACATCTCCCCATTTCCTCCTCCCCTCCCCCATCCCAGGTAACCACTGTTTTATTCTCTATCTCTGTATATTTGACTTAAAAAAAAAATTCTGAGCATTGTACATTTTTCTTTCTAATGTTAAAGACATCTGATGATTAGTTTCTCTCCTTTTTTTTTTTGAGACTGAGTTTCGCTCTATCGCCCAGGCTGGAGTGCAGTGGAGCAATCTTGGCTCACTGCAACCTCCACCTCCCAAATTCAAGCGATTCTCCTGTCTCAGCCTCCCGAGTAACCGGGATTACAGGTACCTGCCACCATACCCAGCTAATTTTTTTATTTTTAGTAGAGACGGGGTTTTACCTTGTTGGCTGGGCTGATCTCGAACTCCTGACCTCAGGCGATCTGCCCATCTTGGCCTCCCAAAGTGCTGGGATTACAGGCATGAGCCACCGCACCCGGCAGTTTCTCTCTCCTTTTTAAATAGCTTTATTGACATATACTTTACATACCACAAAATTCACCCATTTAAAATAATTCAGTGGTTTTAGTATATTGCAGAGTTCTACAACTATTCTACAATTTTAGAGCATTTTTATCACCCCCCAAAAGAAATCCTGTGCCCATTACCAGTCACTCCCCATTTCTCTCCCAGCTACTCCCCAGCCCTAGGCAACCACTACACTGCTTAACTGTTCTGGACATTTCATATAAATGTGGTCTTTTGTGAAAATATGTGGTCTTTTGTGACTGGCTTGAAGTCTTTCACTTAATATGTTTTCAGGTTCAGCCGTATTGTAGCATGTATTAGTACTTAGTCATTTTTTGTTTGTTTTGTTTTTGTTTTTTGAGACGGAGTCTCGCTCTGTCACCAGGCCAGAGTGCAGTAGTGCAGTCTCGGCTCACTGCAACATCCGCCTCTCCAGTTCAAGTGATTCTGCTGCCTTAGCCTCCCGAGTAGCTGGGATTATAGGCACGCGCCACCACGCCCAGCTAATTTTTGTATTTTTAGTAGAGATAGGGTTTCACCATGTTGGCCAGGGTGGTCTCAATCTCATGACCTTGTGATCTTCCTGCCTCAGCATCCAAAAGTGCTGGGATTACAGGCGTGAGCCACTGCGCCCGGCCAGGACTGACACCTTTTTATGGCTGAATAATATTCTATTGTATTAATATATACCATATTTTGCTTATCTACTTATTAGTGAATGGACATTTGAGTATATTTCCACTTTTGGCTATTATGAATAATGTTGATATGAACATTCATCTACAAGTTTTTGTGTAGACACCTGTTTTCTTTCCAGCATATACCTTGGAGTATAATTTCTGGGTCATATGTTAACTCTATGTTTAGCATTTTGAGGAATCGCCAGACTGTTTTCCACAGTGGCTACACCATTTCACATCCTTACCATCAATGTAAGAGGGTTCCAATTTTTCCACATCCTTGTTACTGACTTTTTAAATTTTAGCCATTCTAGTGGGTGTGAAATGGTATCTCATTATGGTTTGGCTTACATTCTCTGATAATCTTTTCATGTGCTTGTTGGACATTTGTATATCTTTGGGGAAATGTTTGTTGAAATCCTGTTCCTGGGCCGGGCGTGGTGGCTCAAATTTTTGGAGGCCGAGGTGGGCAGATCACCTGAGGTCAGGAGTTCGAGGGTAGCCTGGCCAACATGGCGAAACCCTGTCTCTACTAAAAATACAAAAATTAGCTGGGCGTGGTGGCGGGCACCTGTAATCCCAGCTACGCAGGAGGCTGAGGCAAGAGAATCGCTTGAACCTGGAGGTGGAGGTTGCAGTGAGCCGAGATTGCGCCATTGCACTCCAGCATGAGCAACAAGAGCAAAGCTCCACCTCAAAAATAAAAAAGAAAAAACAAAAATCCTCTCCCCTTTTTTAAATTGGGTTGTCTCTTTATTATTGAGTTTTAACATGTCCCTTGTCAGATACGTGATTTGCAAATATTTTCTCCCATTCTGTGGGTTTTCTTCTCACTTTCCTAATGGTATTGTTTGATGCATCCTCTTCTTTTGAAATGTCTTGGAGTTCTACAAGTCAACTGTACATGTCAAGAATAGTCCAAAACTGCTCGTTGCTCCTTTTTAGCTGGAATGGGTGGTAAATGTTTGTTCCTTTGGTAGGCATCATAAAGAGGGATTTGATCCAGTTGCGTTATCGCCCTTTTCCGCTTTTGCCCACTAGGTGGCACTTGTTTCTCATCTCTCTCTAAGTCCCTGGGGCCTTTCTTTCCACTTTTTTTTCCTAAGAGACAGGGTCTTGGCTGTCATCCGTGCTGGAGCACAGTAATACAACCTTAGCTCACTGCAGCCTTGTAGCCTCAACCTCCTGGGCTCAAGTAATCCTCCTGCCTTAGCCTCCCACAGTGCTGGGAGTACAGGCATGAGCCACTGTGCCTAGCCTTTTCTTCCCTCTTTGTATCCAGTGGGGATCCCTGAAAATCTATCTTTTAAGCTTCAAAGGACTTTATGCCAAAAATAATTCAGGACATAGCAGATCCTATCACTTCACTGTTTAAAACATTCCAGTGGTTTCCCTTCACACTTAAGGCATATTAAGGAATTTTTTAAAAGTAATTCTATAAAGCCAAATATAATCTAATTTCTTGCTACTTCTCTGACCCCATCTCTTATCTTCCCCTCACTTATTCTAGTCTCCACTTCACTGGCCTCCTTCCCTTTATCTAACACACTAAGTAAGCTCTTACTTTAGCACTTCCCGTTTCTTTGCCCTGGAGACTCTTTGTTCATATATTCTTAATATTTGCTTCCTTGATTTATTCAAATCTCTGTGCATGTATTACATTCTCCAGGAGGTCCTCCCTAGTTACCCTATCACAGCAGCAGCCTCCATCACTCTCTGCCTTATTCTGCTTTTCTTCATAGCACTCATCTCTGTGGTCATTTCTGTTACATGTCTATTTTTTATTATCTATAGTTCCTACTACAACATAGGATCCATGAGGACCTGGACTTTATTTTGTTCTCTCCTGCATCTCTAGGCACTGTCTAGGCATGCAGTTATAGTTGAATAATTTTGGTCAACAAGGACTCCTTTATAATTGCTAATTTGTATTCCCTCAAGATATATAAATCCATACAAATGTATTTTTTATCCAAAAAGTAGTTCCTGCTCTTAGCTTGTTTGCCTTAGGGATACTTCTTCTCACTAGCATCTTTTGATAGGGGTCCCTTATGTAGAATTTTCACCTTCTTATATTTCTGCCTCTTGACCATTATGTCTCAGTTTGCTGAGATTACAGCATTCAGATGCTTCAGACTTCACTGAAAAGTGAGTCATGATCTTGCTCTCTCAAGGCAGGCTCACTATATGGTATCTTCTCTAGATAAGCTGTAAAAAGGTGTTGGTAGAAACTTCTGGAATTGGTGGCGAATGTTTGTTTACCATAAGAGCCCCAGGGCAGAAAAAAAGATATGACTTGAAGCCTAGTTCCACTTTGCTTTCAGACAATTACTTACCTGAAACCTTCCTTCAGTCACAAAATAGTATCTAGTATTGTAGATATTTGTTATAATTGTCCTGCTTAGACACCATGAAAAACATTTAGGGGAGTCCCATTTTCATTTGTGCTGTCCTGTTCCCATCATCTGTCAAAACATCCTAGGATACTCCGATGTTCCATAATCCAAATTATGTCTTCTTCAGTTACTTTTTACACCCAGAAATAGCATTAACACTTTTTTGTGGAACCATGTAATCAGATTTCTATTCAGAAAATGCATTCTGTTGCATATATATAGATTCTTTTTTTTTTTTTTTTTTTTTTTGAGACAGAGTCTTGCTCTGTCATCCAGGCTGGAGTGCAGTGGCACCATCTTGGCTCACTGCAACCTCTGCCTCCCAGGTTCAAGCAATTCTCCTGTCTCAGCCTCCCGAGTAGCTGGGATTACAGGTGCCTGCCACCACGACTGGCTAGTTTTTTTGTATTTTTCAGTAGAGATGGGATTTCGCCATGTTTGCCAGGCTAGTCTCGAACTCCTGACTTCAGGTGATCCACCTGTCTCAGCCTCCCAAGGTGCTGGGATTACAGGCGTGAGCCACCATGCCTGGCCTCTTTCTCTTTTTTATATTTTATCTTTACTCTTTGCAGAACTCAGTTTACCTTTATTCTTGACTTTTAAACTACTGTTTCCAAACCATTGTCACCCTGGTTCTTTTAATTTCCTCTCCTGCAGTTCAGTACCTAGAATTCAGATGCTCCTCATAACTTTATTTCTGGTCTCCATCCTTTCCACCCACAGAATGACAGGGTAGCCACCCAGCTGGTTGTGAGCATTCGTGTACAAGGAGACAAACGCCTCAGCAGCCTGCGCCGCTGCTGTGCCCTTACCCGCTATGATGCTCACAAGATGAGCCATGATGCATTTACTGTCATCAAGAACTGTAATACTTCTGGAATCCAGACAGAATGGTGAGTTCTTTTCTAGCTCATCTTCTCAGAATAGATGATGATTCTTAGCTCTGTCTTAGCTCTACAAGACATAATTTTTATCATAAAGTTCCTCATTGTGTCTAATCACTCAAATTTTCACATGAGCTGAATTTCAGAAGATGAAATATGCTTTTATGTACAGATTAGTCCTTCAATGAGGTAAAGGGTAAATGTCATTTTAAAGTTATTATTAAAGTATCGGCCGGGCGCAGTGGCTCACGCCTGTAATCCCAGCACTTTGGGAGGCCAAGGTGGGTGAATCACCTGAGGTCTGTCTCAGTTCTACAAGTAGTAGGAATCTCTGTCTTAGCTCTACAAGTAGTAGGAATCTGAGCTCTTCCATCTGGGATAGACTCTGACTCAGACTACCAGTACCTGTTACTCTGGGAGAAAATACAGTACCAACCTCAGAAACAAGACAGCTCAGCACAGATCCTTTGCCGACAGCTGATACATTCCAGTTCCCAGGAGGTTAGACCCTTACTCTGTATTGGCTTGGTCAGGGAAATGACCAGTTGCACTTGGAGAACAGAGCTCAAATTTCAAGGATACATTTGGGAACTTCAAACTACTTGATTGTTCTATCTTAAAAGCATATTTCTTGATTATAAAGGTGACCTGTGTTCACTGATATTCTCTATCTGACATCCCAACTCAGTTACAAGCTCCACTGGTATTATACCAAATGTCATATTCATTAGTAAACTTCACTTCTGTTGGTCATGAAATATAAGCCTCTTTTTGGAGCATCTTCATTTTCTGTCCAGATATTAATGATTTTCAGGATTGGAATCCTTTAATTGCATATTTAATAAAGCCCTTACTTTTTTTAAAGTATTCCAAATTCACAATAGAAATATAATTATGAGAGAGAGGTAAGTCAGTTGCTCACTTACAGATGTATATTGAATATTATACAAAATAAAATCAAAGTTTAGTTAATCGCTTATTACTTATCTAAATATATTGGCAGTATAATTATGTGTACAGACCTATAATATGGTGGAGTCTCCTAGTCTTTGTTCATAGGGCCGGGCGCGGTGGCTCACGGCTGTAATCCCAGCACTTTCGGAGGCCGAGGCAGGCAGATCACCTGAGGTCAGGAGTTCAAGAGCACCCCAGCCAACATGGTGAAACCCTGTCTCTACTAAAAATACAAAAATTAGCCAGGCATGGTGGTGGATGCCTATAATCCCAGCTACTTGGGAGGCTGAGGCAGGAGAATTGCTTGAACCTGGGAGGTGGAGGTTGCGGTGAGCCGAGATTGCGCCATTGCACTCCAGCCTGGGCAACAAGAGCGAAATTCCGTCTCCAACAACAACAACAACAAATAAATAAATAAATAAATAAAGTCTTTGTTCTGAGAATAATTTACTTAATACTTCCTGATATATTTATTTTCAAATATTGAAGTTTTACAAAACCAAATAACAACCGTGGTACTAATGTACACATGAAACCTTATTTGAAAAGTTATAAATTGACAAACTATAACAAATACTACTCACCAACGGTGTGAAACTCCGTGATGCACAGGGAAGCATCAAAATTATCTGATTATAAGACTGTCCCAAAGCATGAAACCTGAGGATATTGGGATACTTTTTTTTTTTTTTTTTGAGACGGAATCTCGCTCTTGTTGTCTAGGCTGGAGTGCAGTGACGCAATCTCGGCTCACTGCAACCTCTGCCTCCCGGGTTCAAGCGATTCTCCTGCCTCAGCCTCCTGAGTAGCTGGGATTACAGGTGCCCGCCACCACGCCCGGCTAAATTTTGTACTTTTAGTAGAGACAGGGTTTCTCCATGTTGGCCAGGCTGGTCTCAAATTCCTGACCTCAGGTGTTTCACCCACCTCGGCCTCCCAAAGTGCTGGGATTACAGGCGTGAGCCACTGCACCCGGCCAATAGTGTAATAATAACTTTAAAATGACATTTACCCTTTACCTCATTGAAGGACTAATCTGTACATAAAAGCATATTTCATCTTCTGAAATTCAGCTTATGTGAAAATTTGAGTGATTAGACACAATGAGGAACTTTATGACAAAAATTTCTGATTTTTTTTTTTTTTTTTTTGAGAGGGAGTCTGGCTCTGTCACCCAGGCTGGAGTGCAGTGGCGCAATCTCCGCTCACTGCAACCTCTGCCTCCCGGGTTCAAGCAATTCTTCTGCCTCAGCCTCCCAAGTAGCTGGGTTACAGGCGTGTGTCACCACACCCAGCTAATTTTTGTATTTTAGTAGAGATGGGGTTTCACCATGTTGGTCAGGCTGGTCTCATACTCCTGACCTCATGACCCACCCGCCTTAGCCTCCCAAAGTGCTGGGATTACAGGTGTGAGCCACCGCTCCCGGCTATCACAAGAATTTCTTAAAATGTTTCTGAAATTGGGACTAGTAACGAAAAGCAGTTGTGGAATTTCATTCTCTAGAAATTCCAGAGTGGTAAGTCAGTCAGGGTTAGGTAGTGCCCTGTTTAAAAACAGGATAATGGCTAAGAGGATTTTTTCAAGTCTTTCTAGTCTAAATATTCTAAAGCTTTTTGTTGTCCTGAATAAAATTTCTTGCCCCAACCCTGAATTACAGCAGCTTTCCAGTGGTACCTTATAAAAAACAATAATCTCTAGCTGTCGGGAGGTGAGTGGTTGCTAAATTAGTGGTTCTCAAGACATAACATCAGCATCACCTAGGAAATTAAATTCTCTGTCATCCCAGGTCTGTTAATCTCTGATACACATTAACGTTTGAGAACCACTGCAGTAAAGAATAATTTCTGTGGCAGAACCAGAATGCTAGTCATCTATGGATTAAATCTGTCCTATGGTGAAATAAAACAGATACAATTCATGGAATTAGCAATAGGTCACTATTTTAATCTTCTAAATTGCTAATCATCTTATTTCTTTACTTTCTGTATAGGTCTCCTCCTCTCACAATGCTTTTCCTCTGTGCTACAAAATTTTCTGCCTCTGCCCCTTCATCTTCTACAGACATCACCAGCTTCTTGAGCAGTGACCCAAGTTCTCTGCCAAAGGTGCCAGTTACCAGCTCAGAAGCTAAGACCCAGGGAAGTGGCCCAGCGGTGACAGCCACTAAGAAAGCAACCACGTCTCTGGAATCATTCTTCCAAAAAGCTGCAGAAAGGCAGAAAGTTAAAGAAGCTTCGCTTTCATCTCTTACTGCTCCCACTCAGGCTCCCATGAGCAATTCACCATCCAAGCCCTCATTACCTTTTCAAACCAGTCAAAGTACAGGAACTGAGCCCTTCTTTAAGCAGAAAAGTCTGCTTCTAAAGCAGAAACAGCTTAATAATTCTTCAGTTTCTTCCCCCCAACAAAACCCATGGTCCAACTGTAAAGCATTACCAAACTCTTTACCAACAGAGTATCCAGGGTGTGTCCCTGTTTGTGAAGGGGTGTCGAAGCTAGAAGAATCCTCTAAAGCAACTCCTGCAGAGATGGATTTGGCCCACAACAGCCAAAGCATGCACGCCTCTTCAGCTTCCAAATCTGTGCTGGAGGTGACTCAGAAAGCAACCCCAAATCCAAGTCTTCTAGCTGCTGAGGACCAAGTGCCCTGTGAGAAGTGTGGCTCCCTGGTACCGGTATGGGATATGCCAGAACACATGGACTATCATTTTGCATTGGAGTTGCAGAAATCCTTTTTGCAGCCCCACTCTTCAAACCCCCAGGTTGTTTCTGCCGTATCTCATCAAGGCAAAAGAAATCCCAAGAGCCCTTTGGCCTGCACTAATAAACGCCCCAGGCCTGAGGGCATGCAAACATTGGAATCATTTTTTAAGCCATTAACACATTAGTGCTGCCCTCAGGCTTGCCTGTAGGATTTAATATTTTTTATCTTTACAGATCTTTATCTTTAATATTTTATCTTTACAGATTTCCCTGAGAAAGGGAATTATGAAATTTTTAATACAAAAAATAATCCATTTAGGTGCTGAGTTACGGTCCCATCTCTTCACAGGCATGGATTCTAATCCCACTGCTGACAGAGATGTAAAAATTCATCCTACCAGAGTTTTTAATCTTTAGCATTTAGGGAGGCAGTGTCATAAAGTAAAAAGTGTGTGGGCCTTGGAGTCTAAGAGACGTGGTTGCAAACTTAGCTCTGGTTATTGCAATGAGGGCCTTGAACAAGTCATTTTCTTCACATTCTCATCTGTAAAATGGAGATAATACCTTACAGATTATTGCAGATTAATAACAATGTATTCAAATTATGTAACTCGGCCGGGTACAATGGCTCACGCCTGTAATCCTAACACTTTGGGAGGCCGAGGCAGACAGATCACCTGAGGTCAGGAGTTTGAGACCAGCCTGGCCAACATGGCAAAACCATCTCTACTAAAAATAGAAAAATTAGCCAGGCACGTTCCAGGCACCTGTGATCCCAGCTACTTAGAGGCTGAGGCAGAAGAATTGCTTTAACCTTGGAGGCGGAGGTTGCATTGAGCTGAGATCATGCTAGTGCGCTCCAGCCTGGGCAACAGAGCGAGACTTCATCTCAGAAAATAAAAAATAGGGGCCAGGCACAGTGGCTCATACCTGTAATGCCAGCACTTTGGGAGGCCAAGGCGGGCAGATCACGAGGTCAGGAGTTTCAGACCAATATGGTGAAACCCCATCTCTACTAAAATTACAAAAAAAATTATCCAGGCGTGGTGGTGCACGCCTGTAATCCCAGCTACTCAGGAGGCTAAGGCAGGAGAATCACTTGAACCCAGGAGGCAGAGGTTGGAGTGAGCTGAGATCGCGCCACCGCACTCCAGCCTGGGCAACAGAGCGAGACTCCATCTCAAACAAAAACAAGAACAAAAACAAACATAAAGTTGGCACAGAAAAGGGACCAAGTTTAAAAAAGGGTTTTAAATGTAATGAGACTTGCATAGTTAAAAAAAAAAAAGGGATTATTTTTATTTTTATTTTTTATTTTTGAGACGGAGTCTCCCTCTGTCGTCAGGCTAGAATGCAGTGGTGCGTTCTCAGCTCACCGCAACCTCCGTCTCCTGGGTTCAAGCAATTCTCCTGCCTCAGCCTCCCAAGTAGCTGGGACTACAGGCACGTGCTACCACACTCAGCTAATTTTTGTATTTTTAATAGAGATGAGGTTTCACCATGTTGGCCAGGATGGTCTCGATTGCTTGACCTCATGATCCGCCTGCCTCGACCTCCCAAAGTTGCTGGGATTACAGATGTTAGCCACCGATCCTGGCCCCCCCAAAAAAAGGATTTTAAGAAAAACTTCTCTTGGCCGGGCGCAGTGGCTCACGCCTGCAATCCCAGCACTTTGGGAGGCCGAGGCGGGCGGATCACAAGGTCAGGAGATCGAGACCACGGTGAAACCCCGTCTCTACTAAAAAATACAAAAAAAAATTAGCCGGGTGCGGTGGCAGGCGCCTGTAGTCCCAGCTACTCGGGAGGCTGAGGCAGGAGAATGGTGTGAACCCGGGAGGCGGAGCTTGCAGTGAGCCGAGAGCGCGCCACTGCACTCCAGCCTGGGTGACAGAGCGAGACTCCGTCTCAAAAAAAAAAAAAAAAGAAAAACTTCTCTTTAGGCTGGGTGCGGTTCCTCATGCCTATAATCCCAGCATTTAGGGAGGCTGAGGTGAGTGGATTGCAGGAGCTCAGGAGTTCGAGACCAGCCTGGGCAAGGTGGCAAAACCCCGTCTCTACTAAAAAAAATTAGCTGGGCTTGGTGGCAGGCGCCTGTAATCCCAGGTACTCGGGAGACTGAGGCAGGAGAATTGCTTGAACCTGGAAGGTGGAGGTTGCAGTGAGTTGAGATCACACCAATGCACTCCAGCCAGGGTGAGAGTGAGAGACTGTCTCAAAAAAAAAAAAAACAAAAGAAAAACTTCTCTCTAGCTCTGTGACGGGCAGTTCAGATAATACCTTCACCAGATTTACCTGTTTTCAGCTGAAGAATGTGAGATGAAGCCTTGAAACCCTAAAAGTGATATGGTAACTAGGGCAGGTCTTTCTGTACATAAAAGTGACTTAATAAACAGTGAATTTCATACAGGTAAACCCTATTATACCCTCAGTTCTAACCATTGGCCTATCTCTTGCGTTTTGTTCTAATGTAGAATTAGATTGCTACTTGACTAGTTCAGGAACTCTGTTTAGATCTGATAAGTCATAATCAAATCTTGCCAGGCGTGGTGGTTTATGCCTGTTATCCCAGCACTTTGGGAGGCCAAGGCAGGTGGACCACGTGAAGTCAGGAGTTCAAGACAAGCATGGCCAACATGGCGAAACCCTGTATCTACTAAAAATACAAAAATTAGCCGGGCATGGTGGTGGGTGCGTGTAATCCCAGCTAGTTGGGAGGCTGAGGCAGGAGAATCACTTGAACCTGGGAGGCAGAGGTTGCAGTGAGCCGAGATTTCCACTGCATTCCAGCCTGGGCGATAGAGTAACTCTGTCTCAAAAAAACCCACTAGATCATCTCTAGAACATTGCTACTCCCAAGTATGATTTGAGGAACAGCAGCCTCAGTATCACCAGGGAACTTATTAGAAATAGTCTCAGCCTCACCACTATTCCCACTTAATTGTAATCTGATATTAACAAGATTTCCCAATGTGGGTCAGGTGTGGTGGCTCATGCCTGTAATCCCACACTTTGGGAGGCCAAGGTGGGCGGATCACTTGAGGCTGGGAGTTTGAGACCAGGCTGGCCAACATGGGGAAAACCCATCTCTACAAAAAATAACAAAAATTAGGTGTGTGTGGTGACGCATGCGTGTAATCCCAGCTACTTAGGAGGCTGAGGCAGGAGAATCACTTGAATCTGGGAGGCAGAGGTTGTAGTGAGCTGAGATTGTGCCACTGCACTCCAGTCTGGGCAACAGAGTGACACTGTTTAAAAAAAAAAAAATTCCCAATGTGGGCCGGGTGCAGTGGCTCATGCCTGTAATCCCAGCACTTTGGGAGGCTGAGGTGGGTGTATCACGAGGTCAAGAGATCAAGGCCATCCTGGCCAACATGGTGAAACCCCGTCTCTACTGAAAATACAACTGGGCGTGGTGGTGCACGCCTGTAGTCCCAGCTACTTGGGAGGCTGAGGCAGAAGAATTGCTTGACCTGGGAGGCGGAGCTTGCAGTGAGCCCAGATCGTGCCACTGCACTGCACCCTGGCGACACAGCAAGACTGTCTCAAAAAAAAAAAAATTCCCAATGTGTATCTTAAAGTTTGAGAAATGCTGATCTAAAAGATACTAATGACCAGGTGTGTAGAGGACATTTTCTTAAGCCCTTAAGTACAAATTTAAGAGGTAAGTGCTTCAGCCATTAGGGTTACTGGCTTGTTCATCTTTCCCACTGAGTGTAAATATTTAGCTTAGGGTTTAAAATTTGTTATGTAGCTTTTTGCACTTGTCCATGTTTATACTACTGTATTATTATTATTTTTTTTTGAGATGGAGTCTCGCTGTGTAGCCAGGCTGGAGTGCAGTGGTGCAATCTTGGCTCACTGCAACCTCCGTCTCTCGGGTTCAAGCAATTCTCCTGCCTCAGCTTCCCGAATAGCTGAGACTACAAGCGTGCACCACCATGCCCAGCTAATTTTTGTATTTTTAGTAGAGACAGGTTTTCACCATGTTGGCCAGGCTGGTCTCTATCTAGACCTCGTGATCCATCCGCCTCGGCCTCCCAAAGTGCTGGGATTATAGGCATGAGCCACCACGCCCAGCCTATAGTACTGTATTCTTATTCTCCACTCTTGTGTGTGAAAAGTCAGCTCTTTTGGCTTTTCTGTTATGGGGAAACTTGAATTACACAGGGAACCCAACTGAAGAAAATGAACTGAAGTAGGTGGCGCTGGGTGAAGTGGGCCCAGAGAATGGTGTACACATCCCTCCCATACATATACCCAAACTTCTATTTTTTTATGTGACGGAGTTTCTCTCATCGCCCCGGCTGGAATGCAATGGCACGATCTCGGCTCACTGCAACCTCCGCCTCCCGGGTTCAAGCGATTCTCCTGCATCAGCCTCCTGAGTAGCTGGGATTATAGGCATGCACCATCACGCCTGGCTAATTTTTGTATTTTTAGTAGAGATGGGGTTTCGCCACGTTGGCCAGGCTGGTCTTGAACTCTTGATCTCAAGTGATCCACCCGCCCTGGCCTCCCAAAGTGCTGGGATTACAGGCCTGAGCCACCAGGCCAGCCCCAACTTCTACTTTTTATTTTATTTATAAATTGGGGGGGGGGTTCTATATTTAGTTTGAAGAGGTGGGGAAGATTTGAAAACCACTAGATTTACCAGGAAATTTTTTTCTTCAAAAATATTTTCTGCTTTTATGATACTTGAATATCTAATAAAAGACAATATTTAGCCAGTCACGGTGGCTGATGCTTGTAATCCTAACACTTTGGGAGGCTGAGGTGGGTGGACTACTGGAGCCCTGGAGTTCAAAACCGGCCTAAGCCACATGGCAAAACAGTCTTTACAAAAAATACAAAGATGGTGGCTTATGCCTGTAGTCGTACCTACTCAGGAGGCTGAGGTTGGGAGGATCACCTGAATCTGGGAGTTTGGGGCTGCAATAAGCCATGATTGTGCCGCTGCACTCCAGCCTGGGTGACAGTCTGAGACCCTGTCTCAAAAAAAAAAAAAAAAAAAAAAAAAAAAAAGACTACATTCACTGTATACGTGGCCTTTTCCCCCTAACTAGCTATGTAGCTTCTTAAAGGCAAAGATTCTTCATAGTGCTTTGCACATGATAGGTGCTGATACTCATTGGATGAATGTATATAGTGAAGAATTTTAGATCTGATTACCACAATTGGGATCATAAACATGTATAAACTCCTTGGGAGTCTGCCTTATATACTTTTTATCCCCCTAAATGTTCCATTAATGTTGCAGAGAGGCTCACTAGTTCCTGGAGATGTCTTATTAAGTACTGAAATGTGATTTTCCAAAATTTTCTTTACAATACAGGCAAAAGATAAGTAAATTGTGGACAAAGCTTTCATCTCTATCAGCAGCTATAGAGAGGAAGTAAACAGCTTAGCCCCTAATACAGGAGGAAGTTGTTCAACTACAGGCTTGTTAGTAGCAAGTTAAACCAGTTACATTTTATAAAACAGCCTGAGTGGTAGGGAAGCTATCACTTTAATACTCTAGAGGCAGAATGCCACATAGGACTTTGGGTCACATATTTCTTTTCCAGGGTCTCCTCAAAATGCAGTTTCTATTTACAGTTGACTTTGGCCCCTATTTACCCATAAAATGTCAAAATCAAGTAGTATGAACATGGAAACAGGAGCAGGGACTAAGGTTTGGTCAAGTGGCCCTCATTGTTCCAAGAGTAATTTAGGCTATGTAAACTTGAAAAATATGGGACCAGATTACCTTTTGTCTCTAAATTCTACTCTTCTTTAAGTAGCTGGCACTGTATCTCTGCCAGGGCACAGAAGTGGGCTCCTTACTATTCTGACCACTAGCAAGTGGCCAACTCTTCAAATACAGGGTAGCTACCTATTTCACGTGAAAGGCCTCAGTATTCTGCTCACTTGAACTACGGAAAATAGGCCACAATACTTGGTTACAATACTGGAACTCTGAACCTATGTGGAGGAGAGAAAAACAATGGTGAACGAGATACCAGCTGGGCTCTTTCCACATTCAGGGCTCAGCAGTGTTGGGGTTTCACTTGTCTCTAATCCTGAAGAGGTATCTAGCCCTGGAAGGAAGCTGAGCCTGTAGCTAACGCATAAGCACAGTGTATTCAATAAAACATTTTTATTCTGTACAATATATATGTGTATTTAAATATATATACATATGTATATATATATATATGCACAGAGAAACCTTAGCCAACAAATCCCTGAGTCCATGGGAACCCAGGACACTAACAAAGGGAAAGGAGAGTCCATGCCTAAAGAGTAGGAAATATGGCAACATCTTTCCCTTTCCTCCTGGTTCCCTGCAACAGAGGGAAGGGAACAGTCACTACAAATTACTAAAACGAGGGTTTAGGTGGGGCAGGAAAGTGGGGTGAGAGTGGTAGGATGGGGAACTCAGATGCCACCAGTCTGGGAAAGTAAAACATTTGATCCAGCATGAAAGCCAACATGACCGCAGAGGAAAAAGACCAGACTGATGGGCATGCAGCTGGCCTTTGGTATATGCCAAGCCTTTGCTTGGTAGCCCCACGCCTGGGCCAGCACAACAAATAGCACCTGTGGGGCCTATAAGCCGGGAGGGGATGGGGGAGATAGGGACTGGGGAAATGGCCCTTGAGTGAAGGAAAGGGAGATAAAGCTGAGGAAGAGGCCTCAGGCCTCAGCACAGGGTGGCAACACTACCATTCACTGTCCCTGTGCCATTTCTTCAGACTCTGGGCCGCCACCACCACCAGATGGCCAAGAGCAGATAACCTTTTGTCCACAGCCAGGTAGAGATGGGCAACTTACATGGCCTTGAGAAGAGGTATAGAAAAAGGAGTGCTTTTGAGGGCTACCCCCTGTTGTGACCATTCCTGAAGTGCAGAGACCACACCAGCAAAACATGCCCAGTCTTAGTAGTGGGGACGAAGAATTGATGAGTGGATCCAGTCAGCTCCGGCAGACAGGCCACAGGGTTGCCAGGTTTGATGAGCCAACCAGGTGAGCACACAGCTTCGGAGCACTGCCCTGAATCCTGTCTTCTCCCTCAGGACTGCCCTTTCCTGGCCACACCAAGTTTGGCACCTCTCCAGAAAGTTGGCAGGGAGCAAGTGGCAGACAGCACCCCTCTCTCCCTAGCCTATTAACACACAGAGCCGCCAATGGCAGGGCAGCATGGCCAGAAGTCACCTTATATATTGTAGGGACAGCAATAGAACTGTCCCTGCCTGAAGGGTTCAGAAGCCCATGTTGGCCTGGGCTTCTCCTGCTGTAATGGCTTGTACATCAGTGACATGGCCGATGCCCTTGGTGACACCCTCCCGGAACAGCAGTTTGGCGCCCACCTTCAGGTACTCTGGGTGTTTCAGGAAGCGGAAACGTACCACTGCCTTCTCGCCTGTCCGCAGTTTGTCCTGCAGCAAATAAGTGGTCACTCCCCTGGCCAGTGCCTTCTGTCCCATTCTCTGCCAGCCGTGGCTCTCCACCCTCCAGAGGCCTATCAGGCCGCTACCCACCCTAAGTGGGGTTTTATTCCCATTGTGGGATCAAGGAGTTCTCTGCCAGTCTGGGGCAGGCCTCCCTCTTTTCTGACCTCTGGAGAAATGGAAGGCCAGGTCCCTCTCACCTTGGCATGGATCTTTTCCACCACTGCCGTCTGACGTACGTTGCCCACGTGTACTGTCACCTGGAATCCTCGTCGGAAGGTGGTGGCATGGAACAGTAAGACTATCTCTGCCTCAAACACCGAGCAGATGGTAGGATTCATCTCCGGGCTCACCATCACCATGCCCTGGGGAGGAACAGACCCCAGGCCCAGGAAGGGCAGCTCTAACATCAGACTCTCCCTCCCCAGCCACCCCACACCCTTTATAGCTCCTGAATTTCCTCTTCCTCTACACAACTCTAAACACAAAGACCTCAAAAGACAATAATCAAAACTCTCAGAGGGAATGAGTCTTTACCCACCTCCTACGTCCTCTAGCCCATCTAACGCTTCACATTTTTAGGGTCCTGAACACTAAAAATAGTGTTCATTAAAAACAGTGTAACATAGTGATTCATATTTAGTTATCTGTACCTCATGAGTACGTTAAGCTGTTTTTATAGTCTACGTAGCTAGACCAGAAGCTTCTTGGGTCAGAGAGTGTGTTTCCTCTGAGTTTCTCTGAAGCACCTTAGATAGGTGCTCATTCAGTAGCCAGTCTCCTAGGCACTTCTCTTAGCGTTCCCTCCCCAACCCATGCACCCACCTCACCTTGCGAAGCAGTGCACGGTCAAAGTCCCCAAGCGCCAGTGTAGCAGCCTGACCAGCTCGCAGCACACGACAGGCAGAGCGGTTGCGCTGGATGCTGCATACTCTCAGCTCCAGGAAGCAGCCATCATCCGTGGGGCCCACCACCAGCTGGTCCCCCTCACGGCAAATCCCACTGCAGCCCAGAGGGCAGGTGGCACAGTGTCAGCCAAGGTCCCCATACCTACTTCTCTATTAGGATCACCCAGAGCATTCCTTCCCTTCTAGGGTTGAGTCCCTCAAGTGGGGAAGAACCCTAAATTCTGACTTGGATGTAACAGGGCTCACTGCCAGAGTTCAGAATCAGAAGACTAATTTCATAAAAGGCCAGCAGTGATGGTGGACAGAGAGACACTTGCTGGTTTAACAACACCGAACACCTAATCACTGAAGGAGCAAGTTATCCCCTTGGGTTTCATTCTCTGCTTTGCAGAGTCTTAGGCCAGCCGCGTTGGCTCACACCTGTAATCCTAGCACTTGGGGAGGCTGAGGCAGGTGGATCACTTGAGGTCAGGAATTCAAGACCAGCCTGGCCAATATGGTGACGACCCCATCTCTACTAAAAATACAAAAATTAGCCGGGCATGGTGGTAGGCGCCTGTAATTCCAGCTACTCAAGGCTGAGGCAGGAGAATTGCTGGAACCCAGGAGGCAGAGGTTGCAGTGAGCCAAGATCGCTCCACTGCAATCCAGCCTGGGCAACAGAGCGAGACTCTGTCTCAAAAAAAAGAAAGAAAGAAAGAAAGAAGAGTCTTAAGTGACGTCTCTCATTTCCCTGTGTGAGATGAAGTCAGTTGAATACACTCTAGTTTTCTTCCTGGAGCTCAAGACCCACACTTCTCTCTCAGGGGCCTGGAGATTCCCCAATAGGCAGCAATACTGTTTCTTCCCTCCAAAGCCAACAGACTACCGTTCTCCAGCTCTTCTGATAGTGAAAGCCTAATCTGCAAATAAGCATGTCCTTTAAATGGGTTCCGTTCAATTCCAGGGTCTCCTCCTTTGGGCCAGGATGTCTTTGAGTATATAGGTGAGGGCTGAGTGGGGAGGGTAGCAAGCAAGACAATTTACCTGGAAAGTGTTCCTCCAACAACAGTCCCCACCTCTGGTACTGTGTAGATTTCATCCACCTGAAGCCAAAGAAAACGCTATCAATGGCCTGCCAAGTAGGGCTGGTGGGTCCAAAATCTCTAAACAGACTCTGGGTTTGGTCTGAAGCAGCCCCTCCCTGTTTCCCAGCCTATTAGATGTTTGGGCAGTCAACTACCTGGAACTCCGTCAGCTGCTGCATGAGTTCCTCCTGCTCTTTGCTGTTGGTGAGTGGCGGCAGAATATTCAGAAAGACTTTGAGGAGGTCCAGACTCTCTCCAGACACACTGGACAATGTGAAGATGGGGGTGACACTGTAGAGGGAGGCATGGAATGGACAGATGAAGACAGTCCAAACAGGAGGCAGAGGCCAGAGCCCCATACATGGAAAGGTGAGCTTTGTTCTGGCTGGGGGCCCCTCTCTCCTGTCTGCAAATGGCTCAGGAACTCTGGGCCTTCTTGTGAGCCAGTCGAGCAATGTCACACAAAAAGCCCATCCGAGCCCAAGGGAAACAGCAAATGCCTGGTATAGCACTTCATCGCCATGGTCCCAGGCATCAGCAGTGCTCCAGGTTGGCTCGGGAGGAGGGTCAAGCCCTTTAGCAAGATGCCCCTCCACAATCCCAAGCTGAAACACCCGCAGAACTAAGCCAGAACTGGTCTGGCCCTGGAGAAGTAGGATATCATGCTTCTGGGCCCTGGGCTCTGTGGCAGCCTTCCTAGTGGATCAGGGCTTTAGAGTAAGGTGGGCTTACTTGGGTGACTGAGCAAACTGCTGGGCAGCAGTGACGGCATCATCCTCAGAGGTGACCAGCATGGGGACCTTGTGGCAGCCAGGCTGCTTGAGGACCCGCTCCAGCTGGCGTACTGTCCTCTCCACTGTGGTCTTGGCACATAGGTCGATCTTGCTGACCACGATGAAGAAGGGCACTTTCAGGGCCAGGGCCAGCCCCAGATGTTCCCTTGTGGTGCCAGCTGCCTCATAAGGACAGCAAGCAGCAGGAGAGAAGAGTGAGAATGCAGGAGGGAGGAGAGGGAAGAAGAGGAGCATTGGTCTGTCTCCAAGATTTGAGGCCCAGGGTAGGAGAGTCAGCACCCCCCTTCAGCCCTGTCCCTGCCCTAATGCCTCGTACCAATCCCAGTGTTGGCACTGACGAGGAGCAGGGCGCAGTCGGGGCAGTATGATGTGAGGCCAAAGATGGTGGTGTGTAGGTACTTATGGTGGCCTGCCAGGTCGATGAAGGTGATCATCTTGGAGCTGCTCTCACAGATCTCTTCTGCTGTCCGTGAGTCGCTGTAATTCACCACCTGGCCCAGGGCCCAGGGCCCTCAGTGCCTCCTGCCAGCCCTTCCAACCCCTTCAGAGTTGCCAGGACCTAAACCATTCCCTGGGTGACCCTGCCTCTTAATCTTGACCCCATTTTTTATTTAATTTAGTTGATTCCCCATTGATTTCCTAAGAGGGGCAGAGCTTGTTCACAGTCCCCTCAGGGCATTCATCTATACTATTTCAAAAAGTCTCCACACTCTACCCCCATCCTATGTCCTTCACTACTACCATCCCATCCTCAGAGTCTGGCCCCATTGGGTCCCATTGATCCCATGCACCTCTCCCTTGCTGTTAAAGCCCAGGATCTCGAAGCTGATGCTGGAGGTTCGGCCAGACTGAATCTCATGCAGGTGGCGGAAAAGGTTGAGCCGAGCCCGGCCCCGCCCATTGTCCAGCTCTCCCTGGGTCAGGACTCCAAGCAGAGTTGACTTCCCAGAGTCCACATTCCCCAGGACGGCCACACGGAGGTCTAGGAACTGTGGATGAATTGCCAGAGATAAGAACTCCAATCTCTCACCCCTCTAACTGAAGACTGGGTCAAGGGCAGTGACGCTCCCTAGGGAGCAAGTGATGAACTGGAAGCCCCCAGGATCCCAGGCCAGGAGACAGCCTGCCACCACAGGGCCCTTCCACAGTGTGGACATGAGAGACAGGGATGGGTGTGTGCTCACCTGTTGGTTGTCAGGGACCTTTCGTACTAGCACCTCGGTGATCTTCCGGGGCATGTCGCTATCATAATCCACTTCTCGCTCTCGAAGAACGGTTATGTCTGCCCCAACCCTGTCACAGCAAGGCCACAGCTGCCATATCTCACCTGTCCTTCTCCTATTCCAGGCTCGCTCTGGACCTACAGACTTCCTGCACCTCCCACAGAGCTCCCAATACCTTAGTGCACTTCCTACCACCCTCCAATCTATTCCTCATTCACAGTTCCCTTTAAAACAAATATACATATCTTAATTCAAGGAGCAAAACAGCCTAGGTCCAGTGAGGAGGGGACCAAAACACTAACCCTCCCCACTTCAGCCCTTTGTCAAGAGAAGGAAAGTCCCACCTTGGCCCCTCAGGCCCTAGGTAACTGGGTATGCATGGGTCCCCCCAAGTCAGGTAAAGGAGAACTGGTGGGGAAGGGGAAGCATACTTCTCTGCCATCCGGTGCAGGGTCTTGAGCGAAGCTCGCATTTCCTCCTCAGCCAGCCCCACCAGCAGCCCATTGTCCTCTACCCCAATCTGGTAGACGGCCTCACCACGTCCCTCCTGGAGCCGCCACTTCATTTGTGTCACCAGGTGCTCAAAGCGGTACTGGGATGGATTCACCAGCTTCAACTTAGGGCAAGTGGGGTATCATAAGGTGAAATCAGAGGTGTTCCTCCCAAACCTACATGGTCCCCACCTGTTCTGCTGCAAGGACCAGGACTTTCTCTTTCCACTTAAACTCATACCTGATCCCCCTCCAACAGAACGAGGTACAGAGCCCTTAACCTGAACCATATCCTTAAACTGCTATAATTATGAAGTTGGAAGGCTCTCAGAGAACTTATCCCATGCTGGTGGATCACCAGAGGTCAGCAGTTCGAGACCAGCCTGACCAACATGGAGAAACCTCATCTCTACTAAAAATACAAAATTAGCCAGGCATGGTGGCGCATGCCTGTAATCCCAGCTACTTGGGAGGCTGAGGCAGGAGAATCTGAGATTGCGCCACTGCACTCCAGCCTAGGCAACAAGAGCAAAACTTCATCTCAAAAAAAAAAAAGAAAGAAAGAAAAAAGAAATTATCCCACACTGGCAAGGACAACCTACCCCAGCCCCTGCTTTTCCCCAGCCTAGGACTCACTTTATATTCAATGTTTCCATCTTCAGCCTGAAAAGAAACAGTGAGCAGTTACCATACACTGTACAGACCCAATCCCTACTTCCCCTCAATTCCCACTGGGTCCAGGTAGCTAACTTGAGAAAGCAGGAAGCCCCACTGGCACTTGGTTAGGCAAGTGCCTGTCAAAGGTCAGTGGCAGACAAGATCCTCTATTCACCCCCAGCATAGCCTCTATGAAGGGAAGGCCTATAAGGACACAAGGAGTCACCCATTTAAGCCAGGAACAGAACACTGAATCAATCCATTCTTTGATCACTGGCAGCACGTTCTTCCTAGATGCAAGATCATCCCTTCCTCCCCACCTCCAGGGCCTCAAACCTGCTTTTCCCAGAAGTCTATGTCTCCTCTGTGCCCAGGCTGTTAAAACCTTTCTTTGTCACTGGTCTAGGAAACACCATTTCCTCCCTGCCTGCCCCTTTCAGCTGATGTCATCTAGAGTAAGAGGCTGCAAGAGGTTCTGGATCAGAGCCAAAGGGTGAGCTCAGCAATGGTCACTACAAGCCTGATGACCGAGAAGATCTAGGTGAGAGAGGAGAAGAGCTCCAAAGCTGGGGCTGAGAGGAACAGAAAAACTCAGAAAATGTAATGAAGCGGACAGACTCGCTATGGCCTTTACCTCTTGCCCCCTAACCTCAGTGGAGGTGAAATCCTGAATCCACCCCACAGTCTCTTCTAGCTCCAGTGGGTAGCACAGCACAGAAGCACCCTGTTACCTGAGGCTTCCCCTCCCAGGTACAAAGGGATATGGGATTTGCCTGTTTGGCCAGTCTGCATTTTTCTACCCGCCTCTCTGGATATTTTAGTTTTCCTCTTCCCTTCCTATCATTCCATCCCTTCAAGGCTGTCTGGCTCCCAGGCCCTAACAGGTCTTCACTCATAATCTCCACTTCATGGTGTGTTAAGGAGATTATTTTTTTTCCCCATCAATAAAAACCTTTTAATCATTTTTCTGGGGATGGGTGGCTTCAAAAAATGTGGTACAAGAATGACAGTCTAGGGCCCAGACCAATGGTTCCCAAAGTGAGGTCCTGGGACCAGCAGCATTAGTATCACACGGGAACTTATAAGAAATGCAAATTCTCAGGCCCATCCTCACTAGTAAGAAAGAATCAGAAATTCTAGGCTGGGCACGGAGGCTCACGCCTGCAATCCCAGCACTTTGGGAGGCCGAGGCGGGTGGATCACCTGAGGTCAGGAGTTTGAGACCAGCCTGGCCAACATGGTGAAACCCCATCTCTACTAAAAATACAAAAATTATCTGGGCGTGGTGGCGGGCACCTGTAATGCCAGCTACTCGGGAGGCTGCAGCAGAAGAATCGCTTGAGAACCCGGGAGGCCGAGGTTGCAGTGAGCTGAGATAGCCCTACAGCACTCCAGCCTGGGTAACAGAGACTCCGTCTCAAAAAAAATAAATAAATAAATAATAAAAAAATAAAATTGGCCAGGCGTTGGGGGCCAGCAATCCGGGTGATTCGATACATGCCAAAGTTTGATAACCACTGGCTTAGGCTGTGTGTGTGTGTGTGTGTGTGTGTGTGTGTGTGTAGTGAACATACTGCTCTTTTCCCGAGTACTGTGTGTGTGTCCGTGTGGAACATATTGCTCTTTTCCCGGGTACTCCCCTTCTCCCTGTGGAACAAGTTTAGAAGAAGTGGTGGTTACTGTCTGCCTCTCGTCCCAGGATGCAGTCTCTCTTGCCCTATGGCGGCACACGCAGTTGGTCGGGGTGCTCTTCCTGGGATCCCCTTTCTCTACTTCTCTCCTGGGGTAATCTAGATCAGAAGGGGGAGTCCTCCCTCTCCACTCTTCCTCCCTGAGGTCCTGTCACCTGAGAGTCCAGTCTCTGCCCTTCCTCCCTGGGGTCCCGGGACCTGAAAGAGGTGTTCTCCTCCCGTGCCCCTCCTCCCTGGGGTCTCGACACCGGAAGGGGAGATTAATTATCTGGGTCCCGCCTCCCTAGAGTCCTGGGCCGGAAAGAGTGGCTTCTTCCCGCCCTACCACTTCTCAGGTGCTCACCTCGGGGGGCAAATACGGGGGGTTGTTGGCTTTGCCCCCTCTGTTCCTTCCGTTCTTCTTCTTTCCCTTTGGCCCCCCGCAGCCGCTGCTGCTGCCGGCCCCCCTAGCCTTGAGGGTTCCGCCCACGGCCGGGCCCCCTCCGGGCCGGCAGCAGCCGCCGAACAGCTCCGATACCCGCGAGTCCATCCGCCGCTGCCGCCAGCCCCCCGCCCGGCCCCTCCCCCGACCGCCGCCGCCGTCGCCGCCGCCCTTACTGCCACTGCCGTGTCCGGCCGGCCTGAGCAGAGTGGGGTGGGGCTCTGCACAAGCTACGCCCCCCACCTCCCTGGCCTCCGGGTCGCGTCAGAAACAGCCGCGGGGCACCACGGGATATAGAGTCCCCAGGCCTGGGAATTCACTTAAATGACACGTCGCCGCCCTACAACTCCCAGGAGGCATCGCGGCGCAAGTGGCCGCGGGAGTCGTCGGAGGCGTGGGGAAGGAGCGCGCCTTGGCGCGCAAAGGCTTAAGGGAGCTGTAGTCTGACTTCCAGTCCTCGCGCTATGTTCTTTTTCTAGGACTTGGGGGGAATTTAGAGCCTCGAGGCCTGGGGTGGGGACGCGAGGACACCAGCGTAGAAGAGCTTACATCAGAATCGAGCTTTGTGGGCGCTCCGGGATTTGGCCCTTTAGCGCGGATCCTAGACAACAGGTTTTGGACCTCGAGAGCTGCAGAACTGAGGCTACTGGTGCCGCCAGCCTGCTGGCTCCGCCTCTGCCTCAGTTTCTTCCCCTATGGCCCGCGTGCCGCTGGGGTGAGTCAGGGCGAACGCCAGGGCGGAGGCGGATGGTGATTAGCCAAATTACGGCTGTTATTGTTGGGATGATTATGCTACCTTTACATAGTAGTCACTGCTTTATTACCAGGCTGGCACCGTCCAGGGGCTGGTTTTAATAACCGGAGGCACCGCGGTGGCCCCGACACGAGACCCGAACCCGTAAACCAGCTTCCTCCCCGAAGGCTGCAAGCATACCCAAAGCGAGTATTCCTCCTCCCCTTTGTTTTGAAGCAGAACCAATCGGGAAGAACTGAGTTTGGTTTTAAACGGCCAAGACTGTAGGAGGGGCCTGGCCCCTACTTCGGGCGGGGCTAGGGCTCGGGTTACACCAACCACCACGAGGGCGGGGCAGTGGCCGGGAATAGAAACTTGGCCTAGGGCCACAGGGGATTTTTGGCTTTTGACTCTCTTGTGAAGCAATCTCCAGCTCTTTAGTGCTGTTGCACTCTACAGAGTACATACATTCAGCGACATAAGCCAGTGCACAGAACACAGAAAGGCAGGGTGGAAAAGCAGTTATGTTGCTGAGCTGCGAGTCAGGACGCTAGGGCTCAATTCACAGCCGCATGGCTGTCTCATGACTCAGACCACTCACAGTGTGTCCACTTCTCCCCTCTTCTCGAACTGCGAGGTGCTCATACACGGTCAAGAAATTAAACAACTCAGCCGGGTGCGGTGCCTCACGCCTGTAAATCACAGCACTTTGGGAGGCCAAGGAGTGTGCGGATCACCTGAAGTCAGGTGTTCGAGACCAGCCTGGCCAACACAGCGAAACCCCGTCTCTACTAAAAATACAAAAATTAGCTGGGCGTGGTGGCGCATGCCTGTAATCCCGGCTGCTCGCGAGGCTGAGGCAGGAGAATCGCTTGAACCCGGGAGGCGGAGGTTGCAGTGACCCGAGATCACGCCATTGCACTCCAGCCTGGGCAACAGAGCGAGACTCCAACTAAAAAAAAAAAAAAAAAATTAGCCCAGCATGATGGTGCACATCTGTGGTCCCAGCTGCTCGGGAGACTGAGGCAGGAGAATCGCTTGAACTCGGGAGGTAGAGGTTATAGTGAACTGAGATCATGCCACTGCACTCCAGCCTGGGTGACAGAACGAGACTTCGTCTCAAAAAAAAAAAAAAAAAAAAAAAGAAAGAAAAAGAAATTAAGCAACTCTTCTCTCCAGACCTCAGTTGTCCTTGGAAAACTAGAAGCAGCAATAATGACTTACCTCTGGTGATCCCTTCAGGGGTTCAGACTTGGTAGAGTCCATGGCTTCCTCCCAGGGCCACAAGGAGGGAGGCAGGTTTACTGATCATGCTGTCCACATAGCATAATTTCCCAAAGCAGTGAGAGCAGAGAGACCAAAATCTGCAAAAGGGCCTAGCTGACCATAGGCCAATTATGTGGGTCTTCAGTGGTTGAAAGCACATGTGACTTTTCTTAGTCCTGTGCCACTGAAGGAAAGGTTATGCCGTAGAGGTCAATGCTAGCCAGGGGCACAGGCCTACTAGGGAAACTGCTGCTTAGAGACAGAGACTAGGGAACTCAGTGAGAGATCTCAAGAAGGATGAGAATTGGAAGGAAGAGATAAGACCATTCTCCCAACATTCTCACCATGACCAGCCCTGGGCCCTCTTGATAACCAGAGCCTGCTGCACTTGTCTGATAACATGTGTCCCTTCATATACATGGATTATTTTTATTTTTATTTATTTTTTGAGACAAGGTCTCCCTCTGTCACTCAGGCTGAAGTGCAGTGGTGTGATCACAGCTCATTGCAGCCTCAACCTCCCCTGCTCAAGCAGATCCTCCCACCTCAGCCTCTGGAGTAGCTGGAACTACAGGTGCGAGCCACCATGCCCAGCTAATTTTTGTTTTTATTGTTTGTAGAGATGGTGTCCCCCTGTGTTTCCTAGGCTGGTGTTGAACTGGGCTCAAGCAATCCTCTTGCCTTGGGTTCCCAAAGTGCTGGGATTACAGGCATGAGCTGCCACACCTGACCTACTATTTTATTTATTTATCTATTTATTATTTATTTAATCCCAGCATTTTGGGAGGCCGAGATGGGAGAATTGCTTAAAGGCAGAGGGATTGCTTGAGTCCAGAAGTTGTTGTTGTTTGTTTGTTTGTTTTTTGATGGAGTTTCGCTCTTGTTGCCCAGGCTGGAGTGCAATGGCGCGATCTTGGCTCACGGCAACCTCCTCCTCCCGGGTTCAAGCGATTCTCCTGCCTCAGCCTTCTGAGTAGCTGGGATTACAGGCATATGCCACCACACCCGGCTAATTTTGTGTTTTTAGTAGAGACGGTGGTTTCTCCGTGTTGGTCAGGCTGGACTCGAACTCCCAACCTCAGTTGATCCGCCTGCCTTGGCCTCCCAAAGTGCTGGGATTACAGGTGTGAGCCACCGTGCCCGGCCCTGTTTATTTTTTAAGGGTGGCGAGGAGGAGGAAGAGAGAAAATGATTGATTGATTGACTTTTTTTTTTTTTTTTTTTTTTAGGTAGGGTCTCCTTCTGTCACCCAGGCTGGAATGCAATGGCACAATCTTGACTCACTGCAACCTCCAACCCTAGAGAGTGATTCTTCCACTTCAGCCCCCCAGGTAGCTGGGACTACAGGGGCATGCCACCATGCCTGGCTAAGTTTTGTATTTTTTGTAAAGAAGGGGTTTGCCGTGTTGCTCAGGCCGGTCTTGAACTCCTGGACTCAAGCAGTTCTCCCACCTTGGCCTCCCCAAAAATGCTGGGATTACAGGCGTGAGCCACTATGCCCAGCCAGATCCAGTATTTTAATCATTGTACTTTTATAGTATGTTTTGACCTCTGGTCCCTACTTCCTGAAACACATCCTTTTCTTGGCCTCCATGACCTGACACTTGTCTTTTTTTTTTTTTTTTTTTTTTAATAGAGACAAGATCTCACTATGTTGCCCAGACTGGTCTTAAACTTCTGGACTCAGCCGGGTGCGGTGGCTCACTCCTGTAATCCCAGCACTTTGGGAGGCTGAGGCAGGTGGATCACCTAAGGACAGGAGTTCAAGACCAGCTTGGCCAACATGGTGAAACCCCATCTCTACTAAAAATACAAAAAATTAGCTGGGTGTGGTGGTGGGCACCTGTAATCCCAGCTACTTGGGAGGCTGAGGCAGGAGAATTGCTTGAACCCTGGGGGCAGAGGTTGCAGTGAGCCAAGATCACGCCATTGCACTCCAGCCTGGGCAACACGAGCAAAACTCCATCTAAAAACAAACAAACAAACAACAACAAAAAACTTCTGGACTCAAGCAATCCCTCTGCCCTTAAGCAATTCTCCCACCTCGGCCTCCCAAAATGCTGGGATTATAGGCTGGAGCTGCCATGCCCAGTCAGACCCAGTATTTTAATCATTGTACTTTTTTTTTTTTTTTTTCCAGGCGGAGTCTCACTCTGTCACCCAGGCTGGAGCACAATGGCATGACCTCAGCTCACCACAACTTCCGCCTCCCAGGTTCAAGGGATTCTCCTGCCTCAGCCTCCCAAGTAGCTGAGATTATAGGTATGCACCAGCACGCCTGGCTAATTTTGTATTTTTAGTAGAGACGGGGTTTCTCCATGTTGGTCAGGCTGGTCTCAAACTCCCGACCTCAGGTGATCTGCACACCTCGACCTCCCAAAGTGCTGGGATTACAGGCGTGAGCCACTGTGCCTGGCCTCTAATTGCTGTACTTTTATAGTGTGTTTTGACCTCTGGTCCCTACTTCCTGAAACACGCCCTTTTCTTGGCCTCCATGACCTGACACTTATTTAATTTATTTATTTATTTATTGGTAGGGACAAGGTCTCATTATGTTGCCCAGACTGGTCTCAAACTTCTGGATTGATGCACTCCCCTTGCCTTGAATTCCCAAAGTGCTGGGATTACAGGCATGAGCCACCATGCCTGGCCCCACTTGTCTATTTTGGTTTTGGAGGCAGGGTCTCCCTCTGTCACCCAGGCTGGAGGGCAGTGGTGCGATCACAGCTCACTGTAGCCTCAACCTCCCAGGCTCAAGCAATCCTCCCACCTAAGCCTCCCAAAGTGCTGGGAGTACAGGCATGAGCCACCTTGCCCGGCCATTTGTCTATTTTTCTTTATCCTCCTGTGGGTACTCTTTAGTCTTCTCCATAGCTTCTGTCTCTCTGGTCATCCCCTAAACATTAGTGTCTTCAATATCCTAGCCCATTCTCATTCTACACCCTCCCTGGGTGATCTTATTCACTAACATGCTGATGGCTCTTAAATACATACCTTTATTGCAAATGGCATTCCTAAATATCTCTATTCATTATCCTATGGAGATGTCAAATTCAATCTGTGAAAAGCTGAACTCATCTTTTCTCCTACTCACCTCCCACCCCAACAAACCTGGTCTTATTTCCTATTTTAGTGTTTCCTCCATCCTTTTTTTTTTTCTTTTTTTCTTTTTTTTTTTTTTTTTGAGTCATGGTCTTGCTCTGCTGCCCAGGCTGAAGTGCAGTGGCATGATCATAGCTCACTGTAAGTGTCGAACTCCTGGACTCAAGCAATCCTCTGCTTCAGCCTCCAGAATAGCCAGGACGACAGTTGTGCACCACCACACCTGGCTAACTTTAAAAAAAAATTTTTAATTTTGCAGAAACAGGGTCCCCAATCTTGTCCTGGCTGGTATTGAACTCCTGGCCTCGGCACCCTGCTTCCCTCTGTCATTGAATGGTACAATTTCCCATACAATTGCTGAAGTCAGAAACCTGCTTGTTTTCTTGTCAGTCTCTTTCTTTTTTTTCTTTTTTTCTTTTTTTTGAGATGGAGTCTCACTCTGTCACCTAGGCTGGAGTATAGTGGTGCGATCTCAGCTCACTGCAACCTCCGCCTCCCGGCTTCAAGCGATTCTCCTGCCTCAGCCTCCTGAGTAGCTGGGATTACAGGTGCATGCCACCATGTCTGGCTAAATTTTGTATTTTTAGTAGAGACAGCGTTTCACCATGTTGGCCAGGCTGGTCTCAAACTCCTGACCTCGTGATCCACCTGCCTTGGACTCCCAAAGTGCTAGGATTACAGGCGTGAGCCACCGTGCCTGGCCTCTTCTCAGTCTATTTCTATTCCTCCTCCTCCTTGTAAATCAATCCCCAAGTTATGTTCACTGGACCTCCTAAATATCTCGAGTTTACCCAATTATCTCCACCCCACTGTGACTACGCTAGGTTAGGCTGCTTTCATCAAGTACTCGGGTAATTGCACTACCTCTAACTGGTATCCCTGCCTCCTCTCTTATCCTCTCTGTAATCCAATCTCTATCCTGCAGCCAGGGTAGAGATTAAATTTATAAGATGTAAATTTAATCATGCCACTCTCCTACTTAAACCTTTCAAGGCTTCCCCATCTGCCTACAGGATCAAGTCCAAACTCTCACGTGGCTTATACGGTCCTGCCATGATCTGGCTCCTGTTATTCACTACAGCCTTAACTCTTTATAATATGAACTCTTTTCATTCCTTGTACAGAGTATGCTCTTGTCTCAAGGTCTCCAGGAGCACTAGGCCCTCCTCTTTACCTTGTTGACTTATCCTACAGGTCACAGCTTCACACATTTCTTCTGGGACCACTCCTTCCCAGCCCCTACCCTCTGTGGGTCAGCCACCCTTGTTTTTCACTTCCACACCCCGTGTACACTTTTCTGTATAATTCATCACATTGTATTGTATCTACAGGCAGTGAACCCCTTGAGCACGGGGCCCGCGCCTGGCTTGTTCTCCGCTGTCTCCAGCACCTAGGACAGGGCCTGGCACGAAGTAGGTGCACAGTGAGTAGTGAATGCTGGAGTGAATAGATGCAAGAGGGCTGGTGTCTTTTAGAAAGCAGCGCTCAGTGGCTGAGAACTCCTGGGTTCCCTGCTGGGCAAGGGTTAGGCGTACATTTGCCAGGGTGTTAAAGGAGGAACGCAGGGTTCAAATCCCAGCTCCACTTAACCTCCCCCACACTGCGGCGACGCCGCGCCTTTTTTCCGACCCAACTGAGCCGGAAGTGGAGGCGCGGGCTTCCCATGATGCCCCGCGAGACCTTTATTCTAACCGCAAGGAGTAGCGGAGGGGAGGTCGTGATGGCGGCGCCGGAGGCGGAGGTTCTGTCCTCAGCCGCAGTCCCTGGTAAGGCGTGGGGCCAAGAGTTTGGGGAGCCTTGGGGACTTGTTTCTTCCCTACCGCCGCGCCATCCATTCGTTTATCCGCTGGTCCTCTCCCTAGCCCGTCTTCCCTGTCTTCCGGGTGTCCTACACGGCTCTGGCTGTGACTCCATCGCCCTGGGTCGCACTGGACCCTGCTTGACTACACTTTTGACTCATTTCCCCAGATCAAGTCCCGCAGCTTTCTGAGCGGGGAGCCCTCCGAAATCCCCCCACTATCTTGCAGTCGATTAAATCTCCTCAGGCAACAGGGATCAGGAATCTCTCCCTGCCACGGCCCATACTGTAGGCTGCGGAGGATATGGGCGTATGTCGGAGTGCCTGCTTTTTCAGGGTGGCTGGTTTGTCGGCCACAGGGAATGAGAAGACTGACTGGCTTTTAGGTTTTTAATTTTTCTCTCTTGTCCCTCTTTTCATCTACCAGATTTGGAGTGGTATGAGAAGTCCGAAGAAACTCACGCCTCCCAGATAGAACTACTTGAGACAAGCTCTACGCAGGAACCTCTCAACGCTTCGGAGGCCTTTTGCCCAAGAGACTGCATGGTACCAGTGGTGTTTCCTGGGCCTGTGAGCCAGGAAGGCTGCTGTCAGTTTACTTGTGAACTTCTAAAGCATATCATGTATCAACGCCAGCAGCTCCCTCTGCCCTATGAACAGCTTAAGCACTTTTACCGAAAACCTTCTCCCCAGGTAGGCACAGGCTTTGGGAGCAAGTTGGTGGGAAGACTTTGTGGCTCTTAGATGGGAGGCAGGTAGAAAGGGGGTCTAAGAAATCTTCAAAGCCTGAGAGAATAAGCAGCTTCCAGGGCTTCGGTCACTTTCTCCCCACTCTAGTCTTTGGTAGCCTAACCCTTCTGGCTTTTTCAACTGTTCTTTCTTTCTGAAACTCACGTGTTGCATTTGGACTTAATGAACTGGCTCTTTGCATTTTTTTCTTTTGAGACAGAGTCTTGCTCTGTTGCCCAGGCTAGAGTGCAGTGGCGAGATCTCAGCTCACTGCAACCTCCGCCTCCCAGGTTCAAGCGATTCTGCTGCCTCAGCCTCCCGAGTAGCTAGGATTACAGGCTCCTGCCACCACACCCAGCTAATTTTTGTATTTTAATTAATTTATTTATTTTATGTTTTGAGACAGAGTCTCTCTCTTGTTGCCCAGGCTGGAATGCAATGGCGTGATCTCGGCTCACTGCAGCCTCCATGTCCCAGGTTCAAGCGATTCTCATGCCTCAGCCTCCCCAGTAGCTAGGATTACAGGCACGTGCCACCATGCCCAGCTTATTTTTGTATTTTTGGTAGAGACGGGGTTTCACCATGTTGACCAGGCTGGTCTCGAACTCCTGACCTCAAGTGATCTGCCCGCCTTGGCCTCTCCCAAAGTGCTGGGATTACAGGCGTGAACTACCGCGCCTGGCCTGCATGTTTCTTTAATAGCATCCTGTTGTTTAATTTCTGTATGGACTTCTTTTTTCTTCTTTTTTTTTTTTTTTTTTGAGACAGAGTCTCGCCTTGTCACCCAGGCTGGAGGACAGTGGCATGATCGCAGCTCACTGCAACCCCAATCTCCCAGGTTCAAGTGATTCTCCTGCCTCAGCCTCCCCAGTAGCTGGGATTACAGGCATGCACCACCACACCCAGCTAATTTTTTGTTTGTTTGTTTGTTTTTGATAGGGAGTTTCACTCTGTCACCCAGGCTGGAGTGCAGTCGTGCCATGTTGGCTCACTGCAACCTCCGCCTCCCAGGTTCAAGTGCTTCTCCTGTCTCAGCCTCCTGAGTACCTGGGATTATAGGCATGCGCCACCATGTCCAGCTAATTTTTGTATTTTTAGTATAGACGGGGTTTCACCATGTTGGCCAGGCTGGTCTTGAACTCCTGACCTCAGGTGATCCGCCTGCCTCAGCCTCCCAAAGTGCTGGGATTACAGGCATGAGCCACCGTGCTCCGCCTGTTTGTTTCTTTTTTTGAGAAGGAGTCTCGCTCTTGTGTGGCCCAGGCTGGAGTGCAGTGGAGCGATCTCGGCTCACTGCAACCTCCACTTTGGGTTCAAGCGATTCTCCTGCCTCAGCCTCGAAGTAGCTGGGATTACAGGCATGTGCCACCACACCTGGTTAAATTTTGTATTTTTAGTAGAGACAGGGTATCGCAATGTTGGCTAGGCTGCTCTCAAACTCCTGACCTCAAGTGATCCGCCCGCCTTGGCCTCCCAAAGTGCTGGGATTACAGGCGTGAGCCACTGCTCCTGGCCCACCTGGCTAATTTTTGTATTTTTAGTAGAGATGGAGTTTCACCATGTTGGCCAGGCTGGTCTCGAAGTCCTGACCTCAGGTTATCCACCTGCCTCAGCCTCCCAAAGTGTTGTTGGGATTACAGGTGTGAGCCACTGCGCCAGGCCATGAACTTCTTTTGCCTGAGGATATTAATTATTGAATTTTTAAGTTTTTCTTTGTTCCTTGCGGCATCTCAGTTTCTTCTAGAATCCATTCCCCATTTGTTTTGTTCTGGACTTTGACTTTCATGTTGGAGAGTTTTATTCTGTGTCTGGTGAATATTTAAGAATAAATTGGCCGGGCGCGGTGGCTCACGCCTGTAATCCCAACACTTTGGGAGGCTGAGGCAGGCGAATCACGAGGTCAGGAGATTGAGACCATCCTGGCTAACATGGTGAAACCCTGTCTCTACTAAAAATACAAAAAATTAGCCGGGCGTGGTGGTGGGCGCCTGTAGTCCCAGCTACTCGGGAGGCTGAGGCAGGAGAATGGTGTGAACCCGGGAGGCGGAGGTTGCAGTGAGCCGAGATTGCGCCACTGTACTCCAGCCTGGGCGAAAGAGCGAAACTCTGTCTCAAAAAAAAAAAAAAGAATAAATCATTGCAAGCTGTGTGTGCATGCCTGGGCCTTATGAGCTGATAGACTTCACTATAAGGAGATTAGGTGGGAACCTGGTGATCTCTTTGTGGGGATTGGAAAGTCTTCCCTCTGGATGGGGGAGAAATTTGGCAGATGATCTAAGCATCTTCACACAGATTTTCATTCATTTCCCCTATATTCACTCTTGCCTCTGTGGTGCCTGTATCACCACTTCCTAAACCTTTCTGGGGTTCTGCTGTGTGGATCAGTTTGCATCCCTTGGGGGTCCCTTCTGTCAGCACTTGGTATTCAGCTCTCTTGAACTCTTAACTCTTCATCTTCTTTCTTTTTTTTTTTTTGAGACAGAGTCTCGCTCTGTCACCCAGGCTAGAGTGCAGTGGCGTGATCTCAGCTCACTGCAAGCTCTGCCTCCTGGGTTCAGGCTATTCTCCTGCCTCAGCCTCCCTAGTAGCTGGGACTACAGGCATCCACCACCACACTCGGCTAATTTTTTGTATTTTTAGTAGAGACAGGGTTTCGCCATGTTAGCCAGGATGGTCTTGATCTCCTGACCTTGTGATCCGCCCGCCTCGGCCTCTCAAAGTGCTGGGATTACAGGCGTAAGCCACTGCGCCCAGCCAACTCTTCATCTTCTATCTTCCAAAACTTCTGTGTTTGCATTTGGCTAGTGTTGTGTAGTTTCCAGTTCTTTCCTCTTGGGAGTTTTCTTTGTCAGTCTTTCCTCTTCTTTCCTTCATTTGTTTCTTAATTTCTTTTCTCTCATTTTGTAATATTTCAGGTGGAAGTGCAAATAAGCATGTGTTCAGTTTACTATGTTTAAGTGGAAGAACAAGTTCAAAGTCATGTTTATTAGACCAAATAATCCTCATTCCTGTTATCACTCCCCATACAGCAAAAATTTGTTGTCACTTTGTCATGTCACCAAATTTCTATTTTAGTTGCTTATATCTGGATATCCTCCACCTTCAGAACACTGTGTTTGCTGTTCTAAATGTGGGAGAATTATGGTTTTGTACAAATAATATATTTTCCTTTTCAGTATAATACCCTCTGATAAAACACAGTGTTTTGGCTGTGGCGGTTCATTGAGCTAGAAATTAAGTCCTGTAAGTCTATGTACACATCCCAGCAGGGTTCTTTTCAAAGAGCATTAGCTTCCCCCTGCCTTGTTCTTCTCTCCCACCATTCTTTGTCCTCACAGGCAGAGGAGATGCTGAAGAAGAAACCTCGGGCCACCACTGAGGTGAGCAGCAGGAAATGCCAACAAGCCCTGGCAGAACTGGAGAGTGTCCTCAGCCACCTGGAGGACTTCTTTGCACGGACACTAGTACCGCGAGTGCTGATTCTCCTTGGGGGCAATGCCCTAAGCCCCAAGGAGTTCTATGAACTCGACTTGTCTCTGCTGGCCCCCTACAGCGTGGACCAGAGCCTGAGCACAGCAGCTTGTTTGCGCCGTCTCTTCCGAGCCATATTCATGGCTGATGCCTTTAGCGAGCTTCAGGCTCCTCCACTCATGGGCACCGTCGTCATGGCACAGGGACACCGCAACTGTGGAGAAGATTGGTTTCGACCCAAGCTCAACTATCGAGTGCCCAGCCGGGGCCATAAACTGACTGTGACCCTGTCATGTGGCAGACCTTCCATCCGAACCACGGCTTGGGAAGACTACATTTGGTTCCAGGCACCAGTGACATTTAAAGGCTTCCGCGAGTGAATGAGTGCTTCTTAATCCTAAAAACACAATGGCTGAATTATCTTTCTCCATGTGGCGCTGAATCACCCATCTGGTTTGGAGCTAGAGTTGCTTCCTGGTGAGAGAGGAAGCAACTCTCCTTCTGGTTGTCTGCCTCCCCTCAGATTTCCTGATAGGCTGATGGCATGTGGCTGTGACTGTGACTGTAATCATTGCTGAACAACATCTCTTTGAATCAAAGGTTGATTTTCCCAGAGGGTGCTGGGTCAGGCATTTCTATTAGGAGTTGGAAAGCAAAAATGGGTCCATAGACACTCTATGGAGGTGTCCCTTTCTGCTCTTTGCTGTGTCCTTTCAGAATTTTTACCAGGAACATAATGTGGATGTGACTTATGAACTTAAATATAAAATAAATAGATTCTTATTATATTTTCCTGAAATTGTTTTGACTTAACTTGTCAGGTTTTAGGCTATTTTGTCTTTCTCCTTGGCCTCTTCTGCTTCAGGGCTTCTCGAATTTTTTTTTTTTTTCTTTTTTCTTTTTTGAGATGGAGTCTCGCTGTATCGCCCAGGCTGGAGTACAGTGGCACAATCTTGGTCGCTGCAACCTCCACCTCCCAGGTTCAAGGAATTCTCCTGTCTTAGCCTCTCGAGTAGCTGAGATTGCAGGTGTGCACCACCACGCCCAGCTAATTTTTGTATTTTTAGTAGAGATGGAGTTTCACCATGTTGGCCAGGCTGGTCTCGAACTCCTGCCCTCAAGTGATCCACCTGTCTTGGCCTCCCAAAGTGCTGGGATTACAGGTGTGGGCCACCGTGCCTGGCCTTAGGATTTTTTTACTAATGATTTTTTCTCTTGTTCAGCCCCAGGCTAGTCTAGGAAATTAAGTGACTTGGCCAAGTGCATATGTAGTTTGATAGCAGAGTTAGGACTAGAGTCCTCATTAGCTATCTTTTAGCCAACGTGCTTTTCTTATCCCATACAGATTTTTGTGATGCTTAAATTCTGTATCCCCCAAAGCAGAGGTCACCTTTATGTGGGAAGATTGTGGTAAGGAACTTAGCTTAGCAGGCCATTGAATGAGAGCAGTGATTTTGGGAAATAGTCTGGCTAGGTGCTTGGTTTGTAGTAAACTGTGAGCAGGTGTGTGCTGAATAGTGAGAGGGGAGGAGCCTCTGTGCCTGGCCAAACACCTCAGTTTTTGGAAGCAAGTTGAAGACAGAATCCACACCTTGCTGATGTTCGGGATAGGTATATGTGTGTGTATGTATAATATATAAATGGTATGTATAGTCCAGGTGGGTGACTCATGCCTATAATCCCAGCACTTTGGGAGGCCAAGGTGGGCAGATCGCCTGAGGTCAGGAGGGAGACCAGCTGGCCAACATGGTGAAACCCCATCTCTACTAAAAATACACAAAAAAAGGCTGGGCATGGTAGCTCATGCCTGGCATCCCAGCACTTTGGGAGGCTGAGATGGGTGGATCACAAGTTCAGGAGTTCAAGACCAGCCTGACCAACATGGTGAAACCCTGTCTCTACTAAATATACAAAAATTAGCTGGGCTTAGTGGCGAGTGCCTGTAATCCAGCTACTTGGGGAGGCTGGGGCAGGAGAATTGCTTGAACCCGGGAGGCAGAGGTTGCAGTGAACCGAGATCACGCCACTGCACTCCAGCCTGGGCAACAGAGTGAGACCCGGTCTCAAAAAAAAAAAAAGAAAAAAGAAAAACAATTAGCCAGGCGTGGTTGTGGGCGCTTGTAATCCCAGCTACTTGGGAGGCTGAGGCAGGAGAATCACTTGAACCCGGGAGGCGGAGGTTACGGTGAGCTGAGATGGTGCCACTGCACTCCAGCCTGGGTTACAGAGAGACTCCATCTCAAAAAAAAAAAAAAAAGGTACATACGTACACATATGTACATAGAATAAGATACATATACGTACACCTAAAATATACTATTTTTAAAGTATATGTACTGTTTTAAGCACTTACATTATCTAACCCTAACAACTTTGCAGTGCATGAATTATTGTCCCCATTTTATAGATGAGGCCAGGGGAAATTGAGCAGCTTGCCTAAGTGGTGAAACTTGGATTCGCCTACATTACTGCACATCCTATGTGGTTTTACTCTGAAATATTTAGCCAGGATTTGCCTTGCCAAAGGTATTAGCATCAGGAAGCTGTAAGATTCTCCTCTCTGGCTTCAGATTCTGGTGTCTGCCATGGAGCCTGCAATAGGTGCTAAGTATGAAATCAGTGAAAGCAAAATGCCTGGGCTCTTTTCTGTGCTATGACCACTTGAAGCATATTCTGCTGTAGCAGGACAAGCTGCAGACAAAACCCCTCAGACACCGAGTTACAGAAGGAAGCAGTTTATTCGGCCGGGAGTGTCGGTAAGACTCCTGTCTCAAGAGCTGAGCTCCCCGAGTGAGCAATTCCTGTCCCTTTTAAGGGCTCACAACTCTAAGGGGGTGCGCGTGACAGAGTCGTGATTGATTGAGCAAGCAGCGGGTACGTGACGGGGGGCTGCATGCACCAGTAATTAGATCGGAACAAAACAGGATAGGGATTTTCACAGTGCTTTTCTATACAATGTCTGTAATCTATAGATAACCGATTAGGTCAGGGGTCGATCTTTAACTACCAGGCCCGGGGCGCGGTGCTGGGCTGTCTGCCCGTGGATTTCATTTCTGCCTTTTAGTTTTTACTTCTTTGTAGGCAGAAATTGGCATAAGACAATATGAGGGGTGGTCTCCTCCCTTACTGCCAGCCAGAATTTTGACTGTTTTTCTGTTTAATGCTATTATAGAAGAGAGATTGAGCCGTATCTCCCGCTCAGGGAAAGGAAAGGCTGAGAGGTCTGCCTAAAGGGAGTGGGGGTGGTTGTGAACAAGAGAGCCATAAATTGTTTTGAGATAACACATTAAGCCAAATCAACTCCCTCAAATACTAATTTTATTTATTTATTTAGTTAGTTAGTTGTATTTTTTGAGACAGGCTCGCTCTGTTGCCCAGGCTGCAGTGCGGTAGCATGATCTTGGCTCACTGCAATCTCTGCCTCCCAGGTTCAAGCCATTCTCCTGCCCCAGCCTCCCGAGTAGCTGGGATTACAGCTGTGGGCCACCAAGCCCGGCTGTTTTGTATTTTTAGTAGAGACAGGGTTTCACCATGTTGGTCAGGCTGATCTCATAACAATGCCTTCCTAAACAATGCCTAAGCCTGGGCGTGGTGGTTCACACCTGTAATCCCAGCACTTTGGGAGGCTCAGGTGAGTGGATCACTTGAGCTCGGAGTTCAACACCAGCCTGGCCAACATGGCAAAACCCCGTCTCTACTAAAAATACAAAAAATATTGGGTGTGGTGGCACACACCTGTAGTCCCAGCTACCTGGGGGGCTGAGGTGGGAAGATCACTTGAGCCCAGGAGGTTGAGGCTGCAGTGAGCTGAGATCACACACCACTACACTCCAGCCTGGGTGACAAAGTGAGACCCTGTCTCAACCCCCGAAAACCAACAATGCCCAGACAATCAAAAAAGTAATTATCTGGGTTATTTACACACTTATTTATCAGCTGGGGCCCAGGTCATTCTGATTTCCTGAGTGCTCTTCAAAGGAATCCAGAAATGAAAATATCAACTAGCAACATTAACGATAAAGCCCATCTCCTGTGGCAACAAGCTTGCTGAGGAACCTGTTTGTTTGTCCTTGGCTGGGGACTCAAGAAGTGAATGTGGAGAAGTGATCTAGCCCAGGGAGTGAAGCTCCAGTTGCAGTGAGGTTCTGGCCTTTCATCTCTTGCTACCATTTGGATCTAAAAACAACAGTTGGTGGTAGTTGGTAGTTGATGAGAAAGGTGGTAGTTGATGAGAAAGTGTAGTCTATAAAAGTCCCCCTTTTTGTATCTCTCTCCTCACCCTCCTTTCCCAAGGTGTTACCCTATACCTTGCCCCCATTGCCTAGATTTTCATTTGTCACTTAGAATATTTCTATGGAAAGGGTAGATAAAGAAGACAGCTGGTGAAGATGGAAGAGAATGGATGGACCTCATTCTGTAAGACCTGGCTTGGGGTGGGGTGCGGGTGGAGGTAGTCGGGTTGACAGAATCTTAATTAGAGCCAGGAGGAATCTCAAATTCTTCACAGATCATTCTGAGGTCAAGAAGTGACATGACTGGGGTGAAATAGTACAGTTAGTGTCAGTGTTGGGGTTTTGTATTGTTTTCTTTCCAGACCCCAGGTCCATATACAGTAAAGACTCTAAATGTCGACTATGTGAAAGGGCTCAGGGAAGGCCAAATATCTATGGAAAAAGGCTGGGTTTGGACTTACAACCCCAACTGTAGCCTAACTGTAGGGGAAGCCATACTGTGGCCGTGGCAACTGAAGACATCCCGTCCCAAACTCTGGAAAGGATGAGGGAGGGGGCTGATGCCTAGGCCTCCGTGGGGAGGAGGTCTGGGCGGTAGGCGGTGGGGTGGGTGGAACCTAGCGTCCAGCTAGGCGGAAGGGCGGAGCTTCAGGTCTCCATGGAGGCGGCTTCTCCTAGCAACTCGACGGGCGTTGAGCGGAGCCGCTGACCTGATGGACGCCGACAGCCTCCTGCTGTCTCTGGAGCTGGCGTCCGGCAGTGGGCAGGGCCTCAGCCCGGACCGTCGGGCCTCGCTGCTCACGTCTCTTATGCTGGTTAAGCGCGACTACCGCTATGATCGGGTTCTCTTCTGGGGCCGCATCCTTGGCCTCGTCGCCGATTACTACATCGCGCAGGGCCTGAGTGAGGACCAGCTCGCACCGCGCAAGACGCTCTATAGGTGAGGAGGCCCCCGGGACGGGCTCCCCAGAGGGTGGCTACCTGGAGGCAGGGCGGGGTGGGCGGGTCGCAGCAATTGAAAGGGGCGGGGCCCATGGGGCCAAGGGAGGTGTGGGCGGGATCTGAGATGAGTGGAATGGGGGAGACCCTGGGGGGCGGGCCTGGGGACGGTCAAGAGGTGGTTGAGGGAAAGGGCGGGGATGGGGATGTCTCGGAATCTGAGGCTAGGGCGGAGCCTGAGAGGGCGGGGCAATGGACGGGCGATGTCCCCCGGAGGGCGGGGCCTTGCGAGAGCTTGTTCTCCGCCTGAGGAGGCCAAGAGAAACTTACATGCGGATGGGTTTATAAGAGAGACAGGGCCAAGAACGCAGGTGAAGCAGTGGGAAGGTTTCTGGAAAATGCGGACCTGGAGAAGAAGCCAGGTTCCAGCCAAGTGCTGGGCCTGGCTCAGTTTGGAGAAGGCTCAGTTTGGAGAAGAGTCAGACGCCAGAGGGAGAGGGTGGTGCTCTTTGATAGAGGTATCTGCTCTGGAGCTGGAGGCGCTTTTGGAAATAGAGAACGAATGCGGAATGGGGAGAGAGCTGGGGAAAATTCCCTGGTCACTACCATACAGGACCATCCAGCTATTTATTTATTTATTTTTGTTTTGAGGCAGAGTCTTGCTCTGTCACCCAGGCTGGAGTGCAGTGTCGCTATCTTGGTTCACTGCAACCTCCGCCTCCCGGATTCAAGCGATTTTCCTGCCTCAGCCTCCCAAATAGCTGGGATTACAGGCACGTGCCACCACACCTGGCTATTTATTTATTATTATTATTATTATTATTTTAGACGGAGTCTCGCTCTGTCGCCCAGGCTGGAGTGCAGTGGCTCGATCTCGGCTCACTGCAAGCTCCGCCTCCTGGGTTCACGCCATTCTCCTCCCTCAGCCTCCCGAGTGGCTGGGACTACAGGCGCCCGCCACCATGCCCGGTTAATTTTTTTTTGTATTTTTAGTAGAGACGGGGTTTCACCGTGTTAGCTAGGATGGTCTCGATCTCCTGACCTCGTGATCCGTCCGCCTCAGCCTCCCAAAGTGCTGGGATCACCCACCGCGCTTGGCAATTATTTATTTATTTATTATTTTTGTAATTTTAATAGAGACAGGGTTTCACTATGCTGGTTAGGCTGGTCTCGAACTCCTGGCCTCAAGTAATCCACCCGCCTCGGCCTCCCAAAGTGCTGGGATTACAGGCGTGAGCCACCATGCCCGGCCAGCCTCTTTTTGACTAAAGGGGAGCTTACTACCTTACAAAGCAGTCCATTCGGCCAGCCTGGGCAATATAGCAAGACCTCATCACTACAAAAAAAAAAAAAAAAGGCAGGGTGTGGTGGCTCACGCCTTTAATCCCAGCACTTTGGGAGGCAGAGTTGGGCGGATCACGAGGTCAGGAGATTGAGACCATCCTGGCTAACGCGGTGAAACACTACTGAAAATACGAAAAATTAGACGGGCGTGGTGGCGGGCGCCTGTAGTCCTAGCTACTCGGGAGGCTGAGGCAGAAGAATCACTTGAATCTGGGAGGCGGAGGTTGCAGTGAGCTGGCATCATGCCACGCACTCCAGCCTGGGTGACAGAGTGAGACTCCGTCTCAAAAAAAAAAAAAGAAAAAAAAAAAGGAAAATTTGCAGGGCATGGTGGTGCATACCTGTAGTCCCAGCTACTCGGTAGGCTGAGGTGGGAGGATTGCGCCCGAGAGTTCAAAGCTGCAGTTAACTATGGATCACTACTGCGCTCCAGCCTGGTGACAGAGCGAGACCCTGTCTCAAAACAAATAAATAAATAAATAAACAAACTTTAAAAATAAATAGGCCAGCAACGGCCTATTTATTTAGGGAACAGTTAGACAAACTTGTTGGCTGGGGAAGTCTCAGAGTGTTTGGGAGAACAGTAGTATGATGTTGTGTAGAACTGGTTCTAGAGGCAAAAGGATATGGGTCTTTGTTCATAGGCCATGAGGAGCTACTGAGGGGCTTGCAAGAAGAGCCTGCTCCGATCAGAGTGGGCAAAATGGCCTGAAAGTGTGGTGAGCACTGTGGTTAGGAGTCCATTGTAGTGTCCATATGAATGAGGCCTGAAAGGAAGAGGTATCCGAGGGAATGCAGAGGAGGTGATGGGTTGGAAAGATTTAAGTGCTAGAATTGTCAGGACATGTAACTCATTGAATAAGGATGGTTATAAAGGAGAGGTTAAGGCTGACCCCTCCTAGCTTAGGCAGCTGAGTAAGTTAAGTACCAGCACCACTCAGTAGGAGAGAATTCAGGGGCAGGACTAGGGAAGACATAGTGAATTTGATGTGAGGTGCCTGAGTTACAAGGTGTTAAGAAGGTATATTAAAGTACAGATGTAGAATACAGAAGAAAAAGTTGAACTGAAGATAGAGATTTGGGATTCATTTCATTTTATTCTATAAGCATCTGCTGAGCACCTACTATGTGCTACCATGTGCTAGGCATTGATTTAGGCACCAGGAGTTCAGTGGTAAATGAAATCCTTGTCTTTATGGAGCTTACATTGTAGTGTGTGTTCAGGGGGCAGGGAACGGAAGATAGACAACAGCTGAACACACACATCTATTAGATGTCAGATGATGTTAAAAGCTAAAGGGGATAGAGAATACAGGATGGGCCGGGCGCAGTGGCTCATGCCTGTAATCCCAGCACTTTGGGAGGCAGAGGCAGGTAGATCACCTGAGGTCAGGAGTTCGAGACCAGCCTGACCAACATGGCCTGACCCCATCTCCACTAAAAATACAAAATTAGCCAGGTGTGGTGTTGCAAGCCTGTGATCCCAGCTACTTGGGAGGCTGAGGCAGGAGAATCGCCTGAACCCAGGAGGTGGAGTTTGCGGTGAGCTGAGATCGCACCATTGCACTCCAGCCTGGGCAACAAGAGCGAAACTCTGTCTCAAAAAAAAAAAAAAGAATACAAGATGGGGTACTATTTTAAATAGTTTGGTCAGGGATAGCCTCTTTGATAAGGTCACATTTGAGAAGACACCTGAAGTGACTGAGAGAGTGAGCTATGTAAATATCTGAGGGAAGAGAATTCTAGGCAAGTGCAAATGCCCTGAGGCAAGTGTGTGCTTAGTGTGTTTGTGGAACCGCATGGAGACTAGTGTGGCTAGAGAAGAATAAGTGAGGGGAGTGTTGTAGGATACAAGGTCAGAGAGGTGAGGAGTAGGAAACAATCATGCAGGGCCTTGTGGGGCATTGTAAGACTTGGCTTAATTGGAAGCCATTGGAAGGTTCTGCAGAGGAGTGACATGACAGCTTAGGTGTGAACAGTTGGGTGGGGACTAGTCCAAAGGGGGAATAGATGTGGAGTCAGGGAGACTAGTTAGGAGTCGATGGCAATATCTAGACAGTAGGGGATGGTGGCTTGGGCCAAGGTGGGAGCTGTGGAAGTGGTTGGATTCTGGATACAGACTAGGCAGTAGCTGGGGCTCTGGAAGGCAGGTGGGAAAGATTGCAAAAAGAAAAGAGGGGTGAGAATGGGTCCCTGGAAATACTTAAGGCCCTGGAGGAGCGGGAAGGGAGATGTCAGAGGAAATAGAACTGGAGATGCATTTCTTGGCCGTTAGGTGTCAAGGATGGCCTTCTCCCAAGCAGTTTCTTGAAGTGGTGGGGCAGAAATCATGGCACAGTGGGCTGAAGAGTGAAAAGGAAGGGGAGGAAAGTCCCCCACAGGGCAATTGTTGTTCTGAGATTATTGTTGAAAGTTGGGAAAGAGGGAGGGAAGGACAGGAACAGCATTTTCTAGAAGGACATGGATTTGGAGGGTTGCTGTTTTAGTAGGCTGAGCAGTTTTTTTTTGTTTTGTTTTTGTTTTTGTTTTGTTTTTTTTGAGATGGAGTTTCGCTCTTGTTGCCCAGGCTGGATTCCAATGGTGTGATCTCGGCTCACTGCAACCTCTGCCTCCTGGGTTTGAGTGATTCTCCTGCCTTAGCCTCCTGATTAGCTGGGATTACAGGCGCCCGCCACCAAGCCCAGCTAATTTTTTTGTATTTTTAGTAGAGACAGGGTTTCACCATGTTGGCCAGGCTGGTCTCGTGTGATCTGCCCACCTCGGCCTCCAAAGTACTGGGAGTACAAGTGTGAGCCACCGCGCCTGGTCAGCTGAGCCATTTTTATGTTAAGGGGGAACTGGTGGAGAGTGAAGGGCAGGAGGATAAGCAGAGACCAGGCTGGGGACCTAGGCCCAGGGTATATTTGAGAGGAGTGGGAAGGACCTCCTCTCCCAGCAGAAGGAAGTGAGAAAGAAGGAACCAGGTGGGCCTGGTGAGTGCTCCCGAAGGCCTCAGAGGAGAAGTTCTTGAACATAGGCTGGGCATTCCTGAGAAATGGGAGGAAATGGTTGTGCTGTTGACTCAGTGGGCAGGCTGAGCATGAATTTAGGGCCCACCAAAACATGGATCCACACAATTGAGGAAAGTTCAGCTACCAGAAACTCATCCAGAATTTCACAGTCCGGATATCTAGGAAGAGGCTCATTTAATTTCAGCATACATGGAATGAATGAAATTGAATCTGTTTATTACATATGAGGAGTGGGTTCACCATTGGCACTTGGGACTTCTTTTAGACAGAGTCTTGCTCTGTCACCCAGGCTGGTGCAGTCGTGGCTCACTGCAACCTCTGCCTCCCTGGTTCAAGCGATTCTCCTGCCTTAGCCTCCTGAGTAGCTGGGACTACAGGCATGTGCCACCATGCCCCGCTAATTTTTGTATTTTTAGTAGAGACGGGGTTTCACCATGTTGGCCAGGCTGGTCTGAAAGTCCTAACCTCAAGTGATCCGCTCACCTCAGCCTCCCAAAGTGCTGGGATTACAGGTGTGAGTCACCGTGCCCAGTCAGCACTTGGGGCTTCTAACAGTCTCACGACAGCATTGGGAGGAAAGGTGGCCATTTCAACAGCTTTTCCTGGGCCCAACCCACTAGACAGAAGGGAAGATAATAGGAATAGTGGGTGAGAAGGGAGTTGGAATCCAGGGGTGATGTGAATATTGTTGGCAGCCTGAACTGCACAGAGTGGAGCCTCTTGCCCCCTGCCACAGAGGAGATGGTGGCGCAGTCGTCTGTGGTGAAGGGCCGCTTCATGGGGGACCCATCATACGAATATGAACACACTGAGCTGCAGAAGGTGAATGAAGGTGAAAAAGTCTTTGAAGAAGAAATAGTGGTGAGTGAAGAGGAGAGCAGGAGGAGGGCCTAAAAGAGAGCCTGGGCTCATCCAAAACCCAGCCTAATAGAAATTATGGCAACAGGCTGGGCACGGTGGCTCACGCCTGTAATCTCAGCACTTTGAGAGGCTGAGGCGGGTGGATCATGAGGTCAGGAGATTGAGACCATCCTGGCTAACACAGTGAAACCCCGTCTCTACTACAAATACAAAAAATTAGCTGGGTGTGGTGGCAGGCACCTGTAGTCCCAGCTACTCGGGAGGCTGAGGCAGGAGAATGGCATGAACCCAGGAGGTGAGCTTGCAGTGAGCTGAGATCGCGCCACTGCACTCCAGCCTGGGCAACAGAGTGAGACCCTGTCTATAAAAAAAAAAAAAAGAAAAGAAAAAAAAGAAATTATGGCAACAAGTACGATCATTATTTCCTTTTTTTTTTTGGGACAGGAATATCACTATGTTACCCAGGCTGGTCTCAAACTCCTGGGCTCAAATAATCCTTCCGCCTCAGCCTCCCAAGTAGCTAGGAGTGCAGGCATGAGCCAGCATCCCTGATGACTAATGTTATTATTATCTTTGTGACACGTTGGTTATTGGGTACCTGGGTGTGCTAGGCAATGTGCTACTGTGCCTGTATCATCTCATTTCATCCTTAAAACCCTATGGAGTTGGTTTCCAGGTGGTAGAGAAGAGGACATTCTCCTACCAGTTCAGAGAGGTTAAGTGATGTGCCCAAGGCCACACACAGCTACCTCCTAAGCAACTGGATAAAGGCAGTGGGTAGGCTCTGGGGTGGGGACTGGGAAGAGGGGGTGCTCTGTGCTGTACTCTGGGGTCAGGGAATGTGCACAGGCTCTTATATTTTAGTATCAGTTTTCATTTCACAAAATAATAAATCCGCATGTACAAAATTCAAAGGTACAAAAAGGAATATAGTAAAGTTTCCTCCCATCTCTGTCCACCAGTCACACAGGTCCTCTATTTAGGGGACATTAACTCTCTCTCTCTTTCTTTCTTTTTCTTTTTTTTGAGACGGAGTCTTGCTTTGTTGCTCAGGCTGAAGTGCAGTGGCGCCATCTCAGCTCACTGCAACCTCCGCCTCCTGGGTTCAAGCAATTCTCCTGCCTCAGCCTCCCGAGTAGCTGGGATTACAGGTGCCTGATGCCACACCCAGCTAATTTTTGTATTTTTAATAGTGACGGGGTTTTACCATGTTGGCCAGGCTGGTCTCGAACTCCTGACCTCAGGTGATCCGACCGCCTCAGTCTCCCAAAGTATTGGGATTACAGGCGTGAGCCACCGCACACAGTCTGACGTTAACTATTTTGCATGTGCATGTGTGTGTACATATGTGTACTTGTGTGTCTAAATTTTTCTGCTCCAAGTAGAGTCTGGATCAGAAGCTTCACCATGTCCTAAGAGTTAGAAATGTAGGATCTTGGGCCCCAGCATCAGGTATCTGCCTTCTAAAAAATCCCCTGGGCATTGGCCAGGCACGGTGGCTCATGCCTGTAATCCCAGCACTTTGGGAGGCTGAGGCGGGTGGATCACGACGTCAGGAGATTGAGACCATCCTGGCTAACACGGTGAAACCCTGTATCTACTAAAAATACAAAAAATTAGCCGGGTGTGGTGGTGGGCACCTGTAGTCCCAGCTACTCGGGAGGCTGAGGCAGGAGAATGGCATGAACCCGGGAGGCAGAGCTTGCAGTGAGCTGAGATCGGGCCACTGCACTCCAGCCTGGGCGACAGAGTGAGACTCTGTCTCAAAAAAAAAAAAGAAAAAAAAATGGCAGCATGTTATACACATGATTCTGAACCTTGCTTTTTTTCACCTAATGATATATTTTGGAGATCTTTCTATATCAGTGTCTTAAAGAGCCTTCCCATTCTTTTTTTTTTTTTTGAGATGGAGTCTCGCTGTCACACCCAGGCTGGAGTACAGTAGTATGATCTTGGTTCACTGCAACCTCTGCCTCCCGGGTTCAAGTGATTCTCCTGCCTCAGTCTCCCAAGTAGCTGGGATTACAGGCACCTGGCACCACGCCTGGCTAATTTTTATATTTTTAGTAGAGACGGGGTTTCACCATATTGGCCAGGCTGGTCTCCAACTCCTGACCTCGGGTGATCCGCCCGCCTCGGCCTCCCAAAGTGCTGGGATTACAGGCGTGAGCCACCATGCCCAACTTCCGGTTTTTTTTTTTTTTTTTCACCATTGTGGGAATGTACCATAATTTTCCCAGTGTCTTATTTATGAAAATGTAGGTTTCGAAGTTTTATTTTATTTTTATTTGTTTTTGAGACAGAGTCTTGCTCTGTCACCCAGGTTGGGGTGCAGTGGCACGATCTTGGCTCACTGCAGCCTCCATTCCCTGGGCTCAAGTGATCCTCCAGCCTCAGCCTCTCAAGTAGCTGGGACTACAGGTGCATACCACCATACCTGGCTAATTTTTGTATTTTTTTGTAGAGATGGGGTCTTGCTATGTTGCCCAGGCTGGTCTTAACTCCTAGTTTCAAGCAATCCTCCCACCTCAGCCTCCCAAAGTGCTGGGATTTATAGGCATGAGCCATTTCATCCAGCTGATTTCCAAGTTTTAGTTCTAACAAACAGTACCATAATAAATGACCATATAGCTGGGCATGGTGGCTCACGCCTGTAATCCCAGAACTTTGGGAGCCCAAGGCGGGCAGATCACGAGGTCAGGAGTTTGAGACCAGCATGGCCAACATAGTGAAACTCCGTCTCTACTAAAAATACAAAAAATTAGCCAGGCACAGTGGCGCCTGTAATCCCAGCTACTCGGGAGGCTGAGGCAGGAGAATGGCTTGAATCCGGGAGGCGGAGGTTGCAGTGAGCCAAGATCGCGTCATTGCACTCCAGCCTGGGTGACAGAGCAAGACTCCGTCTCAAAAAAAAAAAAAAAAAAAGACCATATAGACATCACTTCCATTGTGTGTAATTCCTGGGAAAGTCAATTCCTGGAAATAGACTTGCTAAGTTAACAAGTAAGGAGCCTATGTTTTGAAACAATACAATCCCAGAATTCAAAGCACAGCTGTTGCACTTGAACCTGGGTGATGCCGAAAGTCTGAGTCTAGGTCTGTGAGCCCTCAGCTGCATCCTCACCCACTCCTACCTGATTGACTTAATCTTCCTGAGCCTGTTTTTTTTGAGACGGAGTTTTGCTTTTGTTGCCCAGGCCAGAGTGCAATGGCGTGGTCTCGGCTCACTGCAACCTCCGCCTCCCGGATTCAAGTGATTCTCCTGCCTCAACCTCCTGAGTAACTGGGATTACAGGCATGCGCCACCACACCCTGCTAATTTTGTATTTTTGGTAGAGACAGGGTTTCTCCATGTTGGTCAGGTTGGTCTCAAACTCCCGACCTCAGGTGATCTGCCCACCTCAGCCTCCCAAAGTGCTAGGATTACAGGCGTGAGCCACCGGGCCCAGCCGTGAGCCTCAGTTTTATTATTATTTTTCTGTAAAATTGAGATAATTGTATTTACTTTGCAGGCTTGTGTGGATTAAATGAGGTGACATATTTAAAGACACTGGCCTCAGCACTTATTAAAGCTTAGTTTCTACCTTTCTTTTGTAAACCATTCAGGTAGGCTGCCCATGGCAAATAGGTGGCTCCGTGACTCTCTAGGGGCCTCTGTTGACACGCATTCTCTGTCGAGCTCTTCCACAAAATCTCTATGAAATCCTTTTGTTCAGAGTTGCCCTAGATAGTAATTGTAACTAAATTTCATCTGTGTAAAAAGGGTATGATATGGGGAAATGCTTGCAAAATAATGTTAAACTGAAGAGAAGGATATGAAACAATATAAACTGTGACTCTAATTTTGCTTTAAATATATGCATAGAGGGCTGGGTGCTGTGGCTCACCCTGTAATCCTAGCACTTTGAAGGCTGAGGCAGGGAGACTGCTTGAGCCCGGGAGTTGGAGATCAGCCTGGGCAACATGGAGAAACCCCATCTCTACCAAAAATACAAAAATTGACTGGGCGCAGTGGCTCACGCCTATAATCCCAGCAGTCTGGGAGGCCAAGGTGGGTGGATCACCTGAGGTCAGGAGTTCAAGACCAGCCTGGCCAACATGGTGAAACTCTGTCTCTACTAAAAATACAAAAATTAGCTGGGTGCAGTGATGCACGCCTGTAGTCCCAGCTACTCAGGAGGCTGAGGCAGGAGAATCTCTTGAACCTAGGAGGTAGGGATTGCAGTGAGCTGAGATCCCTGCACTGTACTCCAGCCTGGGCGACAGAGCAGGACTCTGTCTCAGAAATAAATAAATAAAAATAATAATAAAAAAAGACAAAAATTAGCTAGATGTGGTGACATGTGCTTGTACTTCCAGCTACTCAGGAGGCTGAGGTGGGAGGATCATCTGAGCCTGGGAAGTTGAGGCTGCAGTGAGCCATGATTGTGCCACTGCCCTCCAGCCTGGATGATAGAGTGAGACCCTGTCTCAAAACAAAAACAAAATGACAGCAACAATAACAACAAAACATGAAGAAAGTATACCAATATGTTATCAGTGATTATCTTTAGGAGGTAGGATTATGAGTGGTTTTAGTTATCTTTGGTATGTCTTTCTATATTATCCAAATATTCTACAGTGAGCATGATTACTTTTATATTTTAAAAAGGCAAAATAAGCAACAGTTAAATATGCTGATAGGATGGTATGCCTCTGGAAGAGTACATGAGAAACCTTCAATGGTGGCTGCCCCCAGTGAGGGCAACTAGGGTCTCGGACTGGGGTGAGAGAAAGACTGATTTTTTCCTGTAGTTTTGAATATCATACCACCCTTATGTATTACGAATTAAAAAACAAATAAAAAGAAAGGAAGAAAATCTTGATAGGAAGGAAGGCGAGGGCCTGCCCAGCGTGATCTGTGTGGCTCTGGGGTCCACTACACTGCAGTGGTGCGGGTGAGATGGCCGTGCAGAGGGACCTTGCGCCGGGGTGCCTGGGCACAGTGCCCTGGCAGGGGGGCTCCTCTCCTGTCTCCTCAGGTCCAGATCAAGGAAGAGACCCGCTTGGTGTCTGTCATTGACCAGATTGACAAGGCTGTGGCCATCATCCCCCGAGGCGCCCTCTTCAAGACCCCTTTTGGACCCACCCATGTCAATCGGACCTTTGAAGGTGAGTTCTCTGGGGCCCCTCTCAAGGGCTGGGGGTATCTTTTCCCAAGCACAGTAGAACATATGTCTGGGAGTCCAGCAGGGGGGCTTACACACTTTATCAGAGAAGGAGTAGCTGTGACCTTATCACCTGGGAGGGTGTGCCCAGTGACCTGGCACCAGTGGTCGGTATGGGCTCCCCATCTCCTGGCCCCTGACTCTCTTCAGTTTGAGGAGTGGGAGAGCATATAGTCCCTTGGTCCCAGGGCTTTACATGGGTCTGGGCTACCTGCCTTTTCCTATCTCCTTCCTCCTTGGACTTCCTTCCTTCCTTCCTTCCTTCCTTCCTTCCTTCCTTCCTTCCTTCCCCTTCTTTCCCTTCTTTCCCTTCTTTCCCTCCTTCCCTCCCTCCCTCCCTCCCTTTGTTTCTTTCTTGATGGTGTTTTGCTCTTGTCATCCAGGCTGGAGTGCAGTGGCACAATCTTGGCTCACTGCAACCCCTGCCTCCTGGGTTCAAGCGATTCTCCTGCCTCAGCCTCCCGAGTAGCTGGGATTACAGACACCCTCTACCACGCTCGGCTAATTTTTGTATTTTTAGTAGAGACGGGGTTTTGCCATGTTGGCCAGGCTTGTCTCAAACTCCCGACCTCAGGTGATCTGCCTGCCTCGGCTTCCCAAAGTGCTGGGATTACAGGCATGAACCATCGTGCCTGGCTGGACTCTCTTTGTGGCAGGATCTGGTCCGAGTTTGGACTGAGGGAATGCTAATCCCTTTCCTTCCTTTAGCTCTCTGACAGTGGTTGACAGGGTCTTTTGTAAGCCCTACCATGTGGTCCCAGTGCAGACAGAAAGGGGGCTGGGGGGTTTTGGGCTAACCATCATTTTCCTGCCTGCCACCTCTTTCTAGGACTGTCCTTGTCTGAGGCCAAGAAGCTCAGCTCCTACTTCCATTTCAGGGAGCCTGTTGAGCTAAAGAATAAGACCTTGCTTGAGAAGGCTGACCTGGACCCCTCCCTGGATTTCATGGACTCCTTGGAGCATGACATTCCCAAAGGTAATAGTCCATTACCTGGAGGCCATGGGATCTGTCCTCAGGCCATAGCAGTGGGCCATGCCACCTGCCATTTTCCTCTGAGACTGGAACCAAGGGCCTAGTGGGAATTGGTGGTTCACCATGGGTTTTTGAGGGTGGAGCTTCCCCAGGGCCCAGCTTATAGTACACACTGATGAGTGTCCTTGAATTACAAAAGGTAGGATTGTTTTCCATATGCTTTCACAGAGAGGAGGTATCTCAATGTCTCTTGATTTTTGTAGCAATCTTGAATGGGGGCAGGTTGGGAATCTTCTCCCAAATATCCTTGAAAATACTAGCCATACTTACATCTCAACTGTTACTTTTGGGATTCTGGTATTTAGGGACTGGATATAATGCTTGGCCCATAGCTGGTGGTGCTGATCCCATTTCCTTCCCTTGAGCATCTCTGGTAGAGAAGAGCATGTCCTTGGATTCTATGACCCAATTCAGGTTCTAGGCTCTAGGCCATCGGGGGCCAGGCCCAAGGCACAGACTCAGCGCCCCACTTCTTTCTCTTCCCTTGTTGGGTGTTCCTGAGAATGAGAGGGATCTAATGATGATGATGGCAATGATAATGACAACAATAACAACTAACTCATGAAATGTGACACTGCTTATCATGTGTCAGGCACCGTACTCAGCTCTTGCCATGCCTTATCTCATTTTAATCTTCACAGCCAGCCTATTATTTTTATCCCCATTTTACAGATGAAGAAACAGGGGCTCAGAGAGTTAAACCCAAGGACACAGTAAGTGTTAAAGTGTTAGACTCCACAGTTCTGGCATGAACTGGATTGTTAAGTAAACAATAGTTTAAATGACAATAGGAACCACAGGACAATAGTCACCCACACCTCTAGGGGGAAACACTTCTGAAGAGCAGCAAGCGACCCAACTGGGGGGTATCTCAGGATGGGGATGGGGATGACAAGGGCTGTGGAATCAGACAGGCTGGGTTGGAATCCTGAATTGGCCACTTACTAGCTGTGTGACTTCATGCAAATCCCTCCATTTCCCTGTGCCTCAGTTTCCTCATTTCTAAAAAGGGGAGAATTGATATTTTCTACCTCAACGAGTTATGAGAATTAAATGGACTACTCCTATACCACCCTGAATGTGCCTAGTCTCTTCTGATCTTGGAAACTAAGCAGGGTCAGGCCTGGTGAGTATTTGGATGCAAGAATTAAATGAGTTAACTCATGCACAAAATGCTTATAACAGTGCCTAACACATAGTAAGGACTCAAATGAAAATGAACACACCAGCCGGGTGCGGTGGCTCACGCCTGTGATCCCAGCACTTTGGGAGGCCAAGGTGGGCAGATCACTGGAGGTCAGGAGTTCGAGACCAGTCTGGCCAACATGGCAAAACCCCGTCTCTACTAAAAATAGAAAAATTAGCTGGGTATGGTAGCACACGCTTGTAAACCCAGCTACTCAGGAGGCTGAGGTAGGGAGAATTGCTTGAATCTGGGAGGCAGAGGTTGCAGTGAGCTGAGATTGCGCCACTGCACTCCAGCCTGGGGCAACAGCGCAAAACTCCGTCTCAAAAAAAAAAAAAAAAAAAGAAAAAAAAAAAAAGAAACGAACATATCTCAGAGATATTGCAAATTTGGCTCCTGACCACCATAATAAAGTGAACATCGCAATAAAGTGAGTCACACATTTTTTGAAAAGTTGTGTTTGTACTATACTATAGTTTGTTAAGTATGCAATAGCATTGTGTCTAAAAATGTTAAAAAAATTAAAAATTCTTTATTTCGTAACAATACTAACGATCACCTGACCCTTCAGCGAATCATAATCTTTTTGCTGGTGGAGGGTCTTTGCTCTGTCGCCTGGGCTGGAGTGCAGTGGCGCAATCTCGGCTCACTGCAAGCTCCACCTCCCGGATTCATGCCATTTTTCCTGCCTCAGCCTCCCAAGTAGCTGGGACTACAGGCGCCCGCCACCATGCCTGGCTAATCTTTGTTTTTGTATTTTTAGTAGACGGGGTTTCACCTTGTTAGCCAGGATGGTCTCAATCTCCTGACCTTATGATCCGCCTACCTCGACCTTCCAAAGTGCTGGGATTACAGGTGTGAGCCACCATGCCCAGACATGCCCAGCTAATTTTTGTATTTTTAGTAGAGATGGGGTTTCACCACATTGGCCAGGATGGTCTCGATTTCTTGACCTCGTGATCTGCCCGCTTCAGCCTCCCAAAGTGCTGGGATTACAGGTCTGAGCCACCAAACCTGGCTTACGTAATATTCTTAATCCTTTGTTGTTCTCATTTCAACAATGTTCACAGCATCTTCACTAGGAGTGGCTTCCGTCTTAAGAAACCACTTTCTTTGCTCATCTGTAAGAAGCAACCCCTCATCCATTCAAGTTTTATCATGAGGTTGCAGCAATTCAGTCACATCTTCAGGCTACACTTCTGAATTCTAGTTCTTTTTCTTCTTCCACCACATCCGCAGTTACTTCCTCCACTGAAGTCTTTTTTTTTTTTTGGAGATGGAGTCTCGCTCTTGTAACCCAGCCTGGAGTGCAATGGTGTGATCTCGGCTCACTGCAACCTCCACCTTCTGGGTTCAAGCAATTATCCTGCCTCAGCTTACTGAATAGCTGGGATTACAAGCACCGGCCACCATGCCCGGCTTTTTTTTTTTTTTGAGACGGAGTCTCGCTCTGTCGCCCAGGCTGGAGTGCAGTGGTGCGATCTCGGCTCACTGCAAGCTCCGCCTCCCGGGTTCACGCCATTCTCCTGCCTCAGCCTCCTGAGTATCTGGGACTACAGGCGCCCGCCGCCACGGCTGGCTAATTTTTTGTATTTTTAATAGAGTTGGGGTTTCACTGTGTTAGCCAGGGTGGTCTCAATCGCCTGACCTCGTGATCCGCCTGCCTCAGCCTCCCAAAGTGCTGGGATTACAGGCGTGAGCCACCCCGCCCGGCCCATGTTCGGCTAATTTTTGTATTTCTACTTTTTACTTTTATTTTTATTTATTATTATTATTATTTTTTGAAATGGAGTCTCACTCTATCGCCCAGGCTGGAGTGCAAGTGATGTCATCTCGGCTCACTGCAAGCTCCGCCTCCCGGGTTCACGCCATTCTCCTGCCTCAGCCTCCTGAGTAGCTGGGATTACAGGTGCCTGCCACCATGCCTGGCTAATTTTAAAAATATTTTTAGTAGAGACAGGGTTTCACCAAGTTGTCCAGGCTGCTCTTGAACTCATGACCTCAGGTGATCTGCCCGCCTTGGCCTCCCAAAGTGTTGGATTACAGGCGTGAGCCACCATGCCCAGCCTGGCCTTTTTTTTTTTTTTTTTTTTTTGAGACAGAGTCTTGCTCTTTTGCTCAGGCTGGAGTGCAGTGGTGTGATCTCAGCTCACTGCAACCCCTGCCTCCTGGGTTCAAGTGATTTTCCTGCCTCAGCCTCCTAAGTAGCTGGATTACAGGCATGCGCCACGATGCCTGGCTATTTTTTGTATTTTCAGTAGAGATGAGTTCACCATGTTGGCCAGGCTGATCTTGAACTCCTGACCTCAAGTGATCTGCCCACCTCAGCCTCCCAAAATGTTGCGATTACAGGTGTGAGGCACTGTGATTGGCCCTCCACTGACGTCTTGAACCTGTCAATATCATCCATGAGGGTTGGAATCAACTTCTCCCAAACTCCTGTTGATGTTGACATTTTGACCTCCTCCCATGAGTCATGCATATTCTTTTTTATTTATTTATTTATTTATTTTTTGAGACAGAGTCTTGCTCTGTCACACAGGCTGGAGTACAGTGGCATGATCTCAGCTCACTGCAACCTCCACCTCCCGTGTTCAAGTGATTCTTCTGCCTCAGCCTCCCGAGTAGCTGGGACTACAGGCGCCCATCACCACACCCAGCTAATTTTTTGTATTTTTAGTAGAGATGGGGTTTTACCGTGTTAGCCAGGGTAGTCTCAATCTCCTGACCTAGTGATCTGCCAGTCTCGGCCTCCGAAAGTGCTGGGATTATAGGTGTGAACCACCGCACCTGGCCAAGTCATGAATATTCTTAATGTCATCTAAAATGATGAATGTTTTCCAAAATGTTTTAAATTTACTTTGCCCAGATCCATCAGAGGAATCATTATCTATGGCAGTTATAGCTTTATGAAATGTCTTTTAAAAATAAGACTTGAAAAGTGAAGTCACTCCTTGATCCATGGCTGCAGGATGGATGTTGTGTTAGCAGGCAGGAAAACAACATTAATCTCGTTGTACATCTCCATCAGGGCTCTTGTACATCTCCATCAGAGCACAACATTAATCTCGTTGTACATCTCAATCAGGTGCATTGTCAATGAGCAGTAGTAATTTGAAAGCCATCCTTTTCTCTGAGCAGTAGGTCTCAAAAGTGGGCTTAAAGTATTCAGTAAACCATGCTATAAACAGACATGCTGTCATCCAGGGTTTGTTGTTCCATCTATAGAGCACAGGCAGAGTAGATTTAGCATAATTCTTAAGGGCCCTAGGATTTCCAAAATGGTAAATAAGCATTGGCTTCAACTTAAAGTCACCAGCTGTATGAGCCCCTAACAAGAGAGTCAGCCTGTTCTTTGAAGCTTTAATGCCAGGCATTGACTTCTCTTTAGCTATGAAAGTCCTAGATGTTTGGCTGGGTGCGGTGGCTCACGCCTGTCATCTCAACACTTTGGGAGGCCGAGGTGGGCGGATCACCTGAGGTCAGGAGTTTGAGAGCAGCCTGGCCAATGTGGTGAAACCCCATCTCTACTAAAAATACAAAAATTAGCCGGGCATGGTGGCCTGCACCTGTAATCCCAGCTATTCGGGAGGCTGAGGCAGGAGAATTGCTTGAACCCGGGAGGCAGAGGTTGCAGTGAGCCAAGACTGTGCCAATGTACTCCAGCCTGGGTGACAGAGCGAGACTCTGTCTCAAAAAAAAAAAAAAAAAAAAAGAGGAAATCCTAGATGGCATATTCTTCCAAGAGAAGGCTGTTTCATCTCCATTAAAAATCTATTGTTTAGTGTAGCCGCCTTAATCAGTGATCTTAGCCAGGTCTTCTGGTTAACTTGCTGCAGCTTGTACATTAGCATTTGCTGCTCCACTTTGTACTTTTATGTGACAGGGACAGCTTCTTGCCTTAAATCTCATGAACTAACATTGATTGATTGACTGACTGAGACAGAGTCTCACTCTGTTGCACAGGCCAGAGTGCAACAGCGTGATCATGCTTCACTGTAGCCTCGACTTCCCAGGCTCAAGTGATCTTCCCACCTCTGCCTCCTGAGTAGTTGGGACTACAGGTGTGTGCCACCATGCCTGGCTTATTTCTTGTAGACACAGGGTCTCCCTATGTTGCCCAGGCTGGCCCCAACCCCTGGGCTCAAGCCATCCTCCTGCCTGAGTCTCCCAAAGTGCTAGGATTACAGGCATGAGCAACCATGCCCAGTCAATGAACTAACCTTTGTTAGCTTCCAACATTTCTTCTGTAGCTTCCTCACCTCTCAGCCTTCATAGAATTGAAGAGAGTTAAGGCCTTGCTCTGTATTAGGCTGTGGCTTAAGAGAAGGTTGTGGCCGGTTTGATTTCCTATCTAGACCACTCAAACTTTCTACATATCAGCAAGAAGGCTGTTTCACTTTCTTTTTTTTTTTTTTGAGACGGAGTCTTGCTCTGTCGCCCAGGCTGGAGTGCAGTGGTGCAATCTCGGCTCACTGCAAGCTCTGCCTCCCAGGTTCACGCCATTCTCCTGCCTCAGTCTCCTGAGTAGCTGGGACTATAGGCGCCCGCCACCACGCCCAGCTAATTTTTTGTATTTTTTAGTAGAGACGGGGTTTCACCATGTTAGCCAGGATGGTCTCGATCTCCTGACCTTGTGATCCACCTGCCTCGGCCTCCCAAAGCGCTGGGATTACAGGCGTGAGCCACCACGCCTGGCCGGCTGTTTCACTTTCTTATCATTTGTATGTTCACTGGAGTTGCACTTTTAATTTCCTTCAAGGACTTTTATTTGCATTCACAGCTTAGCTGTTTGGTATAAGAGGCCTATCTTTCAGCCTATCTCAATTTTTTTTATTTTTGGTTTTAGAGACAGGGTCTTGCTTCATCACCCAGACTGGAGTGCAGTGGCATGATCATAACTCATTGTAACTTTGAACTCCTGGGCTCAAGCAATCCTCCTGCCTCAACCTCTTGAGGAGTGCAACAGCACACGCAATAGGTGTGTGCACCATACCTGGCATTTTTTTTTTGTAGGGATGGGGTCTCGCTGTGTTGCTCGGGCTGGTTTCAAACTCCTGCACTCAAACAGTCCTCCTGCCTCAGCCTCCTAAAGTGCTGGGATTACAGGGATGAACCACCATGCCTGGCTCTATCTCAGCTTCTGACATGCCTTCCTTACTAAACTTAGTCATTTCTAGCTTTTGATTTAAAGTGAGAGGCGTGAGATTCTTCCTTTCACTTAACACTTAGAGGCTATTGTAGAGTTATTTTATTTTTTATTTTTTTTTGAGACAGAGTCTCACTGTGTTGCCCAGGCTGGAGTGCAATGGCATGATCTCAGCTCATTACAACCTCCGCCTCCTGGGTTCAAGCGATTCTTCTGCCTCACCCTCCTGAGTAGCCGGGATTATAGGCACATGCCACCATGCCCAGCTAATTTTTGTATTTTTAGTAGAGACAGGGTTTCACCATGTTGGCCAGGCTGGTCTCAAACTCCTGACCTCAGATGATCCACCTCCCTCAGCCTCCCAGAGTACTGGGATTGCAGGAAAGAACCAATGCGCCCAGCCTCTGTAGAGTTATTAATTGGCCTAATTTCATGATTGTTGTGTCTCAGGGAATAGGGTGGCCTGAGGAGAGGGAGAGGGCTGGGAGAAGTCAGAAGACACACATTTATCAATTAAGTTTGCCATCTTAAATGGATGTAGTTCGTGGTGCCCCAAAACAATATCATAGTAACATCAAAGATCACTGATCACAGAACACCATAACACATATAATAATAATAACAAAAAAAAGGGCTGAGTGCGGTGACTCATGCCTGTAATTCCAGCACTTTGGGAGGCCGAGGTGGGCGGATCACTAAAGGCCAGGAGTTTGAGACCAGTCTGGCCAACATAGTGAAACCCCATCTATACTAAAAATACAAAAATTAGCCAGGTGTAGTGTGCACACCTGTAGTCCCAGCTACTCAGGAGGCTGAGACACGAGAATCACTTGAACCTTGGAGGCAGAGGTGGCAGTGAGCCGAGATCACGCCACTGCACTCCAGCCTGGGTGACAGAATGAGAATGTCTCGAAAAAAAAAAAAAAAGAGTTTGAAAAATTGTGAAAACTACCAAAATGTGACACAGAGATACAAAGTGAGCATATGCTGTTGGAAAAATGGCACTGATATACTGGCTTTACACATGCAAACCTTCAATTTATAAAAACTGCAGTGTTTGTGAAGAGCAATATATCAAAGTAAACCTGTGATGATGATGATGATGATGATGATTATTTTGAGACAGAGTTTATTTATTTGAGACGGAGTTTCTCGCCCAGGCTGGAGTGCAGTGGCATGATCTCAGCTCACTGCAGCCTCTGCCTCCCGGGTTTGAGTGATTCTACTGTCTCAGCCTCCTGAGTAGCTGGGACTACAGGCGTGAGCCACTGCACCTGGCCTTATTATTAATTTTTTTAGTGGCAGAAAGTCCTTAGAGATGAGTTGGGGCAGGCCTAGGAGGGCCTAGAAGGCCAAGGCAGTAGAAGCTGCTGGTGGCTTGTGAGCAGGTCTGTGACAATAAGGCAGTGGTACACAGGTGGAGCGAGACAGGGCAAGGCAAACCAGGAATCATGAGGCCATTTCAGGGCTACTGCAGTGCCCCAGGGGCCAGGCAATGGTTCTGAGTGGGTAGGAGCTGCCACCAAGGAGTGGCCATTTGGGCTTCCATCATACAGGAACATCTGAGTCAAGCTACTCTGAGCAGGGCCAGTGCTGTAGTGACAGAGAGGAGGGTCTCCGGACAAGTAGGGGGATATGAAGAGGGTCTATAGGGGTTGGGGCATTTCTCGCCCATCAGACATACTTCTCAGACTCCCCTCATCTCCTCCATCTCTGCTCCCAGACTTGTCAGGAGGCTGAGGGTGCTGTACGTCCCTCGTTGACAAAGGGAGCCTGGAACGGCGGTGGTGATGGAACCTCAGAGCCAGGGGCTGAGGGGTGGGCCTACAGAAGTCCTCTTCATTCCCCTAATCTGAGGGCAGCAGCCCTGTCCCCTGATTCAGGGTGTGTCTGGCAAGCCCTTTGCAGCCTTCTTACCTGCAGCTGGATGCTCCAGAATCAGAAGATGAAACTCTCCTTTGTGCTGGGTGAGAGGGGCTGGTGCAGTAGTGCTGCTTTGCCCGTGGAGCCTCATCCACTGTGCAGCAAGAGGGGTGAAGAGGGTGATAGAGCTTCTGCAGCCAAGACCAAAGCCAGCTAGATGGGGTGGGGCCCAGCAAAGTCTTCCTAAGGGAACACCATCAGCCCTATCTGCCCTCTGCTGTCTCGGGTAAGGTGGACCCTGGAGGCAGCTGTCTTTCCTTGCAACAGGAGAAGTAAAATGTGGAGCTTTGGAGTCTTCCTAAAGGCTGCTGGGGTTGGGGCTGGGCAAGGTGGCCCATGCCTATAATTCCAGTGCTTTGGGAGGCCAAGGTGGCAGAATCGCTTGAGCTTAGGAGTTTGAGGTTACTTGTGATTGGCCACCATTGCATTCCAGCCTGGTGAGCCACTCTGATGTGTCCAGTTGGCAAGTGAATTCATCAGGCCTATGGGAGGTGTGGCATCTGGGCCTGGCAGGTGGGTGAGCTGCAGTGACCCAAGGCCCTAGGCATCCTGCCCTGATGGTGACCTCAGGGCTGCAGGATCAGCTGCTGGCTTCACTTCCCAGTCCACCCCACCATGTTGCTTTATGAGCTGGAACCTTGGAAGCTGAGGACTCCTGGCATTTCCTGGGCATGTGGGCCTCAGGGGAGGGATGCTCCTGGCCTTACCTTGGGAAACCTCCCCATACTCTTCAGGTCCTTCCTCCCAGAGCCACTACTACCAGTTTTTCTTTCTTTCTTTCTTTCTTTTTTTTTTAATTTGACAGGGTCTCACTCTGTTGCCCTGGCTGGAGTGCAGTGGCCAGTGGGATGATCTTGGCTCACTGCAACCTCCGCCTCCCAGGATTAAGTGATCCTCCTGCCTCAGCCTCCCGAGTAGCTGGGACTACAGGTGTGGACCACCATGCCTGGCTAGTTTTTGTATTTTTTGTAGAGATGAGGTTTCACCGTGTTGCCCAGGCTGGTCTTGAACAACTCAGCTCAAGGGATCCACCCACCTCAGCCTCCCAAAGTGCTGGGATTACAGGCATAAGCCACCGTGCCCAGCCTAGGCCCACCTTTTTCTCACGATGGTTCGATGAGGGTCATGGCGATGGAGTGGAAGTGTGGATGGTCACAGGAGAGCGGACAGCTCTGATTTTCCTCCCCGGTCCCCTTTCCTTATCAGCTAGGAAAAGAGCAGTCTGAGCTGCTTGGAGGCTCCCCTGCCAGGCAGGCAGCAGCTGGGCTGGGCTGCTAATTGGGGCCAAAATCCCAAGGAAGAGTTCCCTGGGACACCAGGACTGGCTGGAGGGATGGGATTTGGCAGCTGTTTTCTGGCCAGTTAGGATAACTGTTTCCTTTCAGGGTCTGAGGCAGTTGTTCAGGGTGACTTCACGTGGCTTCTGAGCAGGTGTGGTTTTGGTTGGCCCTGTTCCTGGGACTCCTGCTCTGTGTCCATGAGGTAGGCCAACGACTCCGCATCTTGTCCCTTGGCCAAAGTGACAAGAGACACCTTGGCTGAAGAGAGGAGTGGGAGAGCTGTTGTCCTCATGAGTTGTCATGCCGTGTCCAGGGATCCGCAAAGTTCCATGGGAGTGGGTAGCTGGTTCTGGGGTGGCAGGACCATCCTCCTGCCGGATCCAGGGTAATGACTAAGAGTTCTCTGACCTTGGGCTGCAGCCAGGTGGCATAGATGCAGCCGTGGGTCAGGAGGCCATATATATACATATATTTGAGACAGAGTCTCGCTGGAACCTCAGCTCATTACAACCTCTGCCTCCTGGGTTCAAGCAATTCTCCTGCCTCCGTCTCCCAAGTAGCTGGGATTACAGGCGCATGTCACCACGCCTAATTTTTGTATTTTTAGCAGAGATGAGGTTTCACCATGTTGCCCAGGCTGCTCTCGAACTCCTGACCTCAGGTGATCTGCCCACCTCAGCCTCCCAAAGTGCTGGGATTACAGGCGTGAGCCAGCACGCCCGGTCAGGAGCCTAGATTCCTAGGTAGTATCTTGCCATTCGATGCTCCCTGAACATCCACTATATCAGCAAATAGCCACTGAGCAGCTACAACAGGCACCTGTGATGCCCTTGGAATAAGAAAAACACCTCCCTTGCCTCAGAGGTTTGGGAAGATCAAATGAAACAGAGGATGGGAAAGGGAAATGTAAACTAGAGGGTGCCTTGCAAGCATCGGTGTCCTGGGAGGTAAAGGAGGAGGGCTGGAGGGCCACTGCTCCTCTCCTTGCTCCACTCTGGGCTGGTGCAAAGGTCTCAGAATTGCCAGGTGCACACAGGCTGGGGCTCCTTCCCAAGCAATTCCTCAGCAGCAATGCTCAGTTCAGGCAGCAGAGGGCAGCAACGCGCCTGCCTGCCTACCTGGAAAGCAGCCTTTGAAAGCTGCTGCTGGTGGTGGTTGAGGACCGGGAAGGGGGCGAGTGAGGCGGGCATGGGCGCGGGGGGGAACATGGTGCCCAGGGTCAGCCTTCCCTTCGGGATGTGCGCAGGTGGCTCTTCCTGCCCCAGTTCCTTGGAAGCCTGGCTGACAAGTGTTCAGCCTTCTGGGCCACGGGGCCTGCCTTTGCTACTCGATTTGATACGGGTCTGGCAGCCAGAGGTTTCTCCCTCCTCCTCCTCCTCTGTCCTCAGGCCTCTAGGGGGTATATGATTCTTGTGGCCCTTGTAGGGGATGGGGGTGCCTCTCCCACTGGGAACCCATGGCCATTTTTTTTTTGTATGTGACAAAAATTTTGTTGGTGCTCATCTGAGAGGGTTTGAGCCATCTGTTGCCCCTGGACAGCCCTGGTCCCCAGCCTGGCCTACTGTCCCTCGATCTTAATCCCAGAGCTGCCTTTCTTCCAGGATGGCAGGAGAATGTAATTAGAGTAAGTACGCCCTAGCCTGAGGTTTCCATACTAGCAAGGTGGGTGAGACCCTGTGGGCCCAGGAAACCCAGGAGGAACCCCTCCTGATTTACCAACCTGTACCCATCACATCCTCAAAACACAGCTTCTGGAGAAGAGTGGCTGCTAGGGGGCAGGAGGGATTTGGGGAGAGAAGAGAGAGCGGGGGCTGTGAACCTGCAGCACCAAGTCTGCAGGGGGCTTTTCCCCGAGTCCTGGAGGCGGTGACAGCAGCTGGCTGGGCTCAGCCTGTTCAGCAGTTGCAGTAAGAAAGTGGGTGAAGGTGACAGCAAGTGCTTGGCTCTTCAGGTAGATGCTACGTGACTCCTGGCACGTTGAGTCTGTGTTTCCCGGGCGACCAGCTGAGCCAGGGACGATGAGAGGACAGGAGTGTGACAGGAATGCGAGGGAGGGAGGCAGTGCTGTTTTCTGGCTGGCCCTACATGCCGCTACCGTACTCCACCAGCACCCTCCCGCCTGCGCAGCACTGCCCCCTGCCAGGCGGGGGCACTGTATTTCCCTAGCTCCCCTGCCAGTTTCTCCTTGCTCTCTGGGTAGGAGCCCCTGCTGATAGGCCTAGGCCACTTCGTCCAAGAACACTGCCCCCCGCCCCCTGCATTATCTACTGGAGGCAAGAGGTGGCCAAAGCCTAGGCAGGCAGGCTGGTGTGAGGGCAGGGCAGGACCAAGCCCTTGCCCAGGCATGCCAAGGTGCTGGCAACAATGAACTGACAAGGGTCTAGGTTGGAGGACTCCAGGATTCCATTTTCTCCAGGGCAGCACCTAGCCCAGGCAGGCTGCAAGCTGCCCTCCCTCAGTAGGCAGATAGAGATGAGGCAGTCTGGTCTTAGTTCAAGGGGCTGAGGGACTGTCTTTATGGAGCCTGGTCCCTGACGATACTCTAGGCTGGTGGGGTGACCAAGTGAGGGAATCGGATCTCCCTGGGTCTGTGCTTCTTGTCCAAGGCTGAAGCAGTGGAGTTGGAACACTCTGTCCTGTTGGACCCCCACCCTCATCAATCCTAAACAATCTGTTTTCTGGAGATGCATGACCAGGAAAGTACCAGGCTAGGGACTCTCAAACTCTGAGGGCAGGTCTGAGAGGCAGAGGACCTCAAGCACCCAGAGAAAAGTTTTAAGAGTCAGGGGAAATACTCCTTCTCAGGGGCAGTGTTCCAGCCGGAGCCCCGCTAACACAGGGGCACTACTTTCTTCTTGATGTTGTCCAGCAGGCACTGTGTGGGCTGGAGGGGGCTGACGTCATCCTTTGCATGGGCGATGGCACTTGGTGCTGGCCACTGCACGGTGCTAAAGTGAGCTTTGCGATTGGCTTCTCCCTGAGCAGGACCAGGGACAGCCAAACTATATACGCCCAGAAAACTTTGGTTTTGACCTGGGCAGGCGGCTGCACCCTGAGTAAGGGTGCATGAGCTGCCATGAGGGTCAGGGGTTCCTGGCAATCAGGTTTCTTGGATGCAGGGTGGCCCCCAGTGGGTGGGCACTGAGTTGTGAGGCTGCAGGGTGTGGAGTGACTAGGGTGAACCATGGTTGGAGGTGGCCCGTGGGAAGCTGGGGCAGCAGGAGCCAAGCAGCCAGGCTGAGCTGGCAGCTGATGAAGGCCTCAGAGAAGCTCTCAGCGCATGGCTGGCTGGTCCAACACCAAAACTTTCAAAGCATTTGCCTTTCTGGCAGGGCCTGGAGCAGGGCTGTGGCTGGGCCGGGAGAGGCCTCAGTGCGCAGGGGAATAGAAGCCCCAGATCTGCATCCAGAGGCGATTTTCCCAGGCTCCTTCCTCCCACACTGTGGCTCCCTCCCTCGGTTCTGGAGCTTAATCAGGCCCTTCCAGCCAAGTCCTCATGGCTGCACGACTCAGCCCTGAGCTGGGCTGCTCCTGTGTGGGGAGACAAAAACCAGGGCAGAACCTAGGACAAAGGCTCATTAGGGGCAGCCCAAGTCCCCTCCCACCAAGGATGGCTCCCAGTCTACCAGCTGCCAGAAAGGGCCATTGAGCTAGGAGGCCTGAACTGCCCAAATTTCTATTTGAGCCTTCCTTTCCTGGTCTGGTCTAATCCAACTCAGGAGAGGCTTCAGGAAATGGGGAAGACACAGCAAAATGGCAAGTAGTGGCAAACCACACTAGAACTGGTGACTGCACTAGGTATAGTGTGGGAGGAGCTGGTGTCTCCCTTGGCCCAGCCCAACTCCCCTCTGCCTGTGGATTGGATTCAGCCTCCTCCCCCACTCAACCTTTAGCTAGACTTGCTGACAGGAACAAAACAGACTGGTTTGAGTTTCGCCTCTTTTCATTTCCTTTGCCCTCCCTCTGAAAGTGGTTTTAATGAGCAGTGAGATGGCTAAAAGGGCTGGGCGTGGTGGCTCACATCTGTAATCCCAGCACTTTGGGAGGCCAAGGTGGGAGGATCGCCTGAGCCCGGGAGTTTGAGACCAGCCTGGGCAACACAGTGAGGCCCCATCTCTACAAAAAATCAGAAAAGTTAGCTGGGTATGGTGGTGCATGCCCATGGTCCCAGCTACTCTGGAGGCTAAGGTGGGAGGATTGCTTGAGCCCAGGAGTCAAGACTGCATTGAGTTGTGATTGCGCCACTGCATTCCAGCCTGGGTGACAGAGTGAGACCATGTCTCTTAAAACGAAAAGAATAATGGCTAAAAGACAATCAGGGAGTAAAGCATCTGGAGAATTAAATGGTCTCTCCCCAGTGGAACCATAGCACCTGGGCCTGGCTGCCCAAGGAGCCAGGGGCCACAGCATGAAGGGCAGAGCTGTGGCTCCAGCAGCACCAGGCCTCACCTCCTGCCTGTCTTATCTCAGGGTCCTGGAGCATCCAGATGGAGAGGGGCAATGCCCTGGTGGTGCTGCGCAGCCTGCTCTGGCCGGGCCTCACCTTCTACCATGCTCCCCGCACCAAGAACTATGGCTACGTCTACGTGGGCACTGGCGAGAAGAACATGGACTTGCCCTTCATGCTATAGAATGGGAGCCAGCCTGGATGTTTTTAAACAGAGTCTAAACATGATTTTCTTAAGCTTCAGTGAACTTGGCCTGCCTGTTCTGTCCTATCTTCTTAACTCCACCTCCGTCTGGTTCCAGATTCTGAAAGGCCCACTGAGCCAGGGAGCTCATTTCTAAACCAAGTGGCAGAGGGGTTGGAATGTGCTAATGAAAGAGATTCTAGACAACGATGGGTGGAAATGGCTGTGGGAGAAGGTGACAACCAGGGCCCCTTTGAGGAACGCAGTTTCTTGGATTCACACGAGAGCGGCAAGTGTGTCAGGCAGCCCACCTTGGCTCCCTGCAGCTCTCCCACAGTAAGGAGCTCACAGCTGTCATGAAGAGGATGGGACCTGTTTGGCCCATGAATTCAATTGACTCATTGGCCCCATCACAAGAGATCAGTGACTCAATGCTCAGCACCCAGCTGGCAATGTGCCCAGGACCCCCTGCACTTCCCAAGCAGTGAGCGCACACCCAATGGGTAAGCCCATGAACCCAGTTTATGACACTGCGTTGGGCAAAACTCCTGTCCCCAGCACTGAGCATGGCCTAAGCCCCATAGCAGCTGGCAAGGGACCCAACTGCCCTGCCTGCCTCTAGCTCCCAGCATTGCTACTGTGCAGGCCAAGGGTACTGAAGTTAGTCCCACTGTCCCCTGTCCATGCATGTTGGAGGGACCAGGCCATCGTGGTGGGGTGGGACAGGAGTATAGTTGTGGCCAAGGGCTTGTGAGTGGGCCTCCTACTCCCCAGCACAGGTGCAGGAGGAACTCTGGAAGCACTGCTCTCTGTCAGTGATACAGCTTCCAAGGTGTTCTTGAGTAGCAGACATTGTCCCTCAGAAGGGGTGACCCCACGGGCATGCGCACCCTGTTCCAGCGGGGGCCTTTTTTGTAGATGGGCTTGACGGAGCCAGGAGCCCAGCGCGTCAGGTACCTGTGGAGGGAGAACAAAGAGGTGCCTGTGAGGGCTGGGGGCCCAAGCTGGACGTGGGAGAGTGGAGCACTACCTCCTCAGGCCAGGCCACGGTTGGGCAAGCAAATCCTTTCACCAGTTTCCCTTTCCTGAAGTGCAGGGATTTTCCTGGGAGTAACTGCTGAGCGTCCTGTAAACAGATGGGCTGGGCTCTTGCTGCCGCAAGCCTGTGTGGCCAGGTTCAGGCAGCCCAGGGCCACAAGCTCCCTTGATCTTTGTAAATGTCAATGTTGGTGTGTGTTTGCTGAGGAAAAGGTGGCGAAGAGGCTGCCTGAAGAGCAGATCATTCCTCTCTGGCCTCAGCCATGGGGCGAGAAGAGCTGATGTAAGGCTCTGGAGGAACCCATTGCTCTTCCCCATTTGGCTCACTCAGCTACCCCAACCTTCAGGGAACTCCCCAGGGTACTATAACTGGTATAAGACCCCTGCCCCTCACCCAACCTGTGATGGGAATCAAGGGGTAAGGGCCCGTGGGCGCAGCCCTAGCCTAGGAAGGTTCCTGTAAATAGGAGGGGGGTGGGGAAAGATGGCTGCCGCCCATGGACCTTTGGCCTCCTTTGGGGATGGCCAGGGCCCTGATAGTTCCCAGAAAAGTGGCTCATGCCGGCTAGGATTGGGTTTTACTCTGTCCAGAATAAAACTTGGATCCTGTCCAGAAAGGCCCATCCTTCATTCTGAAAGCTCAGCCATGACAAAGGCCAGGAATCCTCCCCTGCCTCCATTCTAGGTTGGGGCTCAACCCAGCTGTCTCTAGAGACCATCAAAGAAAAAGCTTTTTTATTTAAAAACTCAATAACCTTAGCTAAAAACTCTTAGATAAAAGAAGTGAAAAAATGATTGCTGATTTATGCAGTTCAACTGAGCTCCGCTGGACCTTGGTCTTCTGCTGCCAGCCCTGTGTTGACAGAAGCTGCGGGAGTTGCTGGCCTGCACTCCAAGTGTGTGCTGGGCAGGGATGGGAGGGCCTTCCATGTGTCTCCTGGAATTGTCACTGCCCTGGCCAGGATGATGACTGTGAAGGAGGCTAGTTATAGGGACTGCTTTTTTTTTTTTTTTTTTTGAGGCGAAGTCTTGCTCTGTTGCCCAAGCTGGAGTGCAGTGGCGCGATCTCGGCTCACTGCAACTTCCGCCTCCTGGGTTTAAGCAATTCTCCTGCCTCAGCCTCTGGAGTAGCTTGGATTACAGGCACCCGCCACAATGCATGGCTAATTTTTGTATTTTTAGTAGAGACGTGGTTTCCTCATGTTGGCCAGGCTGGTCTTGAACTCCTGACCTCAAGTGATCCGCCCGCCTCGGCCTCCCAAATTGCTGGGATTACAGGTGTGAGGGGACTGCTTTTTCTATGGTCGGTGGTTCTAGGTGACAGAAGAGTAAGGTAAAGGGAGGGGACCAGGGATGGCCCCTTTGCTGGCCTCTCCCAGGCTTCAGAGGGGTACATGAAGAGATGGGGTATGGGAGCAGGCTCCCCAGAAGGGTGCTCATTGAGATTTGGGGATGCAGAGGAAAAGCTGGAAAGGTTCTCCAGAGCTACTGCCCTAAAGCTGTTCTTTCTCCCATGCCTTGGAGAGGGAAGCTGGGCTTTAGCTGGCCTTGGGCCTGATGCCTGCGCCACACGGAGCGGCCAGCTGGCAGGGGGTGGGCCGGGTGGCCTCCAGCCAGCTCTTTGGGAACACCCCAGCTCTAGCAAGAACCAAGTCTCTTTCCTAAACCAGCCCCTTCCTACCTCTCCTGAAGGGGCAGCAGGAGGAGCGACACAGCAGCAGACAAAGCATGGCTCCGCCAGGCCCCAGCGGAGCCTGGGCCCATGCATGGCAGCATTAAACGAGACTCCCCTGCAAGGGAATCCATTTCCTTCGTAGCCTGAACTCCCCCTCCCGCTCAGCGTGGCCTTTTGCAACCGACTAGCCCCCACACATCATCAATCCTGTGTCACGTTAAAGGATGCCGGATGTATGGGAGGGCGCCTGGCCTAGCTTCAAAGGCCTGAGGCAGGATGGATTGTGTCCTCAGGCCTGCTGCTGTCTCTTAAAAAGCCAGAGGGGGTGGGCTCAACCCCCAAATGGTCCATAGCATAGTTAGGGGACATAGGAAGAGGTTAGCATGTCCTGCTCCCCAAGAGCTGCTGGCAGATGGCTGAGCTAGCAATGTGGGGGGCACAGGTAGAGATGGGCACACAGCCAGGGTGCTGGCATGGTGTTGGTAAAGGTCCAGCTCTGACTTAGCCCCCAGGGACAGAGAGGCAGGGTACCAGGAAGAAGCCCTGCATTCCCACATCCCACACCCCCTACCCTCCATGCCTGAGTTCTGGTGGGGATCAGCCTAGGAGGTCTGCTGGGGGCTGAGGTGTTTGCTTTGCGTCAGTCATCTTTGATACCTTACAGAGAGCAATTCTATTAAAAAAGGACAAAAACTGCAATTACTTCCGCACCAACCTAATATGTTCCTCATTCCAGTCTGGGAACCACCAGCTGGACAGGAGGAAAGGGCCATTGGTAGGGAGAAGAACCCCCTCAAATCAATTCTACAGACCTGGCTCTACTCTCAACAAGGGGATACTAGAGATCTAAGACTATGTGAGTGTGCTGATGCCAGAGAGGAGGGAAGAAGGGAACTTGCAATGGGACAGCTGCTTGAATGTTAGACAAGAATCTGCTTCCACTCTACAGGGTCCTGCTTAGACTAGAAGGCAGACAAAGTGATTCCAAGGTCTGCAGGCCATCCTCTCCTTCTCTGTATGAACTCTGGGCCTCCTAGGCTGCCACATGGCGCTGTGTAGGTTGTTAACTACAACTCTGGGGAGCACTATTTGTGACCTAGTCTACATGGATGTTGCCCTGAAGTTGTCCAGTGTGCGACCTGCACAGCTGTATTCAGTGGCACTAACCCAGGAGGCCCTCCCATTTCTAAGGCCTTCTGTCCTCTAATAACCCCAGCGCTGGAGAGAGCTAGGATACTGAAAATTTGTAGTACTGACATCCCCATAGCCACCCAGTGTGATGTCATAGATGGGGGATTAGCACATTCTAATGCCCAATCAGCAGGCCTCTACCCTCCTTGCGCCTTTGCTAAGGGCCCTACAGGGGAGGAAAGAGGCTGAGGTTGGCAAAGAAGGCAACAGAAGAAGCGAAGACTGCAGCAGGGGTGGACTGATGGGGGTGGATGCTTAAGCTGGCAGGGAATGGAACAGACAGCCAAGGTGCACCCTAGTTTTCCTGAGCGCAGAACGCTCAGGTTGTTCACACCCAGGCTTGCTTACCGGTTGAGTTGGGGTTTGCTCTTCGGAACAACTCCTTCAGGAAGCCGAGGCCTGTGATTTGGTAATAGACCTGAGTGGCGGGGAAGAGGGGATAGTCTTTGCAGCTCCCTCTGCAGCTCTGAGGGGGCCAGAGGGAAAGCCCAAGGGAGCGGGAAGGTTGGCATTGGGTGGTGAGTATAATTAACACTCCGGATATCCACTTTTCTTCCAGGAGGGGCTGAAACATGGGGCAGCTGGGTGGGGAGAGAGTGCCTGCAGCCCTCTGCCCCTCTTGGTCCCCAGGGCCTTCTACCTGCTCGGTGGGCCATCTTCACACACTCCTCGATCTTGCGGTGTTCTTCCTGGCATAGGCCTGTGATCTTTCGGGGCAGCATGCCTCCATGAGGCCGGATGAACTGGCTAAGCAGCAGAACATCCTAGTGGAAACCGAAAATAGGGGATGAGGGTCAGCTGGGCTTGCTTTTGATGCCGGGAAGCTAGGGCTTCATGGTCTACAGGGGAGGCTGATATCTCCTGGGAACCTAGCTGAGATCACTTCCTCCACACAGAGCTTTGCACATGGGTCTGCTACCTTCACCCAACAAAGGTTAATCCCAACTTAGTAAGATTTTCTGTACCCCATTATCAACCCCAAGAGCTCCCAGCTTCTCTATGAGATTTTTTTTTTTTTGAGGCAAGGGCTCACTCTGTTGCCCAGGCTGGAGTGCAGTGGCGCAATCTCGGGTCACTGCAATCTCTGCCTCCCAATCTCTTGCTCAAGTGATCCTCCCACCTCAGCCTCCTGAGTAGCTGGGACTATAGGTGCGTGCCACCATGCCTGGCTAATTTTTGTAGAGATGGGGTCTCGCTATGTTGCCCAGGTTGGTCTTGAACTCCTGGGCTCAAGCAATCTGCCTGCCTCGGCCTCCCAGAGTTCTGGGATTGCAGGTGTGCGCCCCTACACCCAGCCTCCTGAGATCATCTTCTGATAGACTAGGTTAGAGAACAGAAACTCTTCAAGAAGGGTCACCAATCTTTTATGTACCTGAAGCATCTTTCTTGGACAAAATGTCTGCTCAGATAGGGTTAGGAGACATGCCATATGTTTCCACACAAGAGGAAAAACCTGTAACATTTTAGACCTCAAAGTCTATATACCACAAGCCAGAGTATATGCAAACAGCCCCTCCACCTCCTGCCATTCCCTCTGAAGTGCGAGGAAGGCATAAAAGCCAAGGAGGAAGGAACCAGGGTTGTGAAGTTTAATCTCACATGATCTAGGCCCCCTGTGACCAGATCTGAGTGGATTCTTGGGCCTCCTTCGGACCATCACATGCCCACCAGGCTGCCTGGGACAGGTCAAAGGAATAGATAAGCAGAGCCAGAATCAAGACAAGGGACCACCTCCCTGCCAGGTCTAAAATGTTACCATTCCCAGACTGCTTGAGCCCAGGAGTTCGAGACCAGCCTGAGCAACACAGCAAGACCCCGCTGTCATAGAATGGCTTAAGGGGTTAAAGAAAACTCACCATTCCCCTCCCTGCAAGGGCCTGGCATGCCAATCTTAGCAGTCAAGTTCCACAAACCAACTTGCTGCCCTGGCAGGCGCCTTGCTGCATAACTGCAGATTTGTTTTAATCACTGGACAGTTCCTGAGGGACCCAGGCCTTCAATTCCCACCCCTGTACTTTTCAGAATCTGATGAAAAGAACTTGGATTGGATTAATCCAGGGCTAATCAACTGGGCTGGAGGCCCCAGCCCTCCACCCTAGGCTGCCAAGCAAGCTAACAGCTTTGTGCAGCTCAGGATAATGGTGCTCTGAGTGGAAAGGGGTAAGAGGAAAAACAACTTTAGCCTTTACCTCAGCCGGGATTAGATTTCTTCTGCTGGAGAGAGCCAAGTATGTTTCCTGGAAAAGGCTGGTAGGAAGAGTGCCCTACAGTGGTTGGGCGGGTGTGGGGTTTGCTTTTCTATCAGCAGCTGAGGTTCCAAGGATGCCCACAACCCCACTAACTTCCGCATGGTGAGCGGCTGGGAACACTGCCCCTTGCCTGTGTGCTTGCTTCCTGTTACTCCAGGCGGCCATCAGGAGAAGGGCCCCAGGACAGAAAGAACCCCCCCAACCCTCAGGGTGGCCTCAAGCCAAGGCTTCCAGCCCACGAGATTAGTTGGGTCACTCTGTTCAGATCCCATGGGCATGTGGCTTCTCCTGCTCTTATCACCTGACCAGGATCTCTGCCTTTAGTCATCCTATTCCACAAAGGGGCACAGGGACAACCTGCAGGTCAAACTGGCCCAGAGCCTGAATCACCTGAAACCCAAAAATAGGGTGTTTCATGTCACCTGTGAGAGCTCTGAAGAACAAGTAAGGATTTCTCCAGGGCTGTGTCCTTAGTCCCACGCCCTCCCCATCTCTGGGGAGGAGGTAGTGTAGTCATTAGGAGCATGGGATCTGCCTGGGCTTTCGTCCCTGGAGTTTGTATCCCAGCTCTGATACTGGCTGGGGGATCTGAGGCAAGTTCACAAACGTCTCCATGTCTCAAATTTCCTCATCTATAAAATGAGGATGAAACTAGTACCTACTTCATAGGGTTACTGTGAAAACTAAGTGAATTAAAACAGGTAAGTACTCAGTGCCCGACAGAGTATGCACTCAATGTTAGCTGTTGTTATTATTCACTACTGTCTTTTTTCCCTGGAAACGACTGCACTAGAAGAGCTTGAGCAATCAGGTATCTTTATAGCTCCAATACAGAACGACAAGGTAATGTGTTCCCAGATCACAGTGAGAACCAAGAGCCTGTTCAAATACACCCTCATCATAAAAGAGGAAAGCCAAACCCAGATCATGATTCCATCCCACAAGAGTACAACCCCGGCGAGCTGAGTTAAGGGCCCTAGTGGTCTGAGGCACGACCAGACCACAAACTCAATCAGTGGCTCTCAACCCTGGTTGCACATTAGAACCACGGGAGAGCATTGAAAAAATGCTCAGGCCCCACCCCCCGAGGCTGATTCCACACTGTGACCTCAGTCTCCTAGGCTACCGAAGATGGTGATGGGTCTTCTTCAGAGGGAGAGCTGCGGTGAATGAGACCACATCTATGAAGTGGCTTGGGAGGACCTGGTGGAGCCCATGCATCATTATTTTTTAAAAGCTCCCCAGGTGATTCTAATGTGCAGCCAGGGTTGAGAACAACTGGACAAAATGCTCCCATCTCTGGTGGTTCCATGAAATGCAGCAGTAGCTACAGCGGGGACATGCTGCTCCAGTTAACCAGGGAATCTGAGAACTTCATGACACACAGAACCGAGTGTCTCTGTACCCAGACTCACGTCATAGTTATACTTGTGCTTCAGGTTCCAACGGCAGATGGGGCACTGGCCAGAGGGGTTAGGAGGATTTGGACTCTCCTTGGGAGTCGCTGTGATACGGCCTTCAATCTAGGAGACAGAGAAAGTGAGCCAGTGTGAGAGACAGGACCTGCGTGGAGCCACATTATCTTTGCACAAACCCCAAAATGATGGTAATGCTGGTGAAAGTTTACCTTGGGGGTTCTTGTGGGAGTAGCTAAGAGGTTTCTCTGCCTGAACTGTGGTGTTTATTCTGTAGTTGCCGTATGCTAGGCCTTGAGATAGCTACAGGGATGTGGTTTGGTGGCCTACAGGGGTAATGGAAACCATCTGAACTTAATACCAGTGTCAAGAGGGAGAGAGGGGTTTGCTCTATCAATTGAATGCTACCTTTCCGTCCTCGAAAAAAACAAAGGCACCAGAACACTATACTTTTTCCCCTCCTTGGCTTTTGGGGGAAAGTAATACATGCACATGGTAAAAAGTTTTAAGTGGCACAGGGATATAGAGTCCAAAGAAAGCCTCCCTCCCATCCCACATGTCCTCCTAGCGGGAAACTGCAGTTCCCAGCTTTATCTTACAGAGCTAAGGCTATGCCAATGGGTCTCAACCAGAGGTGATTTTGCTCCCCAGGGGACATCTGGCAATGTCTGGAGACATTTTTAATTGTCACGACTGGGGGAGGGAGTGCTACTGCATCTAGCAGGGATGTTCTAACCATCCTCCACTGCACAGGACAGCCCTCACAACAAAGAATTACTCAGCCCCAAATGCCAGGAATAGCAAGGCTGAAAAAACCCGGGCTGTGCCATATAAGCAGATATGCGTGCACTCGTTCTCTCTTTACAAAAGAAAGAAAAAACTAACACGATACAGATGGGAGGATACATTTCTCTGTCATGCTCCTTGCTTTTATCATTTTGGATGCCACCTTTTAAACCCTGCTGAGGCCAAGTGCGAAATGACCTCCCTATCGCTGCCGTATCCTGTGATACAGCCTTGGAATTACTAAGCGCAATAAACCAACGACCTGGGAATTAGCTCCAATTGCAAGAGGGGAGTTTAGAAAGCCTGGCTGACTGAGGCTGTGGGTTATGAGAGTGAGGCTGGGACGGGTCTGAGAGGCTTTGGGAGGGAAGCAACACTGTCTCCTGGGGGAGAAGTGGCACAGGGGAAAGGGGCTGGAAGTACTACTTGGCTGTGCAGGGCACTGCTACCCTCCTTCTGCCATGGCAATCACAACTATACCAGAAACTGAGATGTTAGAGAAAATTCGCAAGTACACGGTAGGCCTTGGGAGGCAGGTTGCAGTGGGTTGGGGGTTGGGGGTGGGGAGAGCTAACATTTATTGACTCCCCATTATATGTGTGGCTCAGTGCTAAGAATGGTTCACATATATTAGTTCACTTAACCTCCAGAATCTAGTGAGGTAGGTGTCTGATCTTATTTCATAGGGGAGAGAATAATATCCAGTCAGCCATGGCCATGCCGCTAAAGGCATGGATGGGCTCTTCCCTCCCCTGAGGGCTCTCATAGGCCACAATGCCTCCACATCTATTCTACAAACAGCAGACTCATGCCCCACATGAAAAACACTCTTTATACTCAAAAGTCAGATGTATTTCTCTCCTCCAGCATGGAGTTGATAGAGTGAATGCTTGTTTTGGCTTTGAATCAAGGAGCCTAAAAGGTACCCTAAGGGGATTGGGGGGGGTCCCCTAAAAAGAACTGTTTTGAGGCTAAGTAGTGGAAAGGCAGAGGGAGCATTCTAGGGGGAGACCCAATGGACTTGTCCTGGGAATAAGACTGCCTTGGGGAGGATTGAGCTTGGCTGGCTACCTAAAGGGTTAAATATCTGGTTGACATGGAAGTTACAGAGGCCTCTGGGAGCTCTGTGCAGTGACTGAGGATTTCTTGGAGGCATAGAAGGCCATGTGAAAACAGCGTTGTTGTCTTTTAAGGATTATAGGATAATCTAGGCCCCATGACTCCCCAAGGAAGGGAGGTGGGATGGGCCCAGGGAGGGAAACGGGGGAGTGGGTAGATGAAGTATTGTTCCAACTTTCTTACCAACAGACAAACCAGGGCGCCAGCTAGTGAGGCCAGGGCCGGGAGAATGTCACTTTTTAAATGCATCATTTAAGGAGCAGTTTAGCCATTCTAGGCAGAAAAGAAAGGAACTGAGGTCCAGGCTCTTGGCTCTGGGTCAACTTACTCTGGCTCTCTAGGCGTGCAACAATGCCTTAGTTTCCCCTTTGGGAAAATGATTCAACACCCGCCAAAGAGCTTATCAGCAAAGGCCTCTGAGACCTTGCTACACAAAAGGCCACTTTCATCAAATAGCAGATACCTCAGCCCAGGCACAGCAACTGTTCCTGATTAACCACACTATAGCACACAGCTTGAAAAATAGTAGGCTGTGGGATTTATGGTCATTGAGGGAGCTGATCCTGGAGCTGGGCGTCCAGTTTGGGCCCCTCCCTCCCTCAGAGGAGCGGCCAGGCAGCTCCAAGCGTTAAAGAGGTTATACATGGCCAACTCAACGATACTTACTATAGTTGTCTTCCCTTCTTGGGTCTCCACCACTACGGAGATAAAGGGGGAAACATTAGGTCAGCCATTTAATAAGGAACAGAGAGTTTCAAATAACAGCTCAAATTCTACACATCTGGAAAAAAGCAGCCTTCCATCTGTACTCTCTCATGGTCTCCACCTAGAACAGAAAGCATGCAGGGTTCACCCCACTAGTGCCAAGGCTCTATGCCCTTGAGGCGGGGTGGGGGCAAGCCCAGGATACCCAGGTAGCATCACCTCTCTGGTATGGGATTAAGGAGTTCCGCACTGTTTTTGCCTTTCTATGCAAAGATTTATCTTGGTTCTATCCAAAGGAATTGGTCAGATCCTGTCCTACGGTGGCTAGCAATAAAAGAGGGTGGGGTAGTGGTATCTAAAAGACCTTCAAAAGTACGCAGGCGGTGTGTGTTCCTGCACAAAGAGAATCAGATAAGAATGGTTTCTGCTCTGAAGAGTTTACAATGTAAGATATAGCACTGAACTAACACTATTCCAGTGGCACCCCAGTGAATGAGCAAAAAGACAAGTTCACTCCTAGAACACATCCTGGGAGTCTTGAGTGAAATCCTCTTCTCCCTGCAGGGTTGCATTTTATTATCTATACTGGAGAGTGTTGATGGATGCGGTAGGAATAAGGAGCATGAAGATACTGGGTCCAAGAAGAATTTCAAGTACTGCCATTCCAAACAGAGAGGGACACCCTCAGTGCTTTGCCTATTTAGGTGAGGCAGTCAGAAGAGAATCTGAAGGCAAGACAATCAGTTGCACACGTCTGTCAGGCTGAATACATTTCCTATCTTACCTAACCAAGATGCAGAATGAGCCAATAGCCCACATTCAGCTAATATAATCAAATAGTTCTTGGAGATACTCCCGTGTTGACACAGTTTCTTTAGAAAGATAGAAGCCAGACTGGGTACAGTGGCTCACGCCTGTAATCCCAGCACTTTGGGAGGCTGAGGCGGGAAGAAATACTTGAGCTCAGGAGTTAAGGAGACCAGCCTGCGCAATGTGGCAAAATCCTACAAAAATCACTAAAATTAGCCAGGCATGGTGGCATGCACTTGTAATCCCAGCTACTTGGGAAGGTGATGTGGGAGGACTGCTTGAGCCCAGGAGGTTGAGGCTGCAGCGAGCCATGATCATGCCACTGCATTCCAGCCTGAGGGACAGAGCGAGACCCCATCTCAAATAAACAAACAAACACCAATAAAAAGAGAAGGGACCATCTAACTAAAAAGGCAATTGTAACCCAACCAGAGGCCCATGGCAGCATCTGTGATCACTGAGCTCTGTGACCAACACCTAATTGGACACAGACTGCTTGGAATTGTCCCTCATTTGTCTTCTGGGCAACCCATTCATAAAGACTCACTGCTCCAAAACAACCAACCTGAGAGCCTCTCAGTGTCCAACTCCAGACATACAAAGGAATAACAATGGCTAGAAAAGCCCTGAGGCTTTCTCCAGAGAACACTGTAGTTACTAATCAATTCAAAGACAACCTAGGTTTTTCCATGTAAAAGAAAATGGGTCACCCCACACACGGATCTACTTGTACAGAACACAGACCAACCCAAGAATGGGATTTGGGTGAGACTCAATGTGGTCCTCAGTCTGGAAGCCAGCACAGCTGCAGAGGGAAGGTCACTGCAATACGTCAATCTGCAGAATCAACCTACAAACGGAGGATGGGGAGAAATGAAGGGAGGTAGGAGGAGGGCACATCCCCAGTCCAGTAGGGGTTCCAGGCACCCTGCAACTTTGCTAATTTGCAAAAACCAAGTTGAGAGACAACCTAATCTGAGCAACAAGTAGTGGGGAAAGTTTCTAAGAATCCCCAAAGGAACCAAAGGAGAGACACGTTCTGGTACCACTGGAGTCGGCAGAAGAACAATGCCTTGAAACACAAGTGGATAAACATGTGGTTCCCTGCTTGGTGGAGGCACTTGGGTCCTAACCATGAGGTAAACAAGTCTAACAAAACACACATCACTCCCGGCAAAGTACCAAATCCTGAAGTCATCCCACTGGCCCCTGGAAAACAGATCAAAGCCCATGGCAAGCTCCACTGTTCACAAACTCCCCCTCCACGCAGCAACTGTGAGCCAGCGAATCATCTTACTAGAAGCCAGTGGGTAAAACAATAGGCAGATGCTTATCTAACAGAGACAATTTGTCAAACCAGAAGGAATGACCTGAGAACTCACATTGAACTGACACTGATCAGGGTGGTGTCTTAGTGCAGGGGGAGAAGGCCCTGTTGGAACCTGGTCCTTGAGGCCCTTAGTAGATTTTAAGCCCCTCGAAAGAGGAGATAGGAATCAAAATAGTATTGATTTACAGGGTGCATACAAAAACGTGTCAAAACCAAACAAAACCTGATCCATTTTGTTCCTGGCTGCCTCCCTATTCAAGAGAAGTGGGGGTGGCTAAGAAAAGCTGGACTGAGAGATTTAGGCAGTAACAGAAAACTTGTTTAGAAAAAGATGGAATCACCCTTGTGTTCTGAGATATGGCAGTATCAAGTAAGCTAAGGGAAGAGATGAAGCAGTTTTCTAAACTGGAACTAAGGGCCAAAATCTTTCCAGATAAGCACTTCTCATACACATGAAATAATCTGTCCCCAGTGAGGCAACACATTTGCTGGGCACTTATGGACTATACAGCTTCATTCTACCTACTGTGAATTACAGTAGAATAGGAGCCACAGTCTTTGCCCTAGAGGAGGAAAAGAACTAAACTCTGCATGGGAACTTGACTATAATAAAGTCCATGCCTCGTAAAGAGGTCCTTTGAGTACTTCAGTAAATACTTGCCCAGGATGGAGTCCAAGATAACTGAATTATAACAGTGTGGAACAAATGACATTGTGGTGAGATTGCAGTGAATGCAAAAGGAGGAGATGGGGTGACACCTATAGTCTCAGCTACTCAGGAGGATCACCTGAGCTAAGGAGTTAGAGGCCAGCCTGGGCAACACAGCAAGACCTTGTCTCTTAAACAACAACAACAACAACAAACACAGAAAATGCAAAAAACCTTGATGGCCACATGAACAGACACAGTGAACTGCAGCCATGTAAAGACTCAACTGCTTAATAAAAGAGGAAGTGAAAAAAGATGAGGAGTGCAGGGCACTGCTGAAGTGCCCAGAGACCAAGGTCCCTCTTGGAGAGGATCTGTAAAAACCAGGGCCCAAGCAGAGTAGGAAAGACTGGAGTAACTGATGGCTGGGCAGTGGCCCTAATAGTCTTATGTAGGGTCAGGGAGAGGTGTGCCATGTTTGGGATGTGTGCTTGCATTTCTGGCCACTGACAACTTTTTGCAAACACCTTCCTGCCTCAAGCCCTGCTTCCTCCAGTTCATCTTTAACTCTACCATTAAAGTTTCTGGTTCCCTCATCACCTCCCCCTTTCTTTCCCTTGGACCCCTGAGGGAATGTCCCTCTGCCCTATGCTTCAGAATGAGTCGTCTTACTGCTGCACAAAAATTTCTTCCCACTAGCAGGTTACTCTGGACTATGTCCCCTGAATTCTTTAAAGACTCCAACTCACTCCTCTCTCAAAGCTTTTATATGGGACTGCCCAACCTGCCAGGCATACCCTTGTCTGAAACGTTAGGTCTTCCAGAAGGCCTTCTTAACTGACTGTGAAAGAGATGAAGCAAATTCCCTTTGGCCTTTACTCACTTCAATATACCTTTCTCTAAGTGTCTGACAAATCATGTCTTAATTTATATAATAATATGTTTGTTTTTTTATTTTAAATACATTTCCTTCACAAGGGCTCTAAGAGGGATAAGGGAGGAATGAGATCCAACACAGTCTTTGCTAAATCTGGCAGTGCCAACCATAATGGCACTAAATGGTCTTTGGCAAGTTAACTGCTAAGAGCTTTCAGGGAAGGAGGGAACAATAAGGGAGGCCCTGCCATGGAATACCAAGGTGATGTTACTGGTGGAGAGGGAAGAGGGCTGGCTCTACTTCCAACTCCATCACTTATTAGACAGGTGATGCTGGGCAAGCTATTAAACCCCTTGGAACGGCATTTCCTCATTTATAAAAATGAGGACAGTTAATATCTACCTTTAAGGTGTTTTTGAGAAGACTGAATAAATGTATGTGGAAAACCTAGCACAGTATTTGAAGCAGGCACAGTAAGTCACAATTTCTATTTTCGTCCTCCTTCAGTCTTGCTTTTCCCATAATAACCTTTTTTTGGCTTTGTGTATCTCTCTGGTCAAACTTTAAACCAGGCTTTCTCAACAGCAGCAGGACTGCCATTTTGGGCCAGATGGTTCTTTGTTGTGGGGAACTGACTTGTGCATTATGTTTAGCAGCGTCCCTCGCCTCTACCCCCCAGATGCCAGTAGTACCAGTTGTGACAACCAAAAATGTCTGCAGACATGGCCAATTGTTACTGGGGGACAAAATTGCCCCCCAGTTGAAAATCACTGTTTTAGACTGAAAGTCTTCATAGACAGGAAAATTGGTGCTCAGTCCTCAAGAGCTGACTAAAATTATGTATTATTATCTGATACTTTGAAAAGTAGGATGCCTGAATATTTTCAGCAAGAGAACCAGCTTCTTTCCCACAACTTTAAATTCTATGTGTACAATATTGTTTGGGTGTCACATATACCAGCTGAGACTAGTCAAAATTAGCTATATGTATAATACTTTATGCCTTACACATAATGCATAGACTAGCAAAAGAAAATGTTTTCATTTACAAGCTTTGAAGATAGGTGATTCTTAAGAATATAGAATATGGTAGTGCCTTCATGTAGAATCATATTAATTCAACCTAACATTTAGATGAAGGACTTCAGAGACCCATTTGATTTACAGTCCATCCTTTTTTACTTTTTTTAAAGAGGTGGGCGTTCTCACTACGTTGCCCAGGTTAGACTCCAATTTCTGGGCTCAAGTGATCCTCCCACCTTGGCCTTCCAAAGTGCTGGGATTAAAGATATGTACCACTGTACCTGGCTTACAGTCCATCATTTCACAAACTCTCCAAAGGAAAAAATTAAGTCTAACTTCAAATATTTGTTGTTAAAACAAAACGATTCCTCTTGCCTTTTTTTCTGGAAGCATAGCAAAATCTGCCTCAACTTTGAATTTCATAAGAATATGCAAATTGTAGCCAATAGTGTTTGACACTTGGTAGACTCCCCAAAATGGTATGGAGATATGCCTATTTTGCAGCATGGGAACAAATGAAACATCCAAGTCCTCTCTATCATCTGCATGATTTCTTTAGTGTCTTTATTAATGGGTCTACTAATGGATAAGTTAATCAGGCAATATCCAGACTTTTTTTTCTAGCAAATGCTCCACTTCCCTTACGGGCTAAATTCTTCAAACATACTTACTATTTCCATCTCTTCATCAACTATCTCTTTCATTTCTCCAAACTGGATTCCTTGTTTGCCACTCTATTGAAATTGCTGTTTGAAAGCTACAAAGAGACCTCTTCTGAGACAAATCCAATGGCCCCTTCATTAGGCCCTTTTTAGACTTTTCTGCTCCCTCTGACAACAATGATCACTCTTTTCCACTGGATACTTCTCAGCTTTCGTTAAAGGATATGCTGCCCAATACTATGCCAGATCCTCAAAAAACCCCACATCTCTTCTTTTGCACATCACTCATCCTTTCCTGCTTCCAGGAGTACACAAAGGAAGGCTATGTCCTAAAAGACCGTTTCACTCTCCGCCAGATTCCATCCTTTTGTGAGCCTGCTCAAGACACATCCTCTTTATGAAAACTTCCAACTGGGTTTGCCGTTTCCAGTAACTGAGTCTCCCTGTACTTCGTCACGTAAAAGGCTAACTTGCATTTATTGGAGTGTGTATATACATAATCTCATTAGAACCTAAGCTTTTCAGAAAAAGGGCTGTATTTTCTGTCTCCAGAATTCCTTCACAGCTTGAAGCATAGCACTTGGCATTCAGTAAACTCTCAGTTGATGCTCGAATCAGGCCGCTTTCCCAGATTAAGATTAATGAAAAGCTGAACTACCATCCTGCATTTGCCTATGTCTCAGCTATTCAATGGCCTTTCCACTTTGGCCTCCCCCTCACAGGGAGACTAGCGGCCCGGGGCAGAGAACGCCGCCATCAGATCACAGCATTTTGAGAAGGGAAAGTGGAAAGGGAGGCTCTGGGAGGGTACCCAGATGGCCTTCCTTCGTGATCCAGAGACTCTTTAATAAAAGAGACTGCGATTCGGAGAACATGGAAGGAAGAATTAACATGCAAACCCTTTCCGAAAACTTTTCTGAGCCCTAGGACAGGTTTAGTGTCTGCTCCTGCTAAGTAAGCAGGCTTTTCTCTCCGTCCTCCTCCGCCTTGTGAAGATACTCACAAGGGGCAGGAGATCAAGATAAGGCACCAGGGTGTGGAAGGGGCTTTTAAGCACGCCTGGGGAGCCGGTACCTCCAAAGTTTCAGAATCGGACGAAGGAAAGGTAGGAAGGAGCGCACCGGGGCTGGCGGAAGCAGTCTCTGCCGCTCTTCTTAATTTCAGGAGGTTGCTGGGACGCATGACTCACCTTCCCTGAACCCGCGAGCTGGAAGCCGAGACCAGCTGGTCGCTGCCGGGCCCGCTAGTAGCCCACGGAGAAGCCGCCCACAGCCGGACACCAGAGCCTTGAGGGCCGCCATCTTCAAAAACCTACCCTGACCTCTCGTCCATTTCCGCTTCCGGAACGTAGCGCCCGCCGCCGCAGTGGTGGGGCAGGAACGGCGGGGCGGGGTTGTAGTTCGCTTGCTCCTGTCACATCATTTCTCTCACCTGTCCGCTTTGGGATACGAAGAGAGGCTTCTGCGTCAAGCCTATATTTCGTGTTAAGGATCTAGGGGAGGTCTTCTAGCTCCTGTCTGCCAATGCCTACAAGTCTTCAAGGTTGCATTCGTTTCCTGGAAGGCTTCCTTAGGAAAATCGCACGCAACACCCCACCTATGTCTTTAAAGCTTTCTCTTCACTGCACGTGAGCTGTGGACTTTTAGCTTCTGTGACTGGGGCTAGACCTCTACGGGAGAGGCTGAAATGGTTAGGAACTCTGGCTCTGGAGTATCGGATATCAGGCAGACCTGGGATAGAATTGATACCCCCTTCTTCCCTGACCACTGCCACACTGATCTTTGATTTGCATATACTTAGACCTCTCTCTAGCCCCAGGGCCTTGATACAAGCTATTTCCTTTGTCTGCTCTTTAGCTGTCTAGTTAGCTTCTGCTTATTTCTTAGAGCTCACCTCAAACCTTATTTCCACAGTTTTGCTTGACTGCCCATTCTCAGCACCAGATGCCTCTCCATCTTAGTGCTTGGGACAATTTCAGTTTTATGTTTGTTTTGTATGTGTCTTCTCACCAGACTGTAAGCTCCATGAAGTCAGGAACATTGTTTTCTGTTGACTCGCACATCTCCAGCACTTAGAATAGTTCCTGACACATAATAAGAGTACAATATATACTTGTTGAATGAATGAGTAGAATCTATTTTATAGGGCCTAGGGGAGGACTAGACCCTGAAGATTAGATGTGATAAAACATAAGTGATCGGCCGGGTGTGGTGGCTCATGCCTGTAATCCCAGCACTTTGGGAGGCTGAGGCGGGTGGATTACCTGAGGTCAGGAGTTCAAGACCAGCCTGACCAACATGGTGAAACCCTATCTACTAAAAATACAAAAATTAGGTGGGTGTGGTGGCGGGCACCTGTAATCCCAGACACTTGGGAGGCTGAGGCAGGAGAATCGCTTGAACCCAGGAGGCGGAGGTTGCAGTGAGCCAAGATCACACCATTGCACTCCAGCCTGGGCGACAAGAGTGAAACTCCGTCTCAAAAACAAAACAAAACAAAACAAAACAAAACAAAAGGGCTCAATAAACATAAGCTAGTTAATAGAGCAGTTATGGAGATGACTCTTTTCACAAGTTGGACTCACTTGTGTTGTAAGGAAGCTTATGGTACCAAAGAGAAAATACAACTGCCAGTTTTTCCTCTTTCAGATTTGTGAGACGTATAGGATGTTCCTCTGGAGCTCCACAGGAAAGGAAAATCATTCACAACTCAGTTCTTCCTATCCTTCTCTGATTCAAGATGGGAAAATCAGGCTTATTAAATGACATAGCATGTTTTCTGATGAGTAGGAGAGGAGCCCATCATCCAGTTGGGACCGTCACCCTAATAGGAGGATGCAGAGCAGCTGCTGTATGGAAAATGTGAGTGGCATCACCATAGACAGGGAGAACAGGAGAAATGCAGCATTGGGTTACGTTAAAACATCTCATTTAGCAAAGGTAAACCCGGTGAAGGGGAAACTTAAAAGAAAAGTCAATCAAGGTGGTAGAGACTGACACATGGATTAGGAGTGAAGCAGAGGGTCTTAGTGAGGTGTAGGTCTAGGTGTCCCAGCCAGGATCAAGAAAGCTTTGACTCTCCCTATAGCTTCCAAGTTTGTTCTGCATAGATGACCTTGAGCTTATAGATGTATAGATGACCTTTTGTGTTTGTACTACATCCTCTGTTTCTTCACCCATTTCCAACTTCCAGGAATCCAGTAGAGACAAGGGCAGCAACAGAGCCCCACCCAGGGCTTGCTTTGGACACAGTGAGCTAAAGCATTCGAGTGCCAACCCTCTTCTCATTATCTTATCTTAACTTATCATAAACAAATTTTATTTTAAAAAACAACTATGACAGGTAACATGTGATCATTGTAGAAAAATGAAACAATAAATAAAGTAAAAAGAAAATAAATGTCATCTAAAATCCAGAGATAAGCATTGTTTACATTTAGCAAGATGAAATAATACTGTGGATATTCTTTGCCTTATAATATCTTATTTTTCTGAATCCATTTATGATTAGTCCCTACAATTCTGTGAGACCAGGTTTGGATCAGGAGACTAGCTTTAAAAAACAACACATCTTTTAATTAAAGTATTACCTGTGTAAGAAAAATACACAGGCTGGGTACAATGGCTCACGCCTGTAATCCCAGCACTTTGGGAGGCCGAGGCAGGTGGATCACTTAAGGTCAGGAGTTCGAGACCAGCCTGGCCAACATGGTGAAACCTCATCTCTGCTAAAAATACAAAAATTAGCTGGGCGTGGTAGGCTCCTGTAATCTCAGTTCCTCAGGAGGCTGAGGCAGGAGAATCACCTGAACCCTGCAGGTGGAGGTTGCGGTGAGCCGAGATCACGCCATTGCACTCCAGCCTGGGCAACAGAGTGAGACTGTCTCAAAAAAAAAAACAAAAAACCCAAACAAACAAACAAACAAAAAACAACAAAACACACAAATCATCAGTGTACTGCTTGATGAATTTTCGCAAAGGGACACACTACCCATACTGGAGTGGAGTGGCATGTTCAAGCAGAACTTGACTGGCACTCTAGAACACCCCATTGTGTCCCCTTCCAGACACTACCCCGCAAGGATAATCATTATCCTGACTTTTAGCACAATACATTACTTTTCCCTGCATTTGACCTTTATATAATATTCCACTGTGAATATACTATATTTTAAAAAATCACTTTTTTTTCTGTTGATAGAATTTAGATACTTGCCACTTGGGACTACTACAAAGAGTGCTGTAACGTTCTTCTACGTGACTCTTGGTGAACACAAGAACAAACTTCTTTGGGGCCTATCTCGCGGTAGAACTGTTAGGTTGCAGGGTATGCCTATGCTCAGCTTTAGTAGAAGATATTGCCTTGACAGTTTTTACAAAAGCCTTTTTAAATTAAATTTTTTTTTTTTGAGACAGAGTCTTGCTCTGTCACCCAGGCTGGAGTGCAGTGGCGTGATCATGGCTCACGGTAGACTGGACTTCTTGGGCACGGGTGATTCTCCCACCTCAGCCTCCTGAGTAGCTGGGACTACAGGTACATGACACTATGCCCGGCTAATTTTCTGTATTTTTTGCAGAGGTGGGGTTTTCCCATGTTGCCCAGGCTGGTCTTAAACTCCTGGGCTCAAGCAATCTGCCTGTCTCAGCCTCCCAAACTGCTGAGATTACAGGCACGAGTCACCATGTCTGGCCCAAAGGCCAGGCTAGATACTGTCAAACAATTTTCCATAATGATTGTACCAGTTTACTCTGGTATCAACTGTGTGTGACAGTTCTAATTGCTCCACACCTTGTCAATATTTGATTTTTTTTTTTGGTATTTTTAATCTTGCCATTCTGGTTGGCGTGTAGTAGGATCTCACTGTGTATTTATCTTACATTTCTCTGATGCTTAATGAAGATGAGTAACTTTTCATATGTTCATAGACCATTTATTTATATTTATTTATTTATTTATTTATTTTTGAGACAGAGTCTCACTCTGTCCCACAGGCTGGAGTGCAATGGTGCGATCTTGGCTCACTGCAACCTCCGCCCCCCAGGTTCAAGTGATTCTTCTGCCTCAGCCTCCCGAGTAGCTGGGATTACAGGTGCACCCCACCATGTCCAGCTAATTTTTGTATTTTTAGTACAGACAGAGTCTCACCATGTTGGACAGGCTGGTATGGATCTCCTGACCTCCAATTATTCACCTGCCTCGGCCTTCCAAAGTGTTGAGATTACAGGCGTGAGCCACCACACCTGGCCAATAAATTTCAAGCGTGCAGTTTATATAGCAATATAGGTCATTTAGACATCTCTTTTGTAAAATGTGTGTTTAATATTTTGGCTGATGTTATATTGGGTTGCCTGTGTTTTGCTTTTCTTTTTTCTATTTATTTATTTATTTAAAGACAGGACTTCCCTGTCACGCAGGCTGTAGTGCAGTGGCACATTCGTGGCTTTCTGCAGGCTTGACCTCTCAGGCTCAAGTGATCCTCCAACCTCTCAGCCTCCTGAGGAGCTGGGACTATAGGCATACACTATGATACCCAACTAATTTTTTTTTTTTTTTTGAGATGGAGTCTAGCTCTGTCGCCCAGGCTGGAGTGGAGTGGCATGATCTCGGCTCACCGCAACCTCCGCTTCTTGGGTTCAAGCAATTCTCCTGCCTCAGTCTCCTGAGTAGCTGGGATTACAGGCTCCCACCACCATGCCCAGCTAATTTTTATATTTTTAGTAGAGACGGGGGTTTCACCATATTGGCCTGGCTGGTCTCGAACTCTTGACCTCTGGTGATCTGTCTACCTCGGCCTCCCAAAGTGCTAGGATTATAGGCATGAGCCACCACGCCCAGCCTGATACCCAGCTTGTTTTTAATTTTTTTGTGGAGACAGGGTCTCACTATGTTGCCCAGACTGGTCTCGAAGTCCTCCTCTCAAGCGATCCTCCTGCATCAGCCTCCCAAAGTGCTGGGATTACAGGCATGAGCTACAGCTCCTGGCCTGTCTTTTTCTTATTGATTTGTAGTTCTTTATATATGCTGGATACTTATCCTTTCTTGAATATATGTACTTCAAATGTCATCTCCCTCTCTGTGGGTTGCCTTTTCATTCTCCTGTAGTTTTTTTTTTTATGAGGAGTATTTAAAAAATTTTAATATAGTGCAATTTATCAGTTTTTTTCTTTTATGGTTGATGCTTCTTGTTTCCTTTTCAATTCTTTTTCTGGCTGGGCGTGGTGGCTCATGCCTGTAATCTCAACACTTTGAGAAGTTGAGGCAGGACGATTGCTTGAGCCCAGAAGTTTGAGACCAGCCTGGGCAACAGGTGAAACCCCATCTCTACTGAAAATACACAGAAAAATTAGCCAGGCACGGTGGTGCATGCCTGTAGTCTCAGCTACTCAAAAGGCTGAGGTGGGAGAATCACCTGAGCCCGGGAAGTCAAGGCTGCAGTGAGCCATGATTGTGCCGCTGCACTCCAGCAGCCTGGGCAATGGGAGTGAGACCTAATTAAAAAAAAAAAAAATTAGCTGGGTACGTGCATGCAGTCCAGGTTACTTGGAAGGCTAAAATGGGGAGGGTCACTTGAGCCCAGGTGTTTGAGGTTACGGTGAGCTATGATGACGCCACTGCACTTCAGCCTGGGTGATGGAGTAAGAAGGTGTCTCTACAAAAAGTAAAAAATAAATAATAATTTTTGTCCTCTTCAAGGTCATGAAGATGTTCTTCTGTCTTTTTTTCTAAAAACTTTATTGTTTACTTTTCACATTTAGATCTTTGAGTCATCTGGAATTGTTTTGTTATGGTCTGAAACTGGGATTAAGATTAATTTTTCCCGTATAATTTCAATATCTAACTGACCTAGCACCATTTAAAATTTTCACACTTTTCCTTTTTTTTTTTTTTGAGACGAAGTTTTGCTGTTGTTGCCCAGGTTGGAGTGCAATGGTGTGATTTCCACTCACTGCAACCTCCACCTCCTGGGTTCAAACGATTCTCCTGCCTCAGCCTCCCGAGCAGCTGGGATTACAGGTGCCTGCCACCATGCCCGACTAATTAAAAATTTCACACTTTCCCCACTGCATTTCATCTGGTCTGTTTTCTGGAATCTCTATTTAGTTCCAGTGGTCTCTTTTTCTGTCATTCGGCACCATACACACACACACACACACACACACACACACACACACACACACACACACATATATATATATATATATATATCTTCATTTGTTTATTTTTTCAGAGATGGAGTTTTGCTCTGTCACCCAGGCTAGAGTGCAGTGGCTTGAACATGGCTCACTGCAGCTTCAACCCCCTGGGCTCAAACAATCCTCCTGCCTCAGCCTCCTGAGTAGCTGGGACGACAGGCAAACTTTGGCACTATATTTAATGGCTATGTACTATTTCACTGTCTGGAAGTGCAATCTCCAATCTCCAATTGCTAAGCTTTGGCTTTTTTTTTTTTTTTTGAGAGGAAGTCTCACTCTTGTCCCCCAGGCTGGAGTGCAATGGTGCAATCTCGGCTCACTGCAACCTCTGCCTCCTGGGTTCAAGCGATTCTCCTGCCTCAGCCTCCCAAGTAGCTGGTATTACAGGTGCCTGCCACCATGCCCGGCTAATTTTTGTATTTGTAGTAGAGATGGGGTTTCGCCATGTTGGCCAGGCTGGTCTCGAACTCCTGACCTCAGGTGATCTGCCTGCCTTGGCCTCCCAAAATGCTGGGATTACAGGCATGAGCCACTGTGCCTGGCCGCTTTTAGCTTGCTTTCAATTCAAAATATTTTCTTTCATTTTTTTTTTTTTTTTGAGACAATAGTCTCACTCTGTTGCCCAGGCTGGAGTGCAGTGGTGCGATCTTGGCTTACTGCAACCTCTGCTTCCCAGGTTCAAGCAATTCTCCTGCCTCAGCCTCAGCCTCCTGAGTAGCTGGGATTACAGGTGCCCGCCACCAAGCTTGCCTAATTTTTTGTATTTTTAGTAGAGACAGGGTTTCACCATGTTGGCCAGGCTGCTCTTGAACTCCTGACCTCAGGTGATCCACCCGCCTCGGCCTCCCAAAGTGCTAGGATTACAGGCGTGAGCCACTGCGCCTGGCCCAAAATTTTTTCTAATATCTAGCTTCCTACTCCAAAAACAGTATGTTCTATTCAATCAGTGAGTCTTTTATTCCCTTCTCCCTAGTTGAGTATGCTGTGGATTCTTTTTGTAAGTACAACAGTGCTGTGGAATGAAAGGGGGTCAGGGCCCTTGTCTGGGAGCTGCAGATGGTTAGCTGCCACCCAAAGTAAGGGTCTTTTTCTGAGCCTAAGTCTCTAGGGTTGTTGACGGAGTCATTCTCATGCATGAGAACTATTTCCAGCTGCAGTGGCAATCCTGGAAATTAAAGAGAAGCAATGACAGTGTATACACATATATGAGAGAAGGGAGTCTGAGGAACCTCTCTTTATTTCTGAACCTCTCTTTATTTCTTCTATCGCCTCCTCTTTGGAGAAGCCCAGCCCCCTTGGTTCTACCCCATTTCCCAAGGAGACCGCCCTTCTTCCTCCACACCTTGTCCTGGACTCTGTCTTAATTCTGGAGATAAACTTACATCCCAAGTAAACCTTCTCAATGAAGATGTTCAGGGAAACCCACAGGAGATGAACCCAGAAATGTTCATTTTGCCAAGGAAAACTTAAATTCGCAGCAGGGATGATCTGGTCGAGTGATGTGCTGCTGGCTAACAGGAAAGCGAGGCTCAGGCCAGATCCCAGGAAGGAGTTAGGTCAGCCCATCTGAGGCTTCAGGCCTGGGGAGGTTCTGGTCCCAGCTGTGGATGGCTGTGCTCTTCCAGCCTTCCTTCCACCTCACCCAGGAAGAGGGGTCAGGGCCAAGAGCAGTGCAGATGTGAGCCATGAAGGAGCAGAGGCAACGGAAAGGGGCGGGAAGGTGAAGGGAGAGATGATCTGATGGAGACCACGTGGGGCTGGGGGAATTGCAAGGGAAATCAGAGGAAGGGGCTGGCAGACTGGAGTGACAGTCATGTTTGCTTTTTCCTAATTAATGCAGTTTCCTTACAAACCCCCTGCTGATTCCCAGCTGGTCGACTCAACCATAACAACATGTGGCCTGCCCTGCCTAGGCCAAGAACTGAGGCTTGAGTCTCCCAAGAAGGGTCTGGTTTCATCTGCAGCTGCTGCCTTCCTCCGCCTCAAGGGCTCTGTCTGGATGAAGGAAGGGACAGCACCTTAAGCTGGGGAGAGAACTGCAATGGGAACGGCCTGGGCCTGGCCGCTTTGGGCTGGCCTGGTGACACACCTCTGTTTCCTATGACCTTTAAAAAGGGCAGTTCCCTCCTGTTAGAGCTCCTGCCTCCCAAACAGGTATGAGCGGGGGTGGGGTGGGGAGTCCTTGGACAAAGAACCCCTTGCCTGGTGGTGGCTGCTCTACAGGTGTGTCCTGCTTGACGCAATAGGCCTGGAAACAATAGGGGTGTGTCTAGAGTCTCTGCTAATTCAACATTTTCCATTGCTTTTTCAGTGCTGTTTGTCTTTTCACAAGGACTTTTACTCTGCCCAAGTTATTCATTCTATCCACACATTTGTTCATCATTTATTTTGCCAGTGAGTATCAATTGAGGAGCTACTACGTGCCTTTTATAAACAAACGATGACGTGCACTAGTCAACACTCCAGGGGTGAAAGCTCTTGTCTGACAAAGAAACATTTTGTAAACTCGATGGTTGCCCTGGAATTTACTTGCTCTCTCTCTTTTGTTTTAATTTAAAATTTTAACTTTTTCATTGTGAAATAAGACACACATCCAGGAAAAGTATATAAAACTTAAATGTACTGTATAACCGATTAATTATAAAGCAAACCTGATTCATTTCTATGCTGGAGCATTAGGCTATGCAGCGCC